>NC_000005.10:112534049-112837079 GCF_000001405.40 Homo sapiens | reverse complement strand
AGAACACTTACTTTTTAGAGTAATCTCTGTATCTCTGGCTTGATTTTGTGATACTGCCATCCTTCTTACGAGTGCTCTTGGCCAGACACAGTGGCTCATGCCTGTAATCCCAGCACTTTAGGAGGCTGAGGCAGGCGGATCACCTGAGATTAGGAGATCAAGACCAGCCTGGCCAACATGGTGAAACCCTGTCTCTACTAAAAATACAAAAATTAGCCGGGCATGGTAGTGCATGCCTGTAGTCCCAGCTACTCAGGAGGCTGAGCCAGGAGAATCACTTGGGAGGCAGAGGTTGCAGTGAGCCGAGATCACACCACTGCACTCCAACCTGGACAACAGAGTGAGACTCCATCTCAAAAAAAAGAAAAAAAAGAAAAGAAAAACTGCTCTTTGGCAGACTGTGTGCTTATTATTTTTAAAAAATCAAGTAAATTAAAGTTTTTGAAACATTTAAGGCATATAAAAACAAGGAGTGAGAATCAGCATAATGAACTCTGGACATGAAAGAGCAACAGCTTGTTTAACGCAGGCAAACTGAAGATTAATGACAGCATATTCAGCTTTAGTGGGCTTTAAAACTGAATGGCAAGGGTACATAATGAGCTTTAACATGGTCGTCTTCTCTTAGCAGTCCAGTAGTTACTGGACTTAAGAAATCTTCTCTGTATAGCAGAAAGGGAGACTAGGCTTGTAGTTTCTGCATCACAGACTTAAAAAATGAATAAGCTATAAAAAACAACCATATTTTTGGCTAGGCGCAGTAGCCCATGCCTATAATCCCAGCACTTTGGGAGGCCGAGGTGGGCGGATCACCTAAGGTCAGGAGTTCAAGGCCAGCCTGGCCAACATGGTGAAGCCCCGTCTCTACTAAAAATATAAAAATTAGCCGGGCACGGTGGCGGGGGGGGGGGGGGACCTGTAATCCCAGCTACTCGGGAGGCTGAGGCAGGAGAATCGCTTGAACCCCAAAGGCAGAGGTTGCAGTGAGCAAAGATTGTGCCACTGTACTCCAGCCCGGGCAAGAGTGCAAGACTCCATCTCAAGAAAAAAAAAAAAAAAAAAAAAAAAAAGACAGTTGTATTTTTGTTGATATAATACAGCATCCGAGTTCTGAAAATGTGTGCCCTGTATCTGAAGCACTCTCTTGGGTTTTACAACTCTAGCAGATTGGATGAATGGCTGTTAGCTAAATAATATTATGATTATTGGCCGGGCGCGGTGGCTCACACCTGTAATCCCAGCACTTAGGGAGGCTGAGACAGGTGGGTCACTGGAGGCCAGGAGTTCAAGAGCAGCTGGACAACATTGTGAAACCCCATCTCTACCAAAAAATAGAAAAATTAGCCGGGTGTTGTGGCGTGCATCTGTAGTCCCAGCTTGTTGGGAAGCTGAGGTGGGAGAATCGCTTGAACCCAGGAGGTGGAGGTTGCAGTGAGCCAAGATCACAACACTGCCCTCCAGTCTGGGAGACAGAGTGAGACCCTGTCTCAAAAAAAAAAAAAAAAAATTATTATTATGGATACTAAGACATCATTAGAAAAATGTGAACCTTTATATTCTCTGGATCACGCTCATAGTTTTTGTCTTGTTCTAAATTTTGTTTTCATACTCTTTTATACTATACTAATAGAAATGGATTATTTTGTTACAATATTTGTGACTATTTTTTCCTCCACCTATGGGCTACACCTCTCAACTATAATTTGCTTAATTTAGTCTCCTCTATAATACTATAAACTGTTATTACATTAAGTACACTAATGAGTTAAACTAAGAGTTAGTAGTTATCTTTTCACAGTAATAAATATATTTTGGCTTAAAACTTTCATGATTATATAAAACATTGCTTACAATTAGGTCTTTTTGAGAGTATGAATTCTGTACTTTAAAAGTAATATAAAACTCTATATATACCTGTGGTCCTCATTTGTAGCTATCAAGCTGGACACATTCCGTAATATCCCACCTCCACTTTCAATAATGGCTAAAGTGTTTGTCTGGCTCCGGTAAGTAAGAGTGCCAACCAAAAATGCAAGTGCACCATCTACAGCACATATATCAGCTTTATTCTCAGTGCAATGTGCTGACAAATTCCATAAGGCACTCAATACGCTTTTGAGGGTTGATTCCTAGTAAGAAACAGAATATGGGTCATCTAATTAGAGTTGGAATTTGTCTCTCATTAACTTCTATGTTACTGATATTGAATAAAAGCTATTTTTTAATCTATCCTATTGCCCGTCCCTCACTGGTAAATTAAGAACTTTCCATTTAGAAAAATGTTCATAAAATACCAAATAGTATTTATATCAGTGATATCTCTATAAAACAAGCAGAACACAATATTTAACTAATGACTTTTATAAACTTTATTCTAAGTGTTTAGATAGTACACACATCTTAGAATATGAGGCACAACTGATGTGCATTATGAAAAGAAAACATTTTCAGAATAGAATGTGGGTTATTCTCAGGCTGGGGTTGCTTGAAAAAAGAAAAAAAAAAGTGAACAGGAAGTGGATTAAGGCCCGGCATGTGGCCGGGCACAGTGGCTCATGCCTGTAATCCCAGCACTTTGGGAGGCTGACGGGTGGATCATCTGAGGTCAGGAGTTCAAGACCAGCCTCGCCAATGTGGTAAAACCCCGTCTCTACAAAAATACAAAAAAAAATTAGCCGGGCTTCATGGCAGGTGCCTGTAATCCCAGCTACTTGGGAGGCTGAGGTGGGAGAATCGCTTGAACCTGGGAGGCAGAGGTCGCAGTGAGCCGAGACTGCAACACTGCATTCTAGCCTGGCTGACAGAGCGAAACTCTTTTTAAAAAAAAAAAAAAAAAAAAAAGGCGCAACGTGGTGGCTCATGCCTGTAATCCCAGCACTTTGGAAGGCTGACTGGCGTGACTGGGAGTTTAGGAATTTGAGACCAGCCTGGACAACATGGTGAAATCCCGTCTGTACAAAAAATAAAAAAAAAATGAGCTGGGTATGGTGGCACGCGCCTGCAGTCACAGCTGCTTGGGAGGATCACTTGCGCCTGGGAGGTCAAGGCTGCAGTAAGCCATGATCGCGCCACTGCACTCAAGCCTGGTTGACAGTGAGACCCTGTCTCAAAAAAAAAAGAAAGTAGATTTTTAAAATTCTGTAAACCATACATAGATATGGAAAGATATCTTGGAAGTATTATTAAATGACAAGAGCAAGTTGCAGTGTAGTATATACAATATTCTGTTTATATAAAAAGCATTATATACAAGTGGTTGATTCAAAATTAACAATGTAATTTATAAAAACAATAAAGGGTACTAGAAAAGCTATAATTTCTTAAAATTCCCCACATAACAAATTATGAAAACCTGGAACTCCCTAACATACAATTATCAAAGTCAACTGTCAAATTGTAATGGCCACAGAAACACTCTGATACACAATTAAAGGTATTTGGTCAAAACTTGCCATGTGCTGGGTGTGGTGGCTCATGCCTTCAGGCCCAGCACTTTGGGAGGCTGAGGTGGGTGGATCACTTAAGCCTAGGAGTTAAAAACCAGCCTGGGCAACACAGCAATACCCAATCTCTACAAAAAATATAAAAAGTAGCCAGGCGGCCAGGCGCAATGGCTCATGCCTGTAATCCCAGCACTTTGAGGGGCCAAGGTGCACGGATCACGAGGTCAGGAGATCGAGACCATCCTGATCAACATGGTGAAACCCTGTCTCTACTAAAATACAAAAAATTAGCCCGGTGTGGTGGTGGGCACCTGTAATCCTAGCTACTTGGGAGGCTGAGGCAGGGGAATCGCTTGAACCAGGGAGGCAGAGGTTGCAGTGAGCCGAGATTGCGCCACTATACTCCAGCCTAGGTGACAGAGCGAGACTCGGTCTCAAAAAAAAAAAAAAAAAAAATTAGCCAGGCATGGTGGTGCACACCTATAGGTCCAGCTACTTGAGAAGCTGAGGCGGGAGGCTAGCTTGAGCCCAGGAGGTCAAGGCTGTGTGGCAGAGTGAGACCCTGTCTCAAAAAAGCAAAAGCAAAAGCAAAAGCAAAAAAAAAAAACCCAAACCCAAAACTTGGCATGATGGTGATGTCAATCTGTCTTCTTACTATATATCCATCAGGAAACAAACATTAATTAGAAATCAACTCTGTGCCTATTGCAATGAGAGGCACTCTAGAGGATGCAAACATAGCAAACTGATACCAGTGATTGAAGGTGTTAGCAATTTGCTTTGGGGGGAAAAAAAGATACAAAAATATACATGAAACAAAGTGCTCCAAAGAAAAAACTATTACACCCTGAATTTAATCAAATCAATCAAATATTTCATGGAGGAGAACAGCTCTTTAGGAGGATTAGACCTGTACATTCCCAGAGAAGAGAATCCAGTTGCTGCTGGCAGGGGAAGTAGAATGAGGAAAGGCAGGGAAGTGGGAATCAGCGCGGGAGTACTGATGACCCAGAAAGAAGATGCAAAGGAGATCACAGTCCATGATGGGGAACAGTGGAAAATAAGTCCAGAGAGACAAAAGCCAGGCCTTGAATGTCACAGCAAACATTTTGGGTCTAACCCAATAAATAGCTACTTTACTCTCTTCATCAAGAAATTAAGTGAACAAAACAATCTAGGAGCAGGTTTAGACATAATTTGTCACATAAGTGGTAGGAGGCAGATAGAGTGCTTTTATGCAAGAAGTGCCTTTGTCCTTCTCACATCAATCAAGATGAGCCCAATTTTAATTACATTGTGACTGAGATAAAGGTGGGGCACTCCAAGTATCCTGAGAACAAAAAAAGCAAGAATTTAAAGGACTGAATTAAGATGCAACTGGCCCAGAGTTGAGAGTTGAAGGTAGAAAAATACAAAAGTTCCTCTCTGTGGGGCTACATGTCAAGGGCCAGAGGTTTTGTTTCAAAAATGTTTTTATAGTTCAAATTAGAAGACACAAAATAAATAATTAGAGGTTATTAATACAAGTAGTAACAGCAAAAGTGAGTGACCAAAAAGTATAAAATACAGGTGAAGGTAGAATAGAAAAACTTAAATAAATCTACAAATCTAGATTCTATGATCAAGGAGAAGGGTTGTGTCAGAAGCAAAATTAGGAGGAACTCAAGATAGTACAGCCAGTTTAGAAATGAAGCAAGTCAAAGTCAACTGTCAAATTGTAACTGCCCCAGAAACACTCTGATACACAAAGGTATTTGGTCAAAACCATTGTTCAGGGTTTTGGTTGTTACTGGAAAAGAGAAACACTGTAATAGAAGCCACAGAAAATTTTTGTTTTTCAAAACATTGGGCTTCTTCTAGAGAACTGAAACATAAAAAAGAAGGATCCAGTAGAGAATATGTAGAAGACAAGAGTAAGGGACCAACAGCTTTAAGTGAACGGAGTACAGAGTGCTGGTAAAGGAAAGCTCTAGAGTAAGAGCTCTGAGTGAGTTAAAGTGATGTGGAACATGCAGGGGAGCTAGAAGGTAGTTCTGATTCTCTTGCTCATTAGTAGCTGAAGTTGAGAGGGAATTGATATTGAATGAAAAAGAGAAGAAGAATGTTCATGACTGCTGCACTAAATGTAGAAAAAGAGGGAAAAAATAAATAAATTCTAATACTGCTAACCAGAATTAGGCCCAAATCAGAACTGGATATTATAAATTTCTGACAGCTAGTTTTTCCAAGATTGACCATGCATTATATCATGCCTGTAATCCCAGCACTTTGGAAGGCCAAGGCAGGCGGGTCATGAGGTCAGGAGATGAAGACCATCCTGGCCAACATGGTGAAACCCCGTCTCTACTAAAAATACAAAAACTAGCTGGGCATGGTGGCGCATGCCTATAATCCCAGCTACTTGGGAGGCTGAGGCAGGATAATCGCTTGAACCAGGGAGTTGGAGGTTGCAGTTAGCCGAGATCCTGCCACTGCACTCCAGCCTGGCAGCAGAGCAAGACTCCATCTCAAAAAAAAAAAAAATTTATAGAAGAGTTTAGGTCCTTGAGAGAGAATTAAGTCATGAACCAGTTAGCAGCAGTGCAAATTCTCATAATACACACACACATTAAATCCTTCTGAAACTACACAGGGTTATTAGAGTAGGAGTACTTAAGTGTGCAAGCACTAATTTTTTTGAACTTTATTGAAATATAATTGAAGAACAGTAAACTGCACACATTTCAAGTTTACAATTTGATAATTTTTCATACATGTATACACCCATAAAACTGCCAGTCCAATCAAGATAACAAACATTTATATCATCCCCAAAAGTTTCCTACCCTCTCATAATCCTCCCCTTCTCTTCTACTCCCAACCCCAGGCCACCACTAATCTGTTTTCTGTCATTACAGATTACTGCATGTATCAATAGTCATTCTTTTTCACAGCCGAATCCTATTACTTTGTACAAATATTCCACAATTTGCTTACCATTCACCTGCTGACAGACATAGTTATTTCTAGTTTTTGACTATCATAAATTATTGTGGATGTTTGTGTGTAAGTCTTCGTGTCAGCACTTTTGCTCCTCTTGGGTAAATACTTAGAAGTGGAATGGTTGGGTCATATGGCAGGTGTATGTTTAACTTAAAAACACTGCCAAATGTTGTCCAAAGTGATTATACCATTTTATATTCCCACTAGCAGAATACATGATTTCCAGCTGCTCAACATCCTTGAAAATGCATGGTCAATCTTTTAAATTTTAACCAATATGATATGCATAATGGTATCTCATTGTAGTTTTAATTTGTATTCCCTGATGATTAATGATATTAAGTATCTTTTCAAGGGCTTATCGGCCATGTTCTTTTCTTAAATGTCTTCTCTCCATTCAACAGTGATACAGGTATTTTTATGCAGATGCTAAGTATATTTGAATATTATCTTTATAACTAATAATTTAGCTGAATGCTTTTCTATCTAATAAATTTTCAAGGGTTTTCCAAGAACAAAATAATATACTTTACCAAAAATGCATAACTAAACCAAAAAAAAACAAACCTTTTGCCTTCTCTGAAGAGGAAAGTTTTGAAGAAGAACATGTAGGCTGTGGGTATAGGAGGACTAGCTGGGTGAAAGGAAACCTAGACTAGCTAAGACAACTTGCTTGGTCCCTCTCAGATTTCAAGTTTACTTTTTTTTTTCTTTTTAAATTTAGCCTAGTTTCTGAAGCAGATGGACTGCCTGGAGATATTTCCTTCTGTAAACAAATTATTATTTGATGATTCCTCACCCTTGGCTCTGATCACCTCTTGATAAGTTGACCATCAAAATTTGAGGGGATTGAGGTTTGGAGAGCACAAAGGTACACTTATACCAGTGATTCTTAATTGGTGGTGACGTTGTCCTTCCTCCCTCCCACAGACATCTGACAGTATCTGGAGACAATTTTGATCGGCATAACTAGGGGGAGGGTATACTGGCAGCCAGTTGGCAAAGGCCAGGGATGCTGCTAAACAATCTACAGTGCACAGGTCAGCCCCAGCAAAACGAAGAATTATCTGGTCAAAAATGTCTATAGTGCTGAGGCAGAGAAACCCTGATATACATTAAATCCCCTTATATAATCTTTTCTACCTTAGTACTTTAGGAGTTTGCGGTACTCTAAAACTATGGACTGGTGAGATAAACAGGTAAGAAATTAGGGAATCTAGGCTGGGCGTGATGGCTTGCGCCTATAATCCCAGCACTTTGGGAGGCCGAGTTGGGCAGATCACAAAGTCAGGAGTAGTTCGAGACCAGCCTTACCAACATGGTGAAACCCCATCTCTACTAAAAATACAAATAGCCGGGAGTGGTGGCGTGCACTGTAATCCCAGCTACTCAGGAGGCTGAGGCAGGAGAATCACTTGAACATGGGAGACGGAGGTTGCAGTGAGCCAAGATCAGACCACTGCACTCCAGCCTGGGCGAGAGAAAGAGACCCCATCTCAAAAAAGAAATTAGGGAATCTCATGGCTAAAAGAAGGCAGCAAAAAAAGCTAAACATGAAATTCATATTATAGTACTGAATAATACACAGGTAAGAAATTAGGAAATCTCATGGCTAAAAGAAGGCAGCAAAAAAAAGCCAAACATGAAATTCATATTATAGTACTAAATGTTTTCAAAGGTACCTTTTTAACTTCTAAAGCACATTCCATCAATGCTTTCACACTTCCAACTTCTCGCAACGTCTTTTTACTATTTACATCTGCTCGCCAAGACAAATTCCTCAAAACACTCGCAATAACCTGCAAATTAATCAATTTTAGATTAATTTATACATAAAATCATACTAGTTGCTTTTTTGTTTTTAATGCTAGCAGTAAGAATAGAAATCTATTAAGAAAGAAATTCTGGCTAGCCGTGGTGACTCACGCCTGTAATCCTATCACTTTGGGAGGCTGAGGCAGGAGGATCTCCTGAGACCAGGAGTTCAAGACCTTCTGGGTAACACAGTGAGACCCTGTCTCTATGAAAACTTTTTAAAAATTAGCTGGGCATGGTGGCATGCGCCTGCAGTAGTTCTAGCTACTTGGGAGGCTGAAGCAGGAGGATCCCAGGAGCTTGAGGTTACTGTGAGCCATAATCGCACCACTGCACTCCAGCCTGGGCAAGAGAGGGAGATCCTGTTTTTTTTTTTTTTTTTAAATTCCTCCTAAATGCTACTACAGTGCCAAAAAGATTTCCTACAGTCTAACCACAATATAATTATTTTTCTTTTTCTAGTGTTAATGGAACTATCTTTTATACATGAGATACTAAATACTGAGCAACAATCTAAATCAGGATATTAGCTGGGTGTGGTGGCACACGCCTGTAATCCCAGCATTTTGAGATGCTGAGGTGGGCAGATTGCTTGAGCCCAGGTGTGGTGAAACCCCGTCTCTATAAAAAATACAAAAATTCGTTTGGCATGGTGGTGTGCACCTGTAGGCCCAGCCTCGAGAGGCTGAAGTGGGAGGATTGCTTGAACCCTGGAGGCAGAGGTTGCAGTGAGCTGAGATTGCACAACTGCCCTCTAAGCCTGGGTGACAGAGTGAGACCCTGCCTCAAAGAAAAAGAGAAAAAAGAAAAACAGGTGAAATTCTAAATAGTACCTGCTGTAAGTCTTCACTTTCAGATTTTAGTTGGGCCACAAGTGCTCTCATGCAGCCTTTCATAGAGCATAGCGTAGCCTGTAAATTAAATACAGAATAGAGGATCATTAAAAAGACAACTTGAAGCCAAGCTTTATTTTTGGCTACTAAATGTCTAATTCAGTTTTCATTATTTTGTTTTAATCATAACTGATACTTCACTCATAAAAAATCTAGAATAAGATTACCTAAATAAAAGACAAATATTCTCCTAATTCTTTGCTATCTGTTCTTCCTTTGTCAAACTAGAGAAATAAAGTGAATAAGTGGTGAGAAATGATAAGCAACAGGTTTTAGAGTAAAGCCTCTTATTTGGATGGAATCAATGTGTGTGTAACACTTGCCTTGGTCTTAAGAATTTTTAGATTTTTAATCCCATTCCTAGGAAGTGTTTTATCTTTTATTTTTTAATTCTACACAGTTAAACTTCTCTAGTAATGGATCACAGAAATGATCCCTACAAGTATATTCTTATGAATGGTGTTTTTAATGCAATTACATAAATTCACTACTGTGTTCCATCTGTAGATGTACCTTTGCCTTTGTTTAGGCATAAGACAAACAAATGAGTAAAGATAAGCGAATGTGAAGCACAGGTTTTTATCAGTCATTGTTTAATGAGGAGAGTGAAAAAAAAGAAAATCAGTAAAATGTATTTGTATGAAAGTAAATTAACTCATACCTGAGCTATCTTAAGAAATACATGTTATAAAAACATACCTTGTTGGCTACATCTCCAAAAGTCAAGTTTGTCAAAGCCATTCCAGCATATCGTCTTAGTGTAATACTGTAGTGGTCATTAGTAAGCCCATACATTTCACAGTCCACTTGCAATAATTCTGCAATGGCCTGTAGTCCCCCTAATTTAAAAAGGGCAAGAGGAAAAAGACAATCATCTAAAATAAAACAAACTGGTACCAAGTTGGTAACTTAAATACTAGGAAAAAAAAACTCAATCAATGAGAATATATGGTTTAAATTTGCCTTTAGAATTATAAGCTACAAAAACTGTTATAAAGAACTTCTGTATAATATATTTATAAAGTACAACTGACAATTATTCCATTTTATGCCAGTTTCTCCACCCCCAGCCCCTTATCTTGCTGAGCGAAATAATTATTTTCTATTTACTGCATATACACTGCACCTTGCCAACAGTGAAGAAGGCTATTTTCTAACACTAGTTCTTCGTGAACATAAGCAGAAAAAGGTAACTTATTATTATTATTAGGGCTTTATAAACACTCTTTATTGTCATACACTGTGGCCTAACTACTTTAATTTTTTTTTTTTGGCAAATAATTACCCTTAGGAATACGGATGCCTTTAAATGAAACTGTGCATGAAGAAAAACTAAAAAGTTTTGTTTTTTTTTTTTTTTACAAAAAATGATCATCTGTTCAATTTATTAAGTTATATAAAACTACTGATTTGTGTTTTTCAAAACATTTCTTACTTCTCGTTGATAATATCAAATATTAACTATACTAAGATTTAGTATTTTCTTTCCCCTGATTCTTTCCACTGAAAATGCTAAACAATGCCCACAATGGCCAACAATAGGAAGTCAAGGAGAAAACAAAGGTAAAGGAATGGGAAAGACACAAAGGAAGCAGTTAAAAAAAAAGTGAAGCAAAATGGTGAGGAAGTGAACAAAAGAGAAAAATGCATGTGGAGGCTATTCAAAATATAATTCATCAAATATTAATCATCACGGGACTCAGAAAGAAAAAGATGAATATAAACAGGCAATTCTTGGATACTACAAGTCTAATTAGGTCATTCATCTGCAAGACAGCCAGTACGTTAATATTTTTAATAAGTGATCTGGGAAGTTCAATATGCAGAAGAATCTGCAAGTTTGTAAAACAAAGTTCTGTCGTGGGTCAAGAATTCCAAGCCAAGGGATTTAAATGTAGGAAGATTTATGCAAAACTTTATTACTAGCAGGAATGACAGACATGTTTGAATGTAGGTAAGTGAAAATTAATTTGGTTAAAGAAAATCCAAATCATATTTAGGAAAATTTTCCTCCATTCACCTGCAACAGTGGCAAAATACAGAGACAGTGAACAAAAATCAGTCACTGTCTTTATGAAGAGCGTACAGATTGGAGCAAAGATAGATGAACTATGTAGAACCACAGGGTGATATAATAGGTGGACTTAACTTAGACCTGGGATTAGGCTCCATAAGAAAAAGGCTGAGGAAATAATCTTTTAATGTTTAAGTTGAAACGTAAAGGATGAATGTGTATCTTTCTTTTTATTTTTATTTTGGTAGAGACAGGGTGCCACTATGTTGCCCGAGCTGGTTGCGAACTCCTAGGTTCAAGTGATTCTCCTGCCTCGGCCTCCCAAAGTGCTGGGATTACAGGCATGAGCCATCAGGTCTGGCCAGATGAATGCGTATCTAACAAGGGTGGGGCAGGAAGAAGAAAGATGCGTTCTAAGCAAAGGAAACAGCATGTGAAAGGGCCCCTGGGCCTGAAATATTTAACAGCAAGGAGAGGGCCACAAAATGAGGCTATAAACATGGGTAGATGCCGGATCACATAAGACTTTATGTGCCACATTAAAGATTTTACGCAGAAAAAGGAATAATTAGATGCACACTCTAAACAGATTACTATGGTTTCAGTGAACAAAATCGACTATGAGTGGAAATGGGAAGAGAAGTAAGACAAAGTATTGTAGAACAGGAGAGACGATGGTGGCTTGGACTGGGGATGAAGAGAAGAGTGATGACATAAGATACTTTTAAGTAGCAGAATTAAAGCAGTCAGTTGCTATTTGCAGGGGATAAGGATGGCATCGTGAATGATTTCCAAGATTTTGAAATTTGAGCAACTGGATTGGAATTTCTGAGAAAAGGAAACTGGGAAAAGATAAGAGATTCAGGGATGGGAAAGATTACGAATTCAGTTTGTGACAGTTGAGTTAGAAGTGTCTAAAATACCACCTAAGGGAAGATGTCACATAGTCAGTTCAATAATGTGTCTAAAACTCAGGGAAAAAACTCAAATTGAGCTGTAAATTTGAAAACAAAAACAAAAACTATAACAGAAGCATAGAGAGAAAGGAAAAGAGCCTAGGGCAGAGCTTCAAGGAATTCCACCATTTTACACTTGGGTAAAAGAAAAGGAGCCTGTAAAAGAACTGAGAATTTTGACCCATGAAATTGACAGGGAAGACCTTAAGACTTGGCCTGGTATACTAATGAGATCCCCAAGATGTCGAGTATTTTAAAGCAGAGGATCAATACCAAAACAAAACAAACTATGCCTTTTGTCTGTATAAAATCTTGCCTGGTGTGACAATAACTGGGATACTTTCTTAAGAAAGATAAAATGCACCTAAAGAAGATGCCAAGAAGGCACTACATGATCAAAGAGTTGAGTACTCTTGTATGGAAAAACTAAAAATCTTAGGATTTGATACTGAAAATAAAGATTAAATAAGAATGTGGCAGATATCAACAGATTCAGGAAGAACATGGCTAATAAAAAAAGAACATTCAAAAAAATTTAGACTATCAGATAAAAGAGGAAGTGCTTTTTGATTTCAGGCAAATGAAAAGATTTCAGAGAATTTTGAGGCACAGAATAGAATTCATAGGTTAAACCTATAAATGGATTTGCTAAAATATGCAAATTCATGACTGGATTGATACAATTAAAAACTGGTTGCTCTAAGAAAAATCAGGATGTTTCATGGTAATGCAAAGATGATGAACATGTCCTTCTACAATTTTCTTGGTGCCTGTTAGAAAACAGTGGTCTAAATAGACCGGACTATTGCCCAATAGGGTAAAACTACCGATAGTAGAGCACCAACAGACTCAGGTGACATTCAACAGAATCCTTAATTTAGACTCTTATGAACAAAAGAAAGACTGATAATTTTAAAAAGCATATTGCTTTTGTTTTATTTGGTTTAGATAGTCACCATTAGCATGAAATGCCTTGTTCTAAAATAAATATCACAGGCTCAACAAGAATATTCTACTGGTGTTTCACAAAATTTCCCGAACATAAGAATCAGCCAGGCCACTTATCACATTGATTCCTAGGCCCTTCCCCTGGAGATTCTGTTTGCTACAGTGCCAGAAAATCCAGTTTGACGAGTGCCTCTGGGTGATCATTATGATTTAGGTATTTTGTGAAACACTAATGCAAATAAACTGTGAGTTCCCTGAAAGCCAGGACCAGGTCTTAATCATTATAAAAATCTAGTGCCTAGCACAGTTTCTGGGGTAGATTAGGGAATCAATAAACATATATCATGGAAATTATATTCTAAAACTTCTAATACTAATAAGTGCAAACTTAAATGACTGATAGCTGTAGAATCTTCATATATGTACAAATGACCATCCCAGCTGACTGAACTAAGGAATTCCCCTTTACCTATTTGGGATTTCTTTTCTCCTTATCCCTTACTGCCAAAACCTTGTGCTGTCTTGTACTATTATCTCCCCGCAATCCACACACCCTAATCCTCCTTTTGCCCCAGTGCAAATCTGGAGGTGAGGAGTGAGAAGAAGGTAATCCCCTGTGGCTATGTCCCCAGCAGTCACACCCCCAGAGGCCCCATCCTGCTCCTCACCTGAAAGCCCCTGCCCTAGCTCCTGTGATGAAATGCCCCGGGTAGCCTTCCTACCTGAAGAAGGAAGAGGAACAAATACTGAGTCTAGGTTTTATTTTGAAATCCAGATGATTAATGTCTCAGTCCTAGTCTACAATCCATTGGAATACAGGAACATTTACAGAATAACTTTTGAGGTATCTTAAAACTGAATGTTTTCCTGTTTATTCATTATTTTTTATCCCCTTCCTGTTATGATTAGCATTTTAAAAAATTTAAAATGTTCACAAATGCTGAGATTGTATTAACGAGGGGAGAATTCATAAGATTAACTGAGAATCCACAGGAGACCAGGGGGAGGAAAGAGAATCAGGTAGGCCAATTGCTACACCACTAGGAAGGAAAGCATGGCCAGAGGGCAGGCCTGAAATCTTAAGGTGCAGAGCCTCCCAAAGTGATGACTCTGAAGGAGACAATACTTTTGGCTGTTCAGGTTCTCTGTGTAAGAGTCTCATGACTTCATCACTTTTAAGATAAATGACGAATGAAACGATGAGGGGATAGGAATATAAAGTGGTGGCTGGAACATAATGTAACATAAACGGCACAAAAAGCAAGGGCACAATTACACTAAAATGGGAATTAAGCGTATGGTTCTTGCTTGTGGCATGACTAGAGAGATCCAGTTCACATGAGATGGTTCAGCATGATGCAATTTATAAATACCACATGTACAAAATGAACCTAGAAATCAAAGAAAAACCATTACATAAAAAATGGAGTGCACTGCTGGTTATATAAGGCTTAGTGTGTGAAAATACATACCTAAAGAAGTAATCATTCCAAAGTTATAATGAAATGTTTCTGACTTAAAGCATAATACTTTTCTATATTAACCAATTTCAAAGATACCAGGCTGCTTATGATGAAAATCCTGTAAAGTACCAATAACCATGAAGATAAATGACAATCTTAATAATAATTCCCTCTGATGCTCATCAAAAGTGACTGAGTTCAATCACAATACAGCAGCTCCACATTTCAAAATAATTCAAATTACCATCCTCATCAGCTGGCACATATAGAGTCTACTTTGGCAAAAGGGACAAAGAGTGACCCATTTTGTCATTTTTTTTCAATCTCCGGCTTCGATTTTGAAAAAGTTAGCTTATGACAGGGTAGCAGTTTCTGTGATTCAGGATCCTTTCTATGCTGGAAACCAGGGTACAATTTTTTGCTACACAGAGGAAGCAGCTGATAACAGAAGTTGGTGGCCTTATATCCTAATTCATCAATGATTAAAAATCTTTATTTACTATACTGAATTTCTACCATGATTTAAAAATCCACCAGTAATTGTCTATGTCATTAAAAAACATTTTTGTCTTACCTAGTTCATTCATTGCATGTCTATGCTCTTCATCAAATGAAAGTTTCATTAGAACACACACAGCAGGACAGATCTGATGTTCAACAGGAGCTGGCACTGAAAAATAAAATCAACATAAACCATAATGCTTTGTTATTTGAAGAGCAATGATGTTTATTGTACTTTAAAAATATGCAGGGATCACTAATATAACCCTAATTCACGGAATTTTAGTGGATCAACAAATATTTGCTGAAAGGATGAATAAATACTACAAATGTGGAACAAAAAATAGGAATAAAGGGATTTGTTTCCATAAAAATGTTTACCACTCATCTGCCCTTGACTAAGTCTCTTAGAATAAGTCTAGGAGGTTTATGCTATTACTCATATAGCTAATAACTTAAAATTATGTTGAGTATACAAAATAATAAAAATATTTTGGTATAAAATGGTTTAATTTTGTTTATAATTTCTTTCTTTCTTTAAAAAAACAACAAAAAAAAAACAAAACAGGGTCTTGCTCTGTTGCCCAGGCTCGAGTGGAATGATCATAGCTTTCACCGCAGCCTTGTATTCCTGGGCTCAATTGACCTTCCTGCCTCAGCTTCCGGAGCAGCTAGGACTACAGGCATACCCCACAATCCCTAGCTAATTTTTAAAATTTTTTGTAGAGATAGGGTCTTGCTATGTTGCCCAGGGTAGTCTCAAACTCCTGGCCTCAAGTGCCGCTCCTGCCCGGGCCTCCCATAGTGCTAGAATTATAGGCACGAGCCACCGTGCTTAGCCCAGTTTATAATTTCTATTTAAACTACTATCATGAGTGTGGGTTAAAAGCACATGGTGCTAGGTGCAGTGGCTCACACCAGTAATCCCAGCACTTTGGGAGGCTGAAGTGAGCAGATCCTTGAGCCCAAGGAGTTCAAGACCAGCCTGGGAAACATGGCAAAACCCCGTCTCTCAAAAAAAAAAAAAAAAAAAATTAGTCAGTTGTGGTGGCACATGCTTGTAGTCCCAGATACTCTCAGGAGGCTGAGGTAGGAGGAGTGCTTGAGCCTGGGAGGTTGAGGCTGCAGTGAACTGTGATCGCACCACTGCATTACAGTCTGGGCGCTTGTGTGAGACCCTGTCTCAATACAAACAGAGAAAAAAAGCATGTGGCTATGTACAAATGTGATCTCTAATACAAAAAGTTACACAGATATACTAGACAGTAAACAGATATTTTTTAAAAGGGTGACTAAGAAAATGTACCTCCACATTCAATACTATGCACGAGGTTTCAAAACTCATTTGACGTAAGTTTTTAAAAAACTTCTCAAAAGAAGTATCATTTTATTCTATTTAATTTTTTGAGAACAAATATCAGGAGTACAAAATGTGGGTCATTACGTAACTGTGGATAGCCAAAGAAACAATCCAGGAAGGCAATGTTCTCCCAGTAAAATCTTACTAGTTCCCCTCACCCCAGGACAAATAGATATGAAAGGCAATCCCTTTTTTCTTATGCTTTTTAAATTTTTTAAAAATGAGATAGTGTCTCACTGTGCTGCCCAGCTGGTCTTTAACTCCTGGGCTTAAGCAATCCTCCTGTCTCAGCCTCCCAAAGTGCTGCCATTACAGGCATGAACCACCACACCTGGCCTTTCTTATCCTTGAACATTTTTAGATTTCAAATAAATTCACCTTCATACCTAAGCTTAAAAAAATCTGCTATAGGTTCATAAGTCATGTTTGTATCATCTCCTCTTCACATCAATAGGCTGATACAGTAGAATCATCTACTTGTAGTGCACGTGTGTGTGTGTGTGTGTGTGTGTGTGTGTGTGTCAGTTCTTATCAGGTGAAAGGAAGGTCTTACCTTACATACTTACTGCTTTTGGTTCTTGGCTACAGGAATGAAATAAGTTATATCCCCATAGGTCCTAACTCCCATGCTGCTCCTGCGGGAGTGGGGCTGAGGTCTAAGGGTCCCTTCCTGAGTGAAGAGCTGGGTGGATTATCACTCCCAGCAACTGAGGCCCACTGTCTACAGCTGGATGGTACAGTAGGAAGAGCACCGAGCTGAGAGTCAGGAGATCTGGGCTCTGTTCCTGGGTCTACCACTTACTAGGTGTGAGGCCATGGTTAAGTCCTTTAGCTCTTCTGAGCCTCAGTTTTTTCATCTGTAAAATGGAGATGATAATACCTTCCCTTCCTACTTCAGTAGGTTGATGTGAGGAGCAAATAACATAACAGATGTAACGCTGCTCTGTATCCCCTGAATATAATGATATGCAAATGTAAAAGATTATGGTTTGGACACTAATGGCTATAGGAACTTACGTAAAGTCACTTTCATCTATGAAATGAGCTTCAGCTATGAAGTGAAAGATGGGCAACATAATTGCTCAAGTTCTTTCTAGCTCTACTAAGGCCCTACTATGCTATGATTGTATAAATTTCTCTTGACTTACTGTTCTTATAGTAGTGCACATAACATTTTCCTTTGCTAAATTTTTCTAGGGAAATACAGACTTAATCTTTTAAATATGAGTAGCACAAATGGCTGATATGAATTTTCTCCTCTTAGTCATAAAGACAGCATATTAACTAAACATGTTTTCTGTTTAAAAATTTCACATTTGCTTTGAAACATGCACTACGATGTACACTATAGAGAACATACTTGGATTTTTGTCCTGGTCCATGCCTGGTTCATGAGCTTCCTGCCACTCCCAACAGGTTTCACAGTAAGCGCGTATCTGTTCCAAAAGATGAAGGACTCGGATTTCACGCCTGCCTCTCTTGTCATCAGGCTGTGAGTGAATGATGTTGTGGAGTGCTGCACTGGCCCTGGCCCGAGCCTCTTTACTGCCCCGGGAATTTCCCAACAATACAGAGTCTTTGTCATTGCCATGTAAAAGCTGGATGAGGAGAGGAAGACATCCAGACTGTCGCATGGATATACAGCTGTCTTGGGAGCTAGACATAGCTAGCAAAGTTCGCGACATATCATCCTTATCATGAGTACCAAGCATTGACAACAATGAATACACCATTTCCACCTGTGGGCCAAATGAGTTTAGAAACAAAATTACGACTTTAATATCCAAAAGCCAAAAACCAATTAAGTGATGAATGGGATATTTACTATAACTCTAAAAAAACAAAACAACCCCCCCCGCCAAAAAAAAAACAAAAAACCGGAAAACCTTTCCAGGATGAAGTAATCAGTGTTATTTCAAAATCTATGTATCATCACCAATTTGTTTATGTGAGTAAATAGTATGAGTGGTAATATACAGTATTAAAAGCAAAAGTAGGTTTTTGCATACTCACTAACAAACTGTTAGTGCTGTTTGCCTAGATAAGTTGGTGCTAATCCACTGACTATAATCAGTGAAAAACAACGGATTTCACACACATAGAGAATGTAGTTTATCTAAATCTTTACATAATTTAAAACTTTATCTTATTTCTTTTAATCTATACCTATAAGCAATAAACAGAAAACATTTCTGCAACAATTTTAAGTACTAATTCTCAGCAATCATTAATTCTCGTCAGATGATAATATTATTAAAATTATACGATTATAAATTTAAAAACATTTTGTCATAAAAAGGAAAATGCCATGATCATACAGAGTGAGAGCCAGGATTTGTAGTCAGTTTTTTAAAAAGCAACTGGTAAGTACTAATTACTCTCTGACAATAAATTCTACGTATTTAGTTAGAAGCAGATTAGAAACCGGAAAGTGGCACCCAGTTATCCTGGGCCATGGTCCACTCATTTTAACGCTAGAGGGTATTATATAAAAGTAGAGGCTATTATATAAAGAATGCATCATTCTCTATAAGTCAATGGTTCTCAACTGGGGGCAATTTTGCCCCCATCGGGACACATTTGACAACATCTTGGAGACATTTTTGGTTGTCACAATTGTAGGATGGGTATTTTAGGGGAATCTAGTGGGGAGAGACCAGGGACGTTACTATACATTCTAGAATGCAACAAAGAATTATCCAGCCAATAGTGCTGAGGTTTAGAAATGCTGCTTTAGATGCGTAAATACACATACACCTTTAGATATGAAAGTTTTAGGAAGGCAGTATAGGACTGCGGATAAATGGGTTTTCATCGGAGCTAGGTTCAAATTTTGGCTCCACCTCTTAGGAGCAAGCTGTGATACTATTATAGTTAAGCTATTTGATTTCTCTGAGCCTCAGTTTTCTGAGCTGCAAAATGGAGAAATTTACCTACCTAACAAGGTTTTCTCCATTAAGGTGAAATAAAATAATACATGTATAGGACAGTAGCTAGCATTCAAAATACATACTAGGGTCTTAATATTATCATGCATAAATTACTTCAAAAAGAAACAGTATTCTAATTGCCAGTTTTCACACAATATTACTCTTGAATATTCAAGATTTTCTTTATAGTAAAAACTACATGTTGAGGTTAGACAGATCTGGAATTAAATTTCCATGCCTAAAATTTTTTTTGCTTCAGTTTTCTCATTTAGAGAAATATGGATACTTCATAGAATTTTGGAGAGGACCAGAGATAAGGTACATACAACTCCTGGCACAGTGAATGGCATATGAGGTCCCAAGAAGTATAAACAGGATTAAGCCTCATAGTGAGAATATCATTGATTATTCTAAAATCATTACTTAAATCAACATTAGTTATTTCAGTAATACCTTTCCCAAGAGCTATTATATTATTTACAGTAAAGAAAGAGTATACAGAGTATGCTGTGAAAACAATTAATGGAATTCGAGTTAATCGAAAATACATCGTTTAGTAATATTAGAATTTCATTTCATCTTAGTGAATATTAAAATCTCTGATGGGCCGGGTGTGGTCACTCATGCCTCTAATCCCAGCACTTTGGGAGGCAGAGATGAGCGCATCACCTGAGATCAGGAGTTCGAGACCAGCCTGGCCAACATGGCAAAACCCCATCTCTACTAAAAATACAAAAAATTAGCCGGGCATGGTGGCACGCACCTGTAATCCCAGCTACTTGGGAGGCTGAGGCAGGAGAATCACTTAAACCCTGGAGGTGGGGGTTGCAGTGAGCCAAGATCGTGCCACTGCACTACAGCCTGGGCAACAGAGCAAGACTCCATCTCAAAAAATAAATAAATAAATAAAATAAAAATAAAATCAAATCTCTGACTTTAAAATAATAAAGTAACTATATTTTCCTCTTTTTTTTTTCTTTTGAAATGGAGTTTTGCTCTTGTTGCCCAGGCTGGAGTGCAATGGCACAATCTCAGCTCACTGCAACCTCCGCCTCCCAGGTTCAAACAATTCTCCTGCCTCAGCCTCCCGAGTAGCTGGGATTACAGCCATGTGCCACCATGCCTGGCTAATTTTGTATTTTTAGTAGAGACGGGGTTTCACCATGTTGGTCAGGCTGGTTTCGAACTCCTGGCCTCAAGTGATCCACCCACCTCAGCCTCCCAAATTTCTGGGATTACAGGTGTGAGCCACCACATCCGGCTTAAAGTAACTATTTTCTTTTCAAACATTATTCCCAAATCCTAAAATATTTGCTAACATCTAAGAAAGATACTCTAAGAAAGCTCACTTATCAGCATGAAATAACACTCAACTTCAACAATTTTTCCATTCACCTCAATACATATTTACTCATGTGCAGGCACTCTGTTAGACACAGCAAAAGATAAGTAAAAAAACATTTCTTGATTTCCAAAAGACAGGTTCATGCAAATTGTTAGTGATTCAAATGAGGCAGATGGATCACATGGGGAGGTAAGAGGACCTTGGGAATCAGAAAATGTTTTGTGAAAAAGCAAAGCCCAAGAAGAGTTTTGAAGGCTGGCTAGGATTCTGACAGACATTTATGGTGGTCCCCACCAATGCAGGCAAGGAAGGGAGGGGGAAAGTCACAGGGAATGTTCAGGAAGCAGGAAGTGAGCCAGTTTGGCTGGAACTCAGTATTCTTGCAGAAAAGTGGATGTAAAGACTGAAAAAGAATTAAAAATTAGCTAATCTGGCACTTTTTATAAACCTGATTTTTCCCTTGTTTATGCTTCGTTGTATAAAAATATGTAATTTCTTCAAGAGACTGTGAATCAGAATTCTCCACTAGAAAGCGGTGTAATCTCAGCTCACTGCAACCTCTGCCTCCTGGGTTCCAACTATTCTCATGCCTCAGCCTCCTGAGTAGCTGGGACCACAGGTGTGTGCCACCACACTGGCTAAATTTTTGTATTTTTAGTAGAGATGGGGTTTTGCCACGTTGCCCAGGCTGGTCTTGAACTCCTGGCCTCAAGTGATCCACCTGCCTTGGCCTCCCAAAATGCTGGGATTACAGGTGTGAGCCACTGCACCTGGCCAAGAATGTCTTAGCAAAGTAGTCATGGCATTAGTGACCAGGGTTTGTAATCTTCTGTTACCTTGGTTCCCAGATGACTTGTCAGCCTTCGAGGTGCAGAGTGTGTGCTACTAGAACTCAAAACACTGGCTGTTTCATGGTCCATTCGTGTAGTTGAACCCTAAAAATTAAGCACATTATAGATGGTATAATTTAGACTATAGGTAAATACAGATAACATCATGTTAAGGTACTCCAAATGAAGTGTCTGTATGATAAACAATTAAATACATCATAAAAGTATGACCATTATAACTGTTCAAAATATTTTTTACCTATACGCTTACTAAGTATGTTTTAGAGAAAAACTAAAGAAAAGAGAGTTTCTTGCATATGAGCATTAAACTGCAGAATGGACTTAACCAAAGACTGAAGAAATTCTAGGGTAGTAATTTTTCATAGATCTAAATAAATAAAACCACATTCAGATAAGTTCATTGATGAAAAGCATTGAAGGAATGTTCAAATTCTGAAATGCTCCAAATTGCCAGAAAACTAAGTATGAATTTGCTACAGTCCAAGTTCTCTAAGATCTCACAGTTTAGAAAGGGCTGTTTAAAACTTTTACTGGACAAAGACATGAAAAAATAAATGACTGCAGTGCAGTATAATATAAACACCGCAGTAGAAGAATGAACAAAACACTGAGGGAAAACAGGAAGAAAGAAATTACTGCATAGGGACTATTAGAGGCTGTATAAAATCAGTAACATTTAAGGTAGGCATTTTGTGACAGGAGACTGACGGAGGAGACTGTGCAAAGGTACAAATACGGAGAGCGTGGAGTGTTCCAATGTAATGTGGACAGAACACAAGGTGTATGGTTAGAGATAAAGGTTGGGTTAAATCATTAAGTATCTCATGTCATTTCAAAGATGTTGCTGTCAAGCTGTGGAGTCACTGGACTTCAGGCAGGAGAATGGTACAATCAGAATTACGTCTTAAAAACAGCACGGAGAGATCACAGGTAGGAAATGAGGGAGAGGGTATTTTCAGCAGTTGAGTGGTTCTGAGGGCACAAACTAAGGCAGTGAGAATAGAGAAGTGGGGATGCTCTTGAAGGATATTCAAATTAATTGGCTTGAACTGAAGGTCAAATTAACTGGCTTGAGTAACTTGACTGGATGTGAGTAAAGAGGGGCTGGGAGTCGAGGACAACTTGGAGGTGTCAAGCTTGGATAAATGGGTAAGTAATGATGCTCGTAATGGATATCGGAAACCCAGAAATAAATGATGGCTTTCATTGGGGGAACTGAGCTCACTTTGAATCTGACATCCAGTAAGAATCCCCAATGGGCACCTGAAAACAAAGGATGCAACTCTGGACAGGAGGTGGGGTTGCAGATAAATAACTGGGACCTATCAAAATATAGGCCACAGCTAAATCCATTCATTAATAATTAAGGAAATGACTGTAAGAATAGTGTCAGCAATATTTGCAGGCATTCTTTTGCAGTTCTCAACCTTGCAGAATGGAAAGCTAAAATGTAAGTTATTTGAGGACAGAAACTTTATTCTGTTCGCTGCTGCATTCTTAGTACCAAGGGTGGTCTTAAGCTTAGTAGGTATCCACAGAATATTTGTTGAATTATAAATAAATGAGGAGCTATTAGTAAAATCCGTAAGAATGTCAAGATGCAGGACATCATTCGAATTGTCTTTCAGATATACAGGCTCTGGCTAATTGAAGAAGGTAAAGAGAAAACCACAATGGGAGTAATAGGTTTTGAGGACTGTGAGATGGCACCTCCTACTCTAGAGGGTACAAGGGGAGAATTCTGGAACCAACACACCTTATAACTTCCTTTTGTGCATAAATTTCACTTTTGGTGATTTTTTTTTCTTTTTTCTTTTTTTTTTTTTAGAGACAAGGTTTCACTATGTTGCCCAGGCTGGCTCTGAATTCTTTGGCTCAAGTGATCCTCTCACCTCAGCCTCCAGAGTAGCCGGGACTACAGGCACGAGCCAATGAGCCCAGCTATGGTGACGTATTAGAAACTTTTCTTCCCTGTTAGCTAGCAACGTAAACTGTTTGCCAGATAACTTCCACTTTGGTAGACAACATAGAAAACTGTTAACAATGTATTCCTAAGTGATTCGTCAGGATTTTAATCAAGCAATAATTAAGGGCTCATACAGAGATTTCTGAATTCGTAATAAATTCCTTGTTCAAATTTGTTATAAATTTGTTTCATAAAGTCCTTAAATAGGTAATACTCCAAAGTTAATTTTTATGAGGGCTGCTTAGAACTTCTGTATAAGTCATGTTATAAGCCAAGGTGAGGTTTTCCTGACTAGTGCACAAAACTATTTTAGATCATCGTTCACAATAATTAGCTATTTTAGATCAGCATTTTAAAGAGAAAACTACATTTGTCAAAACTCATTCAACTGTACACTTAAAATGGGTACATTTTATCACATACTAATCTTTCTTCAATAAAAGTGATCTTTAAAAAATCCTAACTTGAGAGGTTTTAAAAAATGTGTCCCCATATAAAGGCAAGATAATCCACTTATTCATACTCGCATAGGGAAGTCTGGGGTTGGACTGAGAATACTAGTTCAGAGTCCAGAGTGGCTCCCCTTTCCAGTCTCTACTTCCTTTGTGGGTCTGGACTCTTTATGCTGACTAGGGACACTTCTAGGACAAAACTAATTAGTAATCCTCCTTAGGGAAGGGAAAAGAGGCATCAAGGAAAGACTCATCTTACATCTCTTTCCACTGCCACCAGCTATTGACTGCTTCTGGAATGGTCTTTAAATCCACATGCAACCAAGCAACAAATATTGCCTGAGCCCCTGCTACTTTCCAGGTAGTATATTAGTCACCAGGAATATAAATGAATAAGACATTCTCACCCACACTACACACACAATCTAGATGAGGAGCTGAACATGAAAATACGTGTGGGTAAGTGCTTTGACAGAAACTATATGAACACACAGGAAGATACACAATTCAGTCTTGGTTCCTGAAAAAGTGGCATCTGAATTTGGACTTGAACCATGAGGAGTAATTTAGTTAATAAAAAGAATGAGGGGGATTAGCCACAGGGCAGCCCAGGCAAAGGCAGAGGCATAAGCAAGGGTCAGAAGAATATGGTATAGTTGTGTTTGTGTGTGTGTGGAGAGGAAGGGGAGGCAGAACTACAAATAAATCTGAACATAAGGAGCTTACTCTGGTTCTAACTAATAAAGGATAGATCTGAGGGACTGAGACTCAGGCTAAGGAGGATAGTTGGGGCTTTTTTAGTAAATTCAGACAAGGAACCTTTTTCTTGGTCTATAGAAGGGAAATGAGTCTTTACCCTGAAGCAAACACACAATCTTGGAAGATGTCTAAATATTTTTACTGTTTGTAGGTAGCCTCTAAGATAGATCTTTGCCTCCTGGTATTCACGCGTTTTTGTAATCCCTTCCCCTTTAGTCTTGGCTAGATTTAGTGACTTGCTTCTAGTGAATAAAATGCTATAGAGGTGATGAGAAGCACTCTCAAGATAAGGTTACAAAGACGTGTCTTCCATCTTGGGCACCTCTCTTGTTCCCTCTGAGGGAAGCGTTACTATGCTGTGAACTGCCCTTGGTGAGGCCCATGTAACAAGGAACTGATGTCTCTCTGGCTGACATCCAATGAGGATCTGAGGCCTTCAATAGCCGTAAGTGAACTTAGAAGCAGATCCTCCCCTGGTTATGTGTGGAGATGACTGCAACCCCAGCCAATACCCTTAAGTCTTGTGGGAGACCCTGAACCAGAGACAGGCAGCTCAGCTGCACCAGGATTTCTGATCCATAGAAGCAAATATAAATGTCTACTAATGCTGTTAAGTTTTGGGGGCAATTTGTTATGCAGCAATAGCTAACTAATGTACTACTTGAAACAAAAGAAAACAGGAGGTTTAATTATGAAACAAGGGAAAACCTGTTTCCACAATAAAACATGTTTCTGACATTCATTTCAGTGTAGACAACAAATCTTTTCTAAGCTTCAGTCTTAGTTATCTTCCTATATAGCTCCTGGATTTTGAGACACTCTTCATTCACCAATCTGTCTCAGTAGAAATTTAGATGTATTTATTATTAGGAGATACCAAGAGGTACACATACTCGTATTCTCTATGAGCCTAGAACTTGGTCCATGAGAGTCTTTCTTGGGCGTTTTATTAAGGCTAGACCTGAGCCAACTTCTTTCGGAGGGACTAGAGTCTCCCTATCCACAAGAAATGATTAATAACTTCCTAAGAATTGTTTCCCACCCAACTCAAAACTAAATTCTGAATAAACTTGAGTGTGATGAACTTTCTCACAACCTCAAGACCTGCTAAGTCAGTCATGATTGCACATCCCTTGAATCAGCTTTGCTCATTGTCCAAAGATAGAAGCACTCGCTGTATCATTCCTGACACTCAGTGTCCAAATGTGTGAGACACTATTTCCCACTGTCCTTTTTCCTATCCAACTTTCCTGTACCATCCACATTCAATGCTTTATAAATATCCATACATCCTCAACATTTTACTTCATGCTCCTTTTATTTCCTGGTCTTCAACTTTCTCTAAGATGTTGGTTCTTTTTTTGTGTGTGTGTGTGTGAGATGGAGTTTTGCTGTGTTGCCCAGGCTGGAGTGCAGTGGCGTGATCTCAGCTCACTACCAACTCTGGCTCCCAGGTTCAAGTGATTCTCCTGCTTCAGCCTCCAGAGTAGCTGGGATTACAGGCATGTGCCACCACTCCTGGCTAAGTTTTGTATTTTTAGTAGAGACAGGGTTTCACCATGTTGGCCAGGCTGGTCTCAAACTCCTGACCGCAAGTAAGATACTGCTTCCTTGAAATGACTAGCAAATCCAGCATGTATTTCAGGTTGGATTTCTTGTGGTTATCACTTTCATAATTCTCTTGCTAGCTTTTAACAGCTTTGCCCTGCACTTATTCCACCCCATTTGTCTGGAAACATTGCAATCACAGATGAATCCAACTGTCTGTTTTCTCTACACCCTGACATGAAGTGCCAGGCAGCATTAGAGAAATTTGAGCATGTGAGAAACTTACGTAACTCTTTAGGATGCTGTCGATATACATTTATGGTCACCAATACACCTAGACTCTCCGTGCTATAACTGCCATCTTTTTGTTTCCCTTGTCAGCTCTCCTTTCTTTGGCTATTTTTGATATGCCTCATTTTGTATCATATAAAACTGTGGCTCTTCTTCTCTTACTGCATATAACTTTACCTTCTACTTTATAGAAAAAATAGCCAACAGACAAAATTTCCTCAACTTCTTGCTAACCAGAACCTTAAAATTACCTGCGTATATATCCATCGCCACCTTTTGCTGTGACATCAGAGTTCCCCTCCTCCTATCTAAGGTCCATCCCTTTAGATGTGCTCTGGATCCTTTCTCTCTCCATTTCTCTTTGATCTTAGGGATCTTCAACTCTCTTCTCTACTGGCTCCTTCCCATCAGCATTCAAACATCCTCATCTTTTCTATCTTAAAAACAGAAATAAATTTTCTCTCAAACTTATAGTCTGTATCAGTTAACGATCTTTTCTCTCTTGGGCAGTTCACATCTAGACATCTTTACAGTTAGCTAAAATTGCTCTCTTCTACTTTTTTTTTTGAGACGGAGTCTTGCTCTGTCACCAGGCTGGAGTGCAGTGGAAGGATCTCAGCTCACTGCAACCTCTCCCTCCTGGGTTCAAGCGATTCTCCTGCCTCAGCCTCCCGAGTAGCTGGGATTACAGGCACGCGCTGCCACGCCCAGCTAATTTTTGTATTTTTAGTAGAGACAGGGTTTCACCAAGGCCAGGATGGTCTTAAGCTCCTGACCTCGTGATCCGCCCATCTCGGCCTCCCAAAGTGCTGGATTACAGGCGTGAGCCATCACGCCTGACTGCTCTCTTCTACTTTTTAACCTTCCATTTAACTTCAACTCACTCCAATATAATATAGTAGGAAAGAAGGCCCAAGGAATTGCATTTGACAAGATCAGCAATGAACTTTTTTTTTTTTTTTTTTGGTGAAACCCAAGGTGATTTTTTAGTCCTCATGGCAATGGTGGAAACTGTTAACTGTTCCCTCTTTGTTGTAACAATATTATTCTACTGCTTTGGAATTTTAGGCTAGGTATTCATCTTCTCACTGTATACTCATTGGGGATGTAAAAATCTTTAATACCTTTAATTACCAATTCTTTACCTTTCCTCTCAATTCCAAATCTAATAGCCTACCTCACATTTCTACTTTGTGTGTTTATT
The DNA here is from genome assembly GCF_000001405.40 of Homo sapiens. Classification (NCBI taxonomy): domain Eukaryota; kingdom Metazoa; phylum Chordata; class Mammalia; order Primates; family Hominidae; genus Homo; species Homo sapiens. The sequence continues at coordinate 112,809,358 of NC_000005.10, read as the reverse complement.
TTATTTTTTTGAGACAGGGTCTCACTCTGTTGCCTAGGCTGGAGTACAGTGCCATGATTTCAGCTTACTGCAGTCTTGACCTTCCAGGGTCAGCCACCTCAACCTCCCAAGTAGCTGGGACCTCAGGCACATGCCACCACGCCTAATTTTTTTTTTTTTTTGTATTTTTTGTAGAGACAGGGTCTCCTTATGTTGCTGAGACTGGTCTCAAACTCTTGGGTTCAAGTGATCCACCTGCCTTTGCTTCCCAAAGTGCTGGGATTACAGGCATGAGCTACTGCACCCAGGTGCATTTCTGCTTTGATGTCTCAGACCTAACATCTTTAAAGTTAAACTTAACATTTTTCCAAAACTAGACTCATTATTTTCTCTCACAAACCTCCTTCTCATCTAGCATTATTACTAAATTGCATCACTACCCTTCTAGCTGCCTAACAGAAACCTGCGAGTAATTCTCGACTTCTCCTTCCCCCTAAACACTCATATCCAATCCCTAAGCTTGACTGATTCTACTTCTTGAATATTCTCAGATACTGAAATCTACCAATTTATAGGACATACAGATGATAAAGAAACATGTTGAAGTATATCATGGGGAGTCATCAGCAAAATCTAGAGTATGGGACACTCTATAAAAAAAACATTTGGAAGCCAGGCATGATGGCTCAAACCTGTAATCCCAGCAACTCAGGAGGCTGAGGCAGGAGGACTGCTTGAGATCAGTTTGAGTTCAAGACCAGCCTGGGGAACAGAGGGAGGCCTAGGGCATGGTGGTGAGTGCCTATAGCACCAGCTACTCGAGAGGATCGCTTAAGCCCAGGAGTTCAAGGCTGCAGTGAGCTTTGCCACTGCACTCTAGTCCAGGCGAGAGTGAGATCCTGACTAAAAAAACAAAAACAAAAACAAAACCCCAGAAAACCATAAAGAAAAAAGAAAAACAACTTTAGTTCTTCAATAACTAAATGGCCGTAAAACAAAAAGAAGGAACATACAGATTAGAACAGATATCAGAGATATACTAATTCCTATTCATGGACCTTATCTGGACCCTGAGGCAAATAAACTGTGAAAAAGACATTTATGAAACAACTGCAAGTTTGAATACTGACTGGATAAATGATGCTATTAAACAATTACTGTTAGAGTCTTTGGAGATGTAATAATGCCACTGCAGTTATTTATTTTTTAATTTTTTTATTTTTTTGAGGCAGAGTCTCGCTCTCTTGCCCAGGGTGGAGTGCAGTGGTGCGATCTCGGCTCCCTGCAACCTCTGCCTCCTGGATTCAAGTGATTCTCCTGCCTCAGCTTCCCGAGTAGCTGGGACTACACGTGTGCGCCACCACATCTGGCTAATTTTTGTATTTTCAGTAGAGACAGGGTTTCACCATGTTGGCCAGGCTGGTCTTGAACTCCTGACCTCAAGTGATCCGCTCACCCCGGCCTCTGGAAATGCTGAGATTACAGGTGTGAGCCACCACACCTGGCCAGTTATGTATTTTTAATAAGTACTTTTATCTTTTGTAAATACACAGTGAAACAGGGAAGAAGTGATGATGATGCCTGGAATCTTCTTAAAAAATAAAATGGGAGGTTAAGGTGAATAGGTTACATGTCGATATGAATCACTACATTATTGTCTTTGTAAATGTTTAAAATTTTCCATAAGAAAAAGTTTTAAAAACCAGTGGCAGTAGAGTGGGTTTTTCTATCATTCCATCTTTTTCCCACTTTTAATTGAGCTTTATTATTATATACTGGCTATTACCAGAGACCTGGTTCTAAATTTCAAATAGAAAAGCTTAGGTTGCTTGAAAAAAAGAAAAAATAGTGAAAGAAAAATGGATTAAAAACTTCCATATCTATAAACCACATATAGATAGGAAAAGATATCTCAAAGTATTATTAAATGACAAGAGTAAGTTGTATAGTATAAAAATATTGTTTATATAAAAATTATATATGGCTGATTCACAAGTAACAATGTAACGTATAAAAAGAATAAAGGGTACTGGAAAAACTAATTTCTTAAATTCCCCAAATAACAAATTACAAAAACCCAGAACTCCCTAAAATACAATTACCACAGTAAACTGTCAAACTGTAATTGCCATAGAAACACTCTGATATACAGAAGATATTTGGTCAACACTTTCCACAGGCTGGGCATGGTGGTGCACGCCTGTAGTTCCAGCACTTTGGTTTTACGTTTTTTTTTTTTTTTTCCTTGAGATAGAGTCTTGCTCTGTCACCCAGGCTAGAGTGCAGTGGTACAATCTCAACTCACTGCAACCTCAGCCTCCTAGGTTCAAGAGATTTTCCTGCCTCAGCCTCCCAAGTAGCTGGGATTACAGATGCACGCCACCATGCCTGGCTAATTTTTGTATTTTTAGTAGAGATGGGGTTTCACCATGTTGGCCAGGCTGGTCTCGAACTCCTGACCTCAAGTGATCCACTCATCTCAGCCTCCCAAAGTGCTGGGATTACATGTGTGAGCACCATGCCCAGCCAATCGTAGCACTTTGGGAGGCCAATGCTGGAGGATTGCTTGAGCTTGGGAATTCAAAACCAGCCTGGACAATATAGTGAGATCCTATCTCTATAAAAAAATTAAAAAATTAGCCAGGCACAGTGGTGTGCACCTGTGGTCCCAACTATCCAAGAATGACAGTGGAAGAATGGCTTGAGCCTGGGAGGCAGAGGTTGCAATGAGCCGAGATTGCACCACTGTGCAGTGGTGTACAGTGACAGAGTGAGACCCTATCTCAATAAATAAATAAATAAATAAATAAATAAATAAATAAATAAAGTTGAGAACCAACTAATAAATAAATTATACACATAGTTATATGCTAAGCAAGCAGGGATCTGGCCTGTATAATTTACTCCTAAGCTTTTCCTTCCATTTAACTTCCATGAGAGATTAAAAACAGATCAAGAAACCCTTTCTTTAGCAGGGATATTACACACACCACATATTTATTGTTATCTACTATTTATCAGGGACTGTGTGGGTATGAAAATAACAAAACTAGATAGAATCCCTGCCTTTCTGGAGCTTACAGTCTAGTGGGGGAAACACAAATATTAATCAAGTCATCACACAAATTAATGTAAAACTGCAAATGTAGTAGTCTTCAAACGAGAGGAACATGCTGTGACAGCCTATGGTAGTGAGATTTGATCTGTTCGAGCCTCTCTGAGAAACTGGTGCTTAAGCTCAGACACACATGAACTGGTGTTAACTGAGCAAAATGGGATGAAACAAACACTACATGGAACAGGTATAGATGTGCACAGGCTGTGGTAGGAGAAGGCCCAGTAAATATGAGGTACTGAGAGAAGGCCAGTGTGGAGGTGTGAGAGCAAGATGTGACATAAAGCTGACAAGATAGGTAGGGGCCAGGTTACCTGGGTCACAATAAATGGTTATCATTTTTCTAAGAATCAAGGGAAGCCAATGAAGGATTTTTCAAAGAGAATGATTGTGGGCAGGAAACCAGGTGAGAGAAGCGGTAGAATACATTCCCACGTGGTGGTGAAGAGAATTACTCTAGGACAGAACTTTGGCAGAGCATGCTACTGTGATCCTGAGAAAGTCAGAGACTGATTTTCATTTTCAACTAGTGTTGGTGGCTTTTGTCTTTTGAGCAAATAATAAAACAAAACAAACTAATAAACCCCAAGAGGCGATCATGTGTATAGATCCTATTTAGATGAAAGGACTTTTGGAATAACAAATCACAGTCCCACAGATACAGGTCACACATCTACATCAGGATCTGGGAATAGCTGCAATATTGTTTTAAAACAGTGACTGAAAGTAACCAGATAGTATTAGCAGCATTAGTGTCATACAAACACCAATATGGTGGGCAAGTCTATGATTGCTACTGCTAAACAAACATACTTATGTTTACCTCTGAATTCACAGCACTATCAGAGTTCATCACTTAAAGGAGGAATGAATACCGGGCCCTGATTTACTATTTTCAATAGATCTTTTCCTCTGCCATCCCTATACTGACATAAATGACATGATGTATGTCATGGTAGGACTCTGAAGTATGGCAACCTAAACTACCATACAACGGAAATCAAGACAGTGCTTTCTTCTATTTTCCCAAAATGAAAATGGGTTTTGGGTGTTATAAATTATAGTAATACATGTTCATTACAAAAAATAAAACGACACACAAAAGAATAAGTAAAACCCACAAAAATCCCAACACTCAGAGATAACTATTGATAACAGTTTAAAGAACATTCTCCCACACATTTCTCTATGCATATACACACATTATACATATGTATAATGAGATCATACTTACTTGCTTTTAAGTTTTTTTTTTTATTTTTTAGACAAAAAATAAAAATTAAAAAAAATATTTTTTGCCTTGTTACCCAGGCTGGAATGCAGTGGCATGATCATAGCCCACTGCAGCCTTGACCTCCCAGGCTCAAGTGATCCTCCCACACGGCCTCCCAAGTAGCTGGGACTACCACACACGGCTAATTTTTATTTTTTTTTGCAGAGGCAAAGTCTCCCTATGTTGCCCAGGTTGAACTCGAACTTCTACCCTGAAGCAATCCTTCCCGCTTGGCCTCCCTAAGTGTTGGGATTATAGGTGTGAGCCACCATGCCCAGCATACTTGCTATTTTTAAATTAAAAAAGTTGTAATTGGCCGGGCGCAGTGGCTCACGCCTGTTATCCCAGCAATTTGGGAGGCCGAGGCGGGAGGATCACGAGGTCAAGAGATTGAGACTATCCTGGCCAACACAATGAGACCCTGTATCTACTAAAAATACAAAAATTAGCTTGGTGTGGTGGCACACACCTGTAGTCCCAGCTACTCGGGAGGCTGAGGCAGAATTGCTTGAACCTAGGAGGTGGAGGTTATAGTGAGCTGAGATCCCACCATTGCACTCCAGCCTGCTGACAGAGCGAGACTCTGTCTCCAAAAAAAAAGTTATAATTACCTAAGTCAATAATATTTATTAATATTCAACATAAATGCTCTCTGCCAGGTACATATTAGTTGGCTGGCATACAGTGAGGAGCAGGTGTGGCTTAAAGGACTTTAAGAAGGAAGGAAGACAATTAAACCAATGATAAATTGTGCTAAGCACTATGAGAGCAGGAATACAGCGTATCAAAGAGTACTTTATTTATTCCAGGTAGGTGGAGACAAGGAAAATGTCCAGGAAGAAGTGACATTTAAACGGTGGGGAAGGATGAGTAAAACATATAATATGAACTGAAGCAGAAGACAGTTTTAGACCAAAGGAATGTCCTGTGGAAGGCCTGGACATACTCAAGGAACTGAAGAAGTTGAAGTTGAGGGAGTGGTGAGAAATGTGGGCAAATATTGTGAGATACTCTTGGAAGAGTAAGCAACATGAAGAATCTGGATTCTAATATATGGGAGGTGAGTAGCCACTGAAAGGTTTAAACAAATAAGTGATATAATCAGATTCATGTTTTAGAAGAATAACTGATTATAATATGAAGGATATACTAGAAAAGGCAACAATTGAAGGCTAAAAATTAGATCTTTACATAAATAGAGATGTAATTTATCATTTTTAATATTTGCATGGATGCACCATATAGGTTCCATGAGGCCAAGGACTGTCTGTCCTTTTCAATTATCAATTCTAGAGTCCAACACAGTATCTGGCATATTTGTTAATTTAAAGATAATTATTAACACTTGTTAACAACAGAATCGGTTACCTTTTACTAAGCTCTGACAATATGCCAGGGACTGTGTTAAGGGTATCTTGCATTTAACTCTCCCAACTGTTCTATGAGGTAGAGGTTTTATCATCATCTTATTTTACTAAAGAGGAAACACTAAAGCTCAGAGACTTTTTGTTACTAAGCTAGTTAGTGAGGGAGTGTGATTTCCCAGGTTTGTTGACTCCAGAGCCACTTAACTAATCTACAGCTGACTAATAATTTAACCATTTTACGATCAATGTCCATTTAGGTTATTTCTAACTTTTTGCTATTGTTAGTATTATGATGAATCTCTTCAAACATGTCTGATCACTCTTGACTGATTATCTCATTAGCAAAAAATCTTAGATGTTGTAGTGATGAGCTTCACAACAGGCACATTATAAATAATGCTAGATGCATTTGACAAAATTGCTCTCCAGAAAGCCTGTTTCATGTCATACAATTAAAAGCAACATATGAGAATGCCTGTTTGCTCACCATTACTGAGTGTTATTGATTTTTGCCAACTAAATGGCCCCCCCACGAAATCTGACTTTAGTTTTAATTTGTATTTATATATCATGATTAGTAAAGTTGACCATCTTTCCATGTTTACAAGTCATTTTAATTTCTTCTTTTATTTCCTGTTCATATCCTTTGCCCATTTTAATTTTATTTTTAAAATTATTATTTATTTTTTTACTTCTACGATGGCTTGGAACCATTTTAAGATACTCTTTAAATAGCTGGTATATAAATACTGTTTTTTGCATCTTGAATTTTAACTTTTTACACGTCATAAATGTTTGCAAATAATGTGATCTTGGTTGTTTGTTTTGGAATCTCGCTATGATTTCCTGGCATACTGAAGTCTCATGCTGTAACGTGAAATCTATCAATCCTTTCTTTATGGGTCTCCCACCTACATCATGATTATAAAAACGCTACCCACATTTTCTTCTAATCTTTTTATATTTTTAATGATTTTCATTTTGACATTAAATCTAATCTACTTAGAATTTATTTTGATGTAGTAAGTGTAATATGGATCCAATTTATCATAGCCAGCTTACTGGATAGGTAAGGTTTCCAAAGTACATAATAATTGGAAGATGACCCAAAGCACTACGAGTAGATCTATTCCTATGTAAATATTTTTTTCTGTCATATAGGATTAAATTTTTCTTCCTTCTACATATGTGTAGGAATATATAAATGTTGCAACTAATTCCCTAAACAAAAGACAGATACATAACTCAAATGTGCTGTTTAAACATGATTGCCTTTGTCCTAATTTACCACTTGTTTTCCAATATAATGCTAACTAGTAATACTGAATGAAGTATGTTTGTTTTAACTCAGTAAAATAAATTTAAATACTTAATAAGACATTTTAAGCTTTACATTTTAATGAACTAATAGAAGCATATTCTTAAAAACAATACTATCAAAAGTAACCTAGAGAGACTAAGAAAATTTTCTGTATCAACAGTAGAAAAATTACCTTTAAGAACAATTTAGTGAAATTCTGTTTTTAAAAAGTCATTCATTTACACTCTAAAAATATTCATTGAAGAAAATTTGGAGAATACAGAACACCCTAAAGAAAAATTCTGTCCTATTGCACTGTATTTCAATAAAAATCTAATAAGATAACGGATGGTAGCATAACAAATAACAGTTCTGTATGTAAAAAAAAAAAGTTTACTTTCATAATTTTGCTGAAAATGATGTGGTAATATTAAGCATAATTAGGCCATGTTGCCTTACTTTTTTGTGTGCATTACAATTATCTTTTTCAGTAAGACTTGGATTTCTAGATTTATATAATCTTTAAGTACAACAGGAAATAAAGCCTTTATAACTTTAAAAAAAACCATAAAAATGTCTTTACATTGAAGGTCTTAGTGAAAGAGCAAACCTATTCAAGGCAAGCAAAAATAACTAGGTCAAATCATATACATAATCAAAATGCAGCTTAGAGTTATTAAAAAAAACTACTCACAATCATTTTAGACTAAAACATAAACACACAATCTATAGCTATAGAAATAGATCTAGAAAATCCTTACAGCATTATTGCTGATATAATAAAGAGAAATGACAGCACATTGGTACTGAATGCTTCTGGAAATATGCATTCAGGACTAAGAAAATAGGTAAGATTTATAGATCATTCTTAGAACCATCTTGCTTCATACTTTTCTGATATTTAAATAATTTTAAAAAATATGATAAAATAATTTATTTACCTGACCATTACCAGAAGTTGCCATGTTGATTTCTCCCACTCCTTGACCTTCATTCTGCCGCTCAGCATCATGTGAGCCGGTTTCATGCTTGTTCTGAGATGACCTCTGTTAAGATGGAGTTAACATCAGTACATGCAAAAATGGTGTAGGCTTTCTTAGCCCAAGGCTTTTTTTCTTTTTTTGCTTTAAAGCTCTGAATGCATCAATTATACAGACTGATAAAGGCATGGAACTGTGTATTACACTTCATAACCTCCAGTACGATTGGCGGTCGACTATCTCGGTAAGGGGAAAGTGAAGTGTGTCCCTTGAGCATTAGAGCTGCACGAGACAAAGGATTTTCTGAGACTCACAGGAATGCCATCCTCTACCAGCTGCGCTCACATTACTATCAGGAACATAACCCAAGTAGAACAAATAACTATCTTTTCTGCAAGGACACATGATTCTGACATTTAATGGAGCTGCAAATACAACAGTTAAACTATTACCTAAGCTTACAAATATCTTCTACTTAGGTATATTTTCACATAGAATATATATATATATATGTATATCTTCTAATAAAAGTTAGGTGAAATAAAATGATAGGCTCTTAGCTTCTGATATGAATAAAACCCAAAGCCTTTTCTAATGCAACCACCATCTGTTAACAGGAAATTAAAATGACAGATTACATCCAGTAAAAGCAGTCATTTCAAGATAGATTATCCCTAGCACAAAGCAGTCACTTTATAAAAATACCACCACAAAATTAAAGAAATAAAAGAATTTCTCACGGTCATTTATAGAAACACCTATATGCTTGTTCTAGGAAAAAAATATCTAAAATAAAAATTATACATTAAAAATCTGACCTAACAGTGGATAATTAAATTACAAAATGATTCCTAACGTAATTTCTTTAAACATCAAGCTTTCCTAGATCATTTAAAAAATGTGACTTAAAAATTTAATTTATATGCAACATTTCCATCAATAAACTAGTATCAGTTATATGCTGGCAAAAGTGAGGTAGCACTCAGTAATCCAGAAATATAAGAATAATTAGTACCATCTGAAAATCATGCTATAGAATTTAATGGAATCCACAAGAATAGATATACATACATAAAGTCAACCTAGAGACAAAATGAATCTAAGACCACAAAGATTTGACACTAACGTAAGTGAAGATGTCAACATATTTAAAGAAAATTACTGACCATCTACTATGTTAGTTACTTGCAATAGATGCTGGGGAATACAGTGCTAGCAAAACTAGACATTGTTCTATGCTCTCTTGGACCTTACAGTTTAGTCAGGGACACTGTCAAATAATGACAGAAATAATAAAGGTAAAATTGACAAATGCCATGAAAGAAGGGTACAAGGTGCTGTAAATATATATAACAGAGAGATATGATATACTCTGGAGGTTTGGAAGAGCTCTCTTGGGAAGTGCTGTTTGAGTAAAGACTTGAAGAGTAAATAGGAGTTAACTAGGCAAAGGGGAGGAGTAGAGGATGAGTGTTCTGGGTAAAACAGATCACATGCAGAGGACCCAGGGTAGGAGGGAGTGTGGCTTGTTTTAGCGTGTCAACGAATCATGGTGTGGATGAAGCACCAAAAATAAGGAGGAAAGTAGAACAAAAAGAATATGATAAAAAAATTTAAATTTTAATGCCTTTTTCTGCGATTCTTAGATGGCATTCTTGCCTTTTCTACTTGCAAGTTACAGTGAGGCCACTGCATGATTGCCCCCACATAATTAATACTAATATATTAATGGATAAAGTTGCAAGTAAATTTTATTTTTTAAGTCAAATTTTAAATGGTCTAAGTAGGGAGGAAACATAGGAAAGACCAGTTAGGAGGCTAATGTATTAATATAAGTGTGAGACAGTGGCACTATGCACTAGGGAAGCAGTGACAGAGATAAAAGAAGTGGAGACATAGAGGTAAATCTGATCGGGTTCGCTGACAGGATATGGGGAGTGGAGGAAGAGGTCTGGTGTGGAGTATTACTCCTACATTCCTTAGCTCACACAATTCAATAATGATGGTGCTACTCCTCACAGAGATAGGTAATACTGAGGGAGGATGAAGGTTTTTTGCTGCAAGGTGGGGTAGTAAAGAGGGCTTAGGAGGAACAGATCATTAATTATGTTTTGAATATGTTGAGTAATATTAAAGTGCCTTTTTTTTTTTTTTTTTTTTTGAGACAGAGTCTCGCCCTGTCACCCAGGCTGGAGTGCAATGGCGCAATCTCGGCTCAAACGATTCTCATGCCTCAGCCTCCCAAGTAGCTGGGATTACAGGCGCCCACCACCATGCTGGTTATGTTTTGTATTTTTAGTAGAGACAGGGTTTCACCATGTTGGTTAGGTTGGTCTTGAACTCCTGACCTCAGGTGATCTGCCCACCTCAGTTTCCCAAAGTGCTGGGATTACAGGCATGAGCCACAGTGCCCGGCCATTATCCCCATTTTATAGATAAAGAGATGGAGGCACAGAGAATATAAGTAACTTGTTTTCAGTCACATATCTAGTAAATGGCAGAGTCAGAGCTGGAATTCCAACCCAGGCAATTCCAACCCAAACTACCATTTAACATTTACTATCTTCATTTTCTTTCCTCCCTCCTCTTTCCTAATTACTTTTTTTTATTCTTTCACTGATCCTAGGCTACAGGCCTGCCTGCACGCTTCGATACACTGAAGACAAAAGAAGTGGTTGTTCACTATTATGAAAGATTAATTCTAACTAGTTTCCTCATTTCCATAGTTGCTTTACAACTTCTCCAAGGTTTTCTACTCTAGGTGATAGAACTTGAAAAAAAATTTTGGTGAGGTATTTAAATATCACAAAATCCATCCATTTTAAGTGTTCAATTAAATGACTTTTAGATTTATCAAGCACAGCTGTAATCCAGTTTTAGAACATTTTCATCATTCCAATAAAATTCCTGCTGTCCATTTACAGTTAATCCTCATTTCCACTTACAGTCAGACAACCACTAATGTACTTTTTGTCTTTAGAAATTTTGCCTTTTCTGGACATTTGATATAAATGGACTTATATCTCTGGCTTATTTTACTTAGCATGTTCTGGAGGTTCATCCATGTTATAAATTCTGCATCAGTAACTTACTTTTAATTGCTGAATAATATTCCACTGAAGGGATATAACAAATTTTGTTTATTTATTCACTAGTTGATACACATTTGCACTGCTTCTCCTTTGAGGCTATTATGAAAAAATGCTGCTAGTGAATGAACATACAAGTCTAAGTCTTTGTGTACACATATATTTTCATTTCTCTTGGCCAGATACCTAGGAGTAAGATTGCTGAGTCACATAACTATATGTTTAATATTTTGAGGAATCACTCAACTGTTTTAAAATGGTGGCTGTACTATTTAAATTCCCACCAGCAATGAGGGATCCTGCTTCTCCACATCTTCGTCAATGCTTATTATTGCCTTTATGATTAAAGCCATCATAATGGGTGTGAAGCAGTATCTCACTTGGGCTTTGATTTGCATTTCCTTAATGATTGAGCATATTTTCATGTACTTATTTGCCATTCCTATATATACCTTCTGTGGTGAAATGCCTATTTAAATCTTTTGCCCACTTAAAAGGTGAGTTGTATTTATCTTTATTAATGAGTTGCAAGAATACTGTGACTTTAGTAAGTATTCTTCATTTGCTATTATCTTTTAAGACACACTGCATTGTCCTCACAGCTCCCATTCCACCCAATGTACTTGCTTGTTAATAAATAAACTATGTCTGGAAGAACACACAAGAAAGTCACAGCACTGGTTGCCTCACATACCTTTATGTAACTTCTGAGTTTTGAATCATGTGTAATAATTAGTAGACTTAAATCACGTCCAGCATCTAGACCTTAAACCAGAGTTATAATACAGGTAGCCAAAGAAAATGCTATAAGAAATATGCTTCATGATAGAGAAATTATTTGGCAGAAGCTTTTCCCTTTCTCATATCTACTGCTCTATGAACTAATTTGCAAGTGTCCAATCCCCAATTTTCTCCATCTTCTAGCTTCTCCCTCTAACTTACATTAGAAGAATAAAATAATGCAATAAACAAACCACAAACGGCAAAATTGTAAAAAGTGGTTTTGTTCTTTCTTAAATGTGAAATGGCACCTTCCTTTGGCTTACATTTACAAACTATCAGAATAATGCAACTGATGTAACTATTATCATAACAAAAGGAAGCAATAAGAGGTTGGATCATAGTAGCAGACAGTCTGCCCTAAATCCAATAATATGAATAAAAAGTTTTGAACAGATACAAGAAACACAAACAAGTTTCCAACCTGAAACTTGTAACAGTACTGGAAAATGAGGATTACTATTAATAAATGGTACTACAATGAAATTGAAGGTGAACAGCATTAAATAAAATAGAGGGCTATTTTATATTACATAAATAAAAGATTCAATCAACTAGAAAAAAATGTGACTATTGATTTAGAAATATCAAAACCTGTTAGATGCAGCAAAACAGTAATAATCAGAATACAAGAAAGATGGGGGGGAAAGAACTAACTGTAACTAAAGCTATTCAATTAAAAACAAAACACTGCCTATTTAAAAATAATTTAAAAAATAGACCAAAACAAATTTGCTTAAGGATGAAAGACACATAAAAACTTCAGTAGAAAGCCAAAAAGGTCATAATAAGTAGAATGCTACATACATCAATACCAACAGAACTGAAAAGGAGCAAAAAAATACTGCTTTTTTTCCTGGCCCTTTCCAAGGGCCAGGTAAAAAAAGAGTCCATTGCAAAAATGAACACATTCTTTAAATTGCAAATATTTGACTTATATTTGCTTAAGACAGTCATGTTAAACTGCTTTTAGGATTATGACTATCACATTGTACTTAAACTGTCTACTTAGCAAATAAGTTTCTACATATTTCAGATTCAGATGTACTAAATCCAAAGTTCCTCAGATATTAAAAAAGCCAGACATGGATGAAAATGTTTTTTGAAAGAACTCTTTCTTTCTAATCTCTTTCAGCTGAGTTTTTGGGGAAGGGGGGATACTCACCCCCTCCGATCTCCAAATAACCTGCTTCAATGGCTAGTTCTGCATTTTTCAGTTGAATGCTTCATTTCAGTTCCACTTTATTGTTACACAAATTTTCCACTATTTACATTACTTTGACTATGAAATTCTAATCATAGCTGGCAGATGGTATACTATAATCACCTTCCTTTACAACTTCCTGTTGTCCATGGAGTTAAAGGTTATCTTTATTTTTTGTTCATTTGGGTTTCTGGGTACATATGACTGATGCTCAGCTTCTCTCCTACTGTGTAAATTTCCTTTCCCTTCAATACATTCAGAAACCGCAGGTATTCTGCTGATTTCATCTTCTTGGACTTAATCTCTCCTGGAATCCTCTCAATAGTTTCAATATGGACTGGTTGCTTTCTTTACCATTTATCTCAGGATGTCCCTTCATCTTTACTCTGTAGTTTCACTCATCTCTTTCTCTTGTATTATATCCCCTGGGTCTTGAGTTGAAAAAATTCATTTTTCTTGCTTTACATTTCGATTTCACTTGAGTATATCCTTTAATAGGTTCCAGAAAAGGGTGCATGAGAAAAACGTATTTGACACTTTGCCTATCTAAAAGTGTCTTTATTCCACTCTCAAATTTAACACTTTGATTAAAGGCTAGAATGGTATAATAAAAAATATAGCTGGTCTTTGTTCATTTGTACCTGAGAGAGCTTCAAATACCCTTGGAATTTCTCGAGTGATAGGGGTGTGTGTTATGCTAATGAGGCAACTCAGGGTAGGCCACCAGATAGCAAAAAGATGGGTGGCTGTCACCATGTGATAAGAGAGTTAGAACTTTGGGCCAGACGGACCTCCAGGAAGAGAAGGAGGCTGGAAATCGAGTTTAATCCTCATGTGGCCAATTATTTAATTAATCATGCCTACAGAATAAAATTTCAATAAAAATTATGGATACCAAAACTCAGTGCAGCTTTCTGATTGGTGAATACACTGAAGTGCTGGAAAAGGCTGGGAACGGTGGCTTATGCCTGTAATCCTAACACTTTGGGAGGCCGAGGCGGGCAGATCATGAGGTCAGGAGTTCAAGCCCAGCCTGGCCAATATGGTGAAACCCCATCTCTACTAAAAATACAAAATATTAGCCAGGCATGGTGGCAGACACCTACAATCCCAGCTACTAGGGAGGCTGAGGCAGGAGAATCGCTTGAACCCAGGAGGCGGAGGTTGCAGTGTGCCAAGATCACGCCACTGCACTCCAGCCTGGGCTACAGAGCGAGACTCTGTCTCAAACAAAAACAAAAACAAAACAATGAAGTGCTAGAAGAGTGACATGCCTAGATTCCACTAGGAGAAAGCATGAAATCTCTGCACCCCCATCCCCATTCCTACACCCCTTCCTTAGGCCTTGCCCCATATGTCTCTTCATTTGGCCATTCTTGATCTGTATCCTTATAATAAAACTGTTAATCCTAAGTATAGCACTTTCAGTGAGTTGTGAGCCATTCTAATGAATTACTGAACGTGAAGGGGATGTGGAAGCCTGGAATTTGTAACACACTGGGCAGAAATGTGAGTGGCTTGGAGATACTCAACATTTGTGGCTGGCATCTGAGGTGGGAGCAGTCTTGTGAAGGAGTCGGCTCTTAACCTGTTGGGGCTGTGCTAACTCTGGGTAGTTAGTGTGAGAATGGAATGGTACCACAGCACACGCACACGGGGTGGAATTTATAGACAGCTTGGCAGCAGTCCTGGTGGCTTAGGGACACCCAAAACTTGTGGCTGGCGTTTGAAGTGGACAGTCTTGTGACTGACTTTGTCTTTTACTTGTGGAGCTGACTCTAACTCTGGGTAGTTAGGATCAAAATTGAACCCAACTGGAGGATATACAGTGGTGTCAAAGAACTGGGGTCAAAACATAGCTGCACATATTTTCTTTTAAAAGGTTTAACAGGGGTCAGGCGCAGTGGCTCACGCCTGTAATCCCACACTTTGGAAGGCCAAGACAGGCAGATTGCTTGAGCTCAGGAGTTCGAGACCAGCCTGGGCAACATGGCAAAACCTCGTCTCTACAAAAAATACAAAAATTAGTCAGGCATGGTGGCACATGAGCTACTCGGGGGCTGAGGTGGGAAGATCACTTGAACCCAGGAAGCAGAGGTTGCAGTGAGCCGAGATTGCGCCACTGCACTCCAGCCTGGGTGACAGAAACTTTTTAAAGAGACTTACTTACATGGCAGGATTCACCAACAAAACAACCCAGCTAGATCATCCTACCTTTTTTTTTTTTTTAAGAGACTTAGTTCCACGTCTCTTAAAAAAAGAAAAGTTTTAAGAAATGCCTACCCTACTTCCCAGTTTCCAGTGCTGTTATTTACAAATGTAAAGGCATTTGCATTCCTGTTCCTTTATGTGAAATTTGTTTTCTCTTCCTTCTCCAGAAGGTTGTTAGAATATTCTTTTTATCCCCAGTGATTTGAAATTTCCTCATGATGTGTCTTAGTGTAGGATTATTCTTATACATGATGTTAGATACTGGAGAGACCAATTTTTTGGAAAACTAAGCCCCTTGTTAAAATTTCTGAGAAATTTTGATTTATTTCTCTAATTTCCTGTCTCCAGTTTCTCCATTTTCTTTTTGGAACTCCTTTTATTTGGATATTGAACCTTCCTAGAATGATCTATACTGTCTGGTAGTTAGTGTCCACTCATATTTAAGAGCGGGCTATCTATGAAAAAGTTAAATGAAGCTCTATGCCTGAAGAATGGATTTTGTCAACTATATTACCCTATAGGGTGATCTAGGTGGGTTGTTTTGTTGGGTGAATTTTTCCATGTAAGTCTCTTTAAGTTTTTTTTCTTGGGTTAGTCACATTCTTCTGATTTTTTTTCTCCCTTTTTAATGTTCTCTCAGCAGAATCAGGGTTAGTCACATTCCTTATAGAAGTTCCTTCCAGAAACTTGCCTGGAGATTATAAGCCTGGATGCCAGTGGGGGTTTCAGCATTCAGTAGGTAAATTTTCATGTAATTCAGTGTTTCGTATGATACCCTCACGTTCAATTAAACAAGGTTGACCCCTAACCAAAGACCCTTTGTTTACCCTCTCCACCTCTTCAGAGGAGAAAGCTCTCATCTTTTGCTGGGATTGGAAAGGAGCAGTCACCTAGCTGTACAGGGTTGTAGGGAGGTTCTGGAAAGTCCATCTGCTTCTTAACAGATTTTCAAATATCTTCCTGCTTTTAACCCTTTTTTACTCTCACACCCAGAGGTATCTAGTTGCTTCATGACTTTTCATTCCTATTGCTGCCTTATGGGTCAACCCTCTCTGATATGCTAGAATGTTATCACTTGTTTACCTGCTTTCCAGCTCCACGGATTTTACTGTGGTCACCTTCCCTGGTCTTAATGCCTCTTTCATTGTATCCTTTTACTATCACTTTAATGGGGTTTCTGGAGTAAACACAGGTAAATGTGTATTATCAATTCTTACTATGGATTATCTATAAAAAAGTTTACTTACTGGATAGTAGCCAAATTAAGTTAACTATTTGATTATATGTAAACTGACAGCTAAAGTAAGGTATCTATATTTACAGTTTTATAAATTTTAACTGCCTAAAAGTTAGATAAAATCAAAATAGTCCAAATCTTTGATAATTTAATTTCACGAAAAAAATTACGGTATTTAAATTCTCTGAAAGAACATCTATATTTCAATGGTGTCACATTAAATTATACATGTTTTCTTTTCTCAGAATAACTACCTATTTTTATACCCACAAACAAGAAAGGCAATTTACTAACCTCTGCTTCTGTTGCTTGGGACTGTAAAAGCTGTCGTATACGAAGTATGTCCTTTTCGATTTGCTGAATTCTGGCTATTCTTCGCTAAAATAAAACAAGAAACCTAATTAGTTATGTTTTTATTAATAATATTAATAGAAATAATCATACTATGGCTACCACTTAAAAGCTCAGGGTTATGTCAAATCATTCTCATTTAAAAAGCTAGACATATAAATATATTCACCCTTTAATAACAAATTGGGGTCAGTTCAATTTTTCTTTTCTTTTTTTCTTTTTTTTTCGAGACAGAGTCTCGCTCTGTTGCCCTGGCTGGAGTGCAGTGGCATAATCTCAGCTCACCGCAACCTCCGCCTTCCGGGTTCAAGTGATTCTTTTGCCTCAGGCTCCCGAGTAGCTGGGACTACAGGCGCGCACCACCACGCCCAGCTAATTTTTGTATTTTTAGTAGCGATGGGGTTTCACCATACTGGCCAGGCTGGTCTCGAAGTCCTGACCTTGTGATCCGCCTGCCTCGGCTTCCCAAAGTGCTGTGGGCTTACAGGCGTGAGCCACTGTGCCCGGCCCTGGGTCAGTTCAATTTTTTGTAATACACTGGACTTTATTCAACAGATGTCTAGATCTGCTTAGTAAAACTGGAAATACAAGTCATATATCAAATTGTATGTTGCATGAATTATGAAAATTGACACAATACACATTGTGAAAATTTATTCTCAAAAAATATTTCAACAAAGAGAAAATTACACCTGCATTTAATCTTTTATATTAATCGAGACATTAATACAATATAATAAATTTATATAAACATAGTATACCAGTAAAGGGAAAGAACATCTGATTTGTTTTAATAAATATCAGGGTCCCCAACCTTTTTGGCACCAGGGACTGGTTTCGTGGAAGAAATTTGTCTACTGACTGGGGCAGGGGAAGTCTCAGGATAAAACTGCTCCACCTCAGGTCCTCAGGCATTAGATAAGATTCTCATAAGGAGCCCGCAACCTAGATCCCTCACATGTGCAGTTCACAAGCGGGTTCATGCTCCTAATGCAGCCACTGATGGTGGCAGGAGGCAGGGCTCAGGTGGTAATGCTTGCTCGTGGCCTGGGGGCTGGGGACCCCTGGTTTAAACAGTAGGCCCAACTCTTCCCCAAAGTTACTTCTGTCATAAGTTAGTAGTATTTTTCAGCCTTTCCAAGTACCTAACTGTGGCTAAACATTATTTTTTCTCCAACACTAGGATCATAAAGAGGATAGAGCTTTTGCTTTTCCACTATATGGAGACCATCAACTGGTCACAAAGCAGTAACTACAGATTG
This sequence comes from Homo sapiens, assembly GCF_000001405.40. NCBI lineage: Eukaryota > Metazoa > Chordata > Mammalia > Primates > Hominidae > Homo > Homo sapiens. Next base: position 112,791,210 of record NC_000005.10, on the reverse strand, counting down.
AACCACATGGAATGGAAACAATGTGGGGAATATATTGTGTGTGTGTGTGTGTGTTTTTTAAGCTAGACTTCATTTTAACTTTTATGAATACTAGTGGAAGTGGAAAAAACAACTCACTTATGAATAAAGACTTTGCAAATGTCTCATAAAGCTAGTTTATGACAAATCAAACACATATGTTTTAAAAACAAGTACTGACAATGTTGTACCATTTTCTGTAATAATTCTATAGTTATTGACATCCTAATATTGAGAAATCAAAAATTATATTATAAAAGTAAACTGTTTCAATAAGGGGTGTGTGTGTGTTAGAAGCTAGATGGAGTATTTCCAAACATTTTTCAGTTATGTTCTCCATCAATAAAATATTTCGGAACAAATATCACCCCCAACAGATAAATAATAAAAGTACTATGGCAATTAGCTTTAAATACATGCAGTTATAAAACTTACTCTTTGATCACATCTAGTTTTACTTAAATACAATGCCTTCATGCTTTTCTTACTACCATAGTAAAAATGTTTACTGCTATCATCCAGTCTTATGATAAACAAAGAACAGAAAACTCAAGTTGTGTTCGCTGCCGGGCACGGTGGCTCACGCCTGCAATCCCAGCACTTCAGGAGGCCGAGGCAGATGGATCACTAGGTCAGAAGATTGAGACCACTCTGGCCAACACAGTGAAACCCCGTCTCTACTAAAAATACAAAAAGAAATTAGCCAGGCATGGGTGACGCGTGCCTGTAATCCCAGCTACTCGGGAGGCTAAGGCAGGAGAATCGCTCGAACCCAGGAGGCAGAGGTTGCAGTGAGCTGAGATCATGCTACAGCACTCCAGCCTGGGCGAGAGTGAGACTCCGTCTCAAAACAAAAACAAAAACAACCCCCACCCCCCAAAAAAAACCCAAATAAAACAAGAAGCTGTGCTCACAGTCCCAAATTAATCTATCTTAATTTTCTCCCTCTTTTCTTTCTTTTTAACAATATAACTAAGCTGAGTCTCTATCATGATTCTGAAAGTAGTAAACTTAAGGTAAAAAAATATTCTCAGGCCAGGCACCGTGGCTCAGGCCTGTAATCCCGGCACACTGGGAGGCCAAGGTGGGCAGACTGCTTAAGCTCAGGAGTTTGAGACCAGCCTAGGGAACATGGTGAAACCCCGTCTCTACAAAAAATACAAAAATTAGCCAGGCATGAGGGCATACGCCTGTAGTCCCAGTGACTTGGGAAGCTGAGGAGGGAGGATGGCTTGAGCCTGGGAGGCGGAGGTTGCAGTGAGCGATATCGTGCCACTGCCCTCCAGCCTGGGAGACAGAGCCAGACTGTCTCAAAAAAATAGAAAAAAAAAAAAATATTCTTTAAGTAACAAATCTTACCATGTCCAATTCACAGTATGAAAACCATCTGAAGAAGTACCTGTACTTTTGCTAGTTTTCTAAAGATATTGCAAAGATGAGTGATCATTTCCATAACCAGGTGGCAAGTACTTCCTAGCTTTAGAGAAATAGCCAAGCTACATAAAATTACTGGATTTCTAAATTTGATTGTTTCCTCCTTTTCTATATAATCAGTTTCTATATAATTAGCTCCCTTCCATCAATATAGGCCTAAATAAAAATTTTTAATATTTAGAGGATGAAAATAGGAAATTATATCTCCCACTCCTCTCCGTTTTACACTACATTTCCATATTGCCAGTATCTCACTAAATACTGAGGTCATGTCTATGTCTTGATGTCCAGTGAGGTGGATGGTTTCTGACATGACATTCCTTGTGCTTCTGTTTCTAATATGAAAATAGAAGAAGCCACTACACCTTGAGTATTCCTAATCCCTATACCTAATACAAAAATCCAAAACCCAAAATGCTCCAAAACAGGAAACTTTTGGAGCACCCACATGGTGCTCAAAGGAAATGCTCACTGCAGCACTTCACAATTTGGATTTTTGGATTAGGATGCTTAACCACTAAGTATTTCTTTCCTTTTTCTATATGACAAGAATATTTGTGAAGTTATATTTAATAACAAACTGTTCAGGAGTATGGACTTGATATGACTTTAGAAAAAAGTGATTTTTAAAAACTGCAGTAGTAATACAGATTCAGGATAACTCTCCACAAATTAGAATAGAAGGTAAATCCCTTAACTTGATAAAGGGTACACTTAACTGTGTAAACAACACACTTAACTGTGAAATTTTAGAAGAATTCCCTTTAAAGTCAAGACAAGAAAAAGAAGACCACTATCATTGTTTCCATTCAAAGATGTATTAGAGTTCTTACACAATACAACAAAAGAAAAAACGCTGTAAGGACTGGAAAGGATAAACAAACTGTCATTATTTGCGAACAATATGACAGTGTATAGAATCTTAAACCGGCGATGATATAATAAAATATTTCAGGAAGACTGCTGGATACTTTTCACTTAAATGTAATTTAGTAATATAATTAAAGAAATTCTCACTTATAATAGCAACAAAAACTGTAACATATCTAGGAATAACTTTTTTAAATGATATGTAAGACCCCTGTGAAGAATTTGACAAAACCTTATTGAAGGATATAAAATAAAGCCTAAATGAATAGAGAGATATAAAATTAGTAAGAATACCTAATAATTTGCTTACTATGTGCCAGGTTCTGAGTGCTTTTACATATATCAACTCATTTAATCCTCACATTTTACAGTTTATCACTATCTGTATTGTACTGACAAGAAAACTGAGGCAGAGAATTTACCTAGGATCATGGTGTTGCTAAGTGGCAGGTCTGGGATTTGAATATAGAAGGTCTGGTTCCAGAGTCCATCCTTTCAACCAAGACTAAATATTATGAAGGTCTGACTTCTCCTTAATCTATAAATTTAATGTAATTCTAATCAAAAGCCCATGAAGCTTTTATCTGAATTAGAAGCTGACATTAAAGTTTACATGACAAGAGTAATAAGGCAGAATACTACATTTTTAAAAACAAAGAACGATTCACCCAACTGGATATCAAGATTTATAAAACTGCAGCAAATAAAAAATGTGGTATCAGTGCAGGCATGGAGAAGCTAAAGTGGACTAACAGAAGAAAGTCCAGAAATATCCAGCATATATAAACTTGTTATGTGATAAGAGATGACATTACTCATCGATGAGGAACTAGTGCGGTATCCAATACATGATAATGAGAAATTCAGTTAACAACATAAATATATGTATGTATGACTATACATAACTATATATACACACATGTATAAATCATGTGCATGTATAATACACATACACACATATATAAGTAATATACATATAAGTTAGATTCCTGCCTCCACAACATACATAATAGCAAACTCAAGATGAATTAAGGAGCTAATAGAAGATTACCTTTACGACTTCAGTACAGGAAAAGATGTATAAATCTGGCAATATAACTAATTTAGCTCTATCATAAAAGTTTATTTTTGTTATGAGGCTAATACAGATAACAGATTTGGTGGGGAGGAATTGAGATGTATATTATCTACAAAGGATTGGTATCAAGAGGATATTAAAACATCTCTCAAACAAATGAAAACAAGACATTTAACAGTAGGGAATGAGCAAGGGATATGAGGAAGTAACTTAGAAAGAAAACCCCAAAATCTAATAAATATTTTCGAGATTCAACTTCAGTAGCTCAGGAAAATACAAAGTTTAAGATGACAAAATGTTTCACTACCCACTGATTGTTAATGATAAATTCTGACTCACAAGTGATGGAGAAGACATACAGAAACAAGAATTGTCACATACTACTATTAGGAATGTAAACTAAAAAGATTACTTTAAGAGCAATTTGGCAAACACTCATTCAAAACACTCATACCTTATGACCAGTAATTATGCTTTTAGATATATATGCTAGGGCAACAGTCAGCAAACTAGGGCCTACTAAGCCATCTGTTTTTATAAATTAAGTTTTACTGAAACACAGCCATGCCCATTTGTGTTCATAAATTATCTATGGTTGCTTTCTTGTTAAAAGGCACGGTTGAGGCCGAGAGTGGTGGCTCACGCCTGTAATCTCAACATTTTGGGAGGCTGAGGCAGGTGGATCACCTGAGGTCAGGAGTTCGAGGCCAGACTGGGCAACATAGTGAAACCCCGTCTCTACTAAAAATACAAAAATTAGCCAGGCGTGGTGGCACATGCCTGTAATTCCAGCTACTTGGGAGCCTGAGGCACAAGAATCGTTTGAACCTTAGAGGCGGAGGTTGCAGTGAGACAAAATTGCATGACTGTACTCCAGCCTAGGTGACAGAGTAAGACTCTGACTCAAAAAAAAAAAAAAAAAAAGAAAAAGAAAAAGGCAGGGTTGAGTAGTTGCAAAAGAGACCATATGGTCCACAAAACCTAAATATTTACTATGTGGCCTTCTAAGAAAAAGATTGCTGACTCCTCACCTAGAGAAACTCTTGCATGTTTGTTTACAAGACATGAATAAGTATGTTTATCAGAGCTGTTTTCTTTTTTAATACTTTAAGTTTTAGGGTACATGTGCTGTTTTTAACTGAAAAATTAGAATCAACTTAAGTGTCCATCAACTAGGGAGGAGATAAACTACATTAAACAGTATCATCAATTATGGCAATATAGAGGTGTACTTACACCTTCACCCCACCAATTCCCACATCCCAGTAGTAAGCTCTATTAACAAACTGATGTGCACTTTTCCAACCTTTGCTTACATGCCTATGGAAGGGTAAGTACCACCATACTAGGTGACCAAATACACACTGAACAAGTAAGAGTAAATAAATAACCATGCAGTTAAGAGGTACCTGGAGACTAACAATCTCACATAGGTAGGCACAAGTGGATTTTGAGTTTTCCTAAATTATTTACTAGTCATCTGTGTTTTACTGGTCATTTGCCATCTTTTTAATGAACTGCCTTATTACATCCTCTGTCCATTAAAAAACATGGGTTAGGCAGGTGCGATGTACACGCCTAAAGTCCCAACTATGTGGGAGGCTGAGGAAGGAGGGTTGCTAGAGCCGTTTGAGGCTGTAGTGTATTATGATTGCTCCTGTGAATGGCCACTGCACTACAGCCTGGGCAACCAGCAAAACCCCCTCTCTGAACAAAACAAAAACACAGGGTTGTCTTTTTCTTATTCATTTGTAGGAATTCTTATATTTTAGAGATATTACCATTTTCCCCTTTATGTGTTATAAGTATTTTTCTAATTTATCTTTTGTGCAATGAATGATTTAAAATGTTATGAGATAAATCCCAACTTTCCTTCCTCTTTATTGCTTTTGAGTTTCCATTCATATTTAAGAAGATCTCTTGCCTGTATTTTATTCTATTAATTTTAGATTTATTTTTCACATTTGAATAGCTAATCAACCTATAACTTTTCTTAAGATGTGAGGTAAGGGTTTAATTTCTCATCTTCTGAACAGGTCATTGGTTGTACCTATATAATTTATTGAGTAATTTATCAATTTCTCCAAAATTTATAATGTAACTTCTGTCATATAAAGGTTGTAAATATTCCTGTACCTCTTTCTAGTCTCTATCATTTGCCTAAATTTATTCCTGTGCTATTATCATACTGTGATTATTACAACATCTTCACAATAGATTTTAACAAATGGTAAGGTAAATCTTCAATTATGCGTTCTTTCATAAATGTTTTTGGAAATTCTTGCATTATAAACTTTATAATCATTTTTCTAGGTTCCAAAAAATTTAGTGTCCTTCAACAATTTTATGTTTTTCTTTATGCAGGCTTTTTCTAGTTACTTTAAAGTTTCCTGTTACTGTGAACAGGTCCTCCTACCCCCATTTCCACCTTTAACTGGTAGTTATTGCTGATTTTTGTATGTATCTTAACTTGAGTTACCTTACTAAATTCTCTTACTAGTTTAAATACTTTTTAGTTCATTTTGTATAGCTTTTCTAGGCAAACCACCACATCATTTACAAATAATTATTTAATCTCTTCCTTTCTAGTTCAAAAATAGTGTAGGATTCATAACACTTATTTTGTTTTTTCTACTTGCATTAGTCAAGCCTGTCAAACAAAGTTAAATAATAGTGATGACGGCAAGCTACTCAAACATATTAATGATAGCAACAATGATTACCTCATTATTTCTGTTTTCTTTTTCAAGACAGGGTCTTGCTCGGTCACCCAGGTTGGAGTGCAGTGGCATGATCATAGCTCACTGCAACCTCTAATTCCTAAGCTCAAGCAATCCTACCACCTCAGCATTCCTTAAGGCAGCTGGGATTACAGTTGTGTGCCAACACTACTGCTAACTTGTGATCCTCTTGCGTCAGCCTCCCAAAGTGCTGGGATTACAGGCCTGAGCTATTTCACTCAGTCACTATTTTCTTAATATAAGGTTTGCTTCTGGTTTGTGGTAATACTTATGTTTAAAAACTTTCATTCTATTCTTATTTTATTTGGAATTCTTATTTACTCCTTCCCCTTGCAAATGAGATCCCATATTTTTTCTCATAGCCTCAGACCCTCCTGAGATCTCCTCTTCCAGGGCCGTTCTTGTTTCACTTGCTGAATCACCCAAGCAGGGAGTTAGGAGGGAAAGGAGTGCTTTGGCTACCATATTCCCACTATTCTCAGTATGGTATTTTATAATAGCTTGCATACTATTCATTTAATAATTTAAAATATGTATCTACATTCTGCCCTAAAGTAAGTATTTCTGTACGCAACATATTCCTAGAAGTCCTATAGAAACACACGGTCATAGAGCACAGGCATTTTAATTTTGGCAAATAATGCCAAATTGTCCTCCAAAAATGTATCAATTTATTCTTAAAAGAACAGGGCAGACAATGTTGGCTGGGTGCAGTGGCTCATGCCTGTAATCCCAGCACTTTGGGAGGTCAAGGCAGGCAGATCACTTGAGGCCAAGAGTTCAAGACCAGCCTGACCAATATGGTGAAACCCTGTTTCTACTAAAAATACAAAAATTAGCTGGGCGTGGTGGCACACAACTATAGTCCCAGCTACTCAGGAGGCTCAGGCATGAGAATCGCTTGAAGCCAGGAGGTGGGGGTTGCAGTAAGGCGAAATCAAACCACTGCACTCCAGCCTGTGTGACAGAGCAAGACTGTGTCTCAAAAAGAAAAAACAAAGCAAACAAAAAAGATTTAAAGGTAGATGATGTTTTTACTTTCACACCCTTGCTAATACTGCATGTCATCAAAAATTATAAAGTTTCGGGCAGCTGATAGGCAAAAAAAAAATAGTACCTTACTTTATATTACATTTCCCTGATGTGTAGTGATGTTTAAGCATCTTTTCACAATTGTTTATTAGACACTTGAACTTAATTTTCTGATGGAACTATTCACATCTTCTGACTATTTTGCTATTTGGTTATCTGTTTTCTTTCTTTTCTTTTCTTTCCTTTCTTTCTCTTTTTTTTTTTTTTTTTTTGAGTGCAGTGGTGAGATTGTAGCTCACTGCAGCCTTGAACTCCTGGGCTCAAGGGATCCTCCTCAGCCTCAGCCTCCCAAGTAACTAGGTCTACAGATGTGCACCATCATACTCAGCTTTTTTTTTTTTTTTTTTGGTAGAGGCAGGGTCTTGCTATCTTGCTCAGGCTGGTCTCGAACTCCTGGGCTCAAGTGATCCTTCTGCCTCAGCCTCTCAAAGTGCTAGAATTACAGGTGTGAATCACCATGCCTGGCATGGTTGACCATTTTCAATTGATTTGTAGGTGATCCTTGTAGAGTAGGGATATTAAATCTCTTATATATTCTACCAACATTTCCATTATTTGCCTTTTTATCTTGTTTACAATTTCTTTAACCTTAACCTTCATATAACTATTTCCAGAATAAATGAACACGTATGTTTCTCAAAATACAGAATAAAATTTCCTTAGAATATTAACTACCAAAATGAAGGATACGGCATTCCAGAATAAAGTAAGAATGACAGTATCAGCGCTTATGTGAACAAAATGGCCAAGAAAGAACTCAAGTTAACCTCTCCTCAGGGATATAAAATGTCTGGAATACACCTACTTATATTTATATAGCACAAGAATTTTTACAACTACCATCACATCTTGTTCTTTTAGGATCTCTCTCTCTAAAAAAAAGCTCACATTAACAGACACAGAAAAACTAACTTATGTCTACAGTATCCCATATATTCATGTTCTAAAAATGCAAATTCATATAAACCAAAGTAATACTTGTTTTTTTGAAACAAATAAACCTAACATTTTAAAATAATTCCATGAAAATCTAAAATTTAAATCTAAATGTAAAATGCAATGTATTTTTAGAAGTTATTTATATATTCTTGATTTTAGTTCTTTGCCAGTTATATGGTAATAAATATCTTCTCCCAATTTGTAAGTTATCTTTTCACTTTCTTTCAGGTACCTGTTGAAGATAAATTCTTAATTTTAATACAGTAAACTTATTGGTCTTTTATCATTAGCGTTTTAAGTCTTTCTTAAGAAATACTTTCCTACTCTAATATCAGAAACATACTTATGTATATTTTCTACTGAAAGGTTTAAAGTTTTACTTTTGACATTTAAGTCACGAATCTTTCTGACTGGGATAGGGGCAAGAGGGAAGGTAAGAAAAAATGATATATACACGTATTATAACTAACATGTACACATACATGCACATGCACACAAACACTAGTTAAGCCCCCAACCTCATTATGATCTTAACCTTCACTATGAAACTAACATGTATGGACTATGAAATGTAGTATGGTACTGGTGTTTTAGTAGCACCTTAGCCTTCCACCATACTCCAAAACAGATAGAATATACATTATGTTTAGGCTGGGTGATATGGTTTGGCTGTGTCCCCACCCAAATCTCATCTTGCAGCTCCCATGTGTTGTGGGAGGGACCCAGTGGGAGATAATTAAATTATGGGGGTGGGTCTCTCCTGTGCTGTTCTTGTGATAGTAAATAATTCTCACGAGATCTGATGGTTTTAAAAATGGGAGTTTCCCTGTCAGTCTCTCTCTCTTTGCCTGCTGCCACCCATGTAAGACATGACTTGTTCCTCCTTGCCTTCCACCATGATTGTGAGGATTCCCCAGCCACGTAGAACTGTTAAGTCCCTTAAACCTCTTTCTTTTGTAAACTGCCCAGTCTCGGGTATGTATTTATCAGAAGCCTGAAAACAAACTAATACACTGGGCATGATGACTCTAAATCCTAGCACTTTGGGAGGCTGAGGCCGGTGGATCACTTGAGGTCAGCAGTTCAAGACCAGCCTGGCAAACATGGCGAAACAAAAACTAGCTGGGCATGGTGGCGCACGCCTGTAATCCCAGCTACTCAGGTGGCTGAGGCAGGAGCATTGCTTGAGCCCAGGAGGCGGAAGTTGCAGGTGAGATCATGCCATTGCACTTCAGCCTGGGCAACAGGGTGAGACTCAAGAAAAAAAAAAAAAAATCATTATGTTTAGGAAGTGTCACAAAAAAAATAAAGACTATACTTCAAGGAATGTAAAATATCCTACAGTAGCCATTTTAAAACTATTTAATATGTTTTATAGAATACAAAATGTATGTGTATCACTACCATGTAAATGTTGGTCTCTGCTTTTATTTGCTATATTTACTTAAAGAAAATCTTTAAATGTTTTCCTCCCAATTTGTCCCAAAAGTTAAAAAAGAAAACAACAACCCACGCTAGTTTTGAAACAGATAAGGCAATTGGCAAGGCCTCTTCAGGGCTTTAAAACATTAGTCAGTCATAAACTTGTTTGAATATAAAAAGGCTATATTCAATAATATATAAAAATACTTAATAGCAAAGCTAGCTAATACTCTTTCTTGACATTGAGGGTAGAAATATGGGAATGTTCTCCATACAACTTACTTCATCTCTCCTAAAATTCTCTTTGTTTCCTTCCTATTATCCTTGAATGAGGGTTTTTTAAGTGCACAATTTGAAGAGCAGTGACATGTTCTGAATGCCTTTATACAGTCTAAGATTACAAGAAGTAAAAATTTCAAAGGAGAACTGAAGCTAGTCATTAGCTACCGGAAGACCACCATCTAACTCTGTCTCTCCCTTATAATTCCAAGGCAGAACAGAACAGTACCAGGGGAAATGAATATGGTAAAGACACAACTATGTGAATATTGATTATGTTGCTCAGCAGCCATGATAAATCTTATTTTGAAATAGAGCCAAAATAAACACAGCCTTATGTCTTTAATAAAATTTAATCAATATTAACAGAGCTGTAATTCATTTTATTCCTAATAGCTCTTCGCTGTTTTATCACTTAGAAACAAGTAACTTACCTGTGCTCGTTTTTCCATATCCTGGCAGGTACCTAGTTGTTCTTCCATCGCAACTCTGATTTGCCTTGCTTCATATTCCAATTGCCTTCTGGTCATATCTGTTTGTAAGGAAAACTAAAACCACAAATAATAAAAAAGTATCAATATCTTGTATTTACGTTAATCAGTAAAAGCAAAAAAGCATATAAGAACCAATAAAGAAAATGAATAAGCAAATACGTCAGTCATGGTGCATGAGAAAATTATTTTTTACTCCAAGGAGTGTTTAAATTTGATTATAGGTGTCAGACTCAATCTGGATCCCTGATGTGACGTGGAATTCAAACACTTATTTGCCAAAGTCACAAGTGGCTTTAATTAGATTGGCCTATTTCACTTAAAATATATAATTGGTCCAGTTAGAGTGAGGTTAAATTCAGTTGCCTTATGACTCTTCTCTACTGAAGAGGCACTACTTTTAATTATTAAATACTAGCATATTAACGTGGACAACATAGAAATATCAAGAAACAAGTCCATCATTCTTAAGCTCATACTTCAACTTAAGGTAAGGATTACCATATACATACAGATTAAGTTGAGAGAACTTTTTCATTAATCAAATGAGGAATATGGGACAAGAAAAAGCCTACATGTAAGAAAGATAATCATAAATAGAGTAGATAAAGTCAACACAGACTTTGGTAAAAATTCAAAAGTAAAGCAAAGTTGAAACAAAAAGAGGTACTTCTTCAGAATGGGTAATAACTCATTCAAAAATTTATTAACCCTTTAATTAAAATTCCAAGGACTGTGATAACTGCCAAGCATGCAACAGGATTTTAAAAGGACAAGGTAATGAAACATATAAACCCATGCCCAAAAGGCAATAAAAGCTGATTAAATAAAATGATAGGTAACAGACTTATAATGGGCCATGAAGGGAATCAGGCAATGTTATAGATTTTCTGTGTGCCCTTAGAAAACTGTATATGACATATATCTGACTCAGAATGGCATTCTGGTCCAAGAACTCCAAATTGTGTTGTCAGTTGTAGTTAGATTAGTTCTCACCCTTTTCCCTTTGCAACATACAGATGACATTCATATGCAGAATGCATTCCCTTAGGCATACCCAAATTATGGGTTGCAATAGAGATGAAATAGTCTGCATGTTATTTCTTATTCCTACTGAGCCAGTTGTAACTCCACTTATTAGTCCTCCACTTCCCAAACCCTCTCTGCAAAAAAAAAAAATTGAACATGACACAGTATGTTGCAATAATGTGGTTTAGATCTGATGTTTTCAGTAATGTTTTGATAAGTAGGTATTTCCACATAAAGTGTTCATTAGCTTGGCTTCCCAACATAAATGCAAAATTTGTGAAAATAAAAAATACTTATAAAATACAAGCAGAGTTTAAATTTGCTGATGTTGCCAATGGTGCCTGATAATGTCTTATATATCATATTAAATAAATGTGATCTACTTAATAAATTAGTAGAGAATAATTAACTTGACAACTGATCTTTGTTTCAGATAGTAACCAAATACTCTTGAGTTGTCATGTACATTTAAGCTCTTTCCTGAACCTGACTTCATGTAGACAGTGGGATTCTGGATTTTTGTATATTCTCTAATGACCAAAATTAACGGTAAGCAAAACTACACTTTGGTATTTTTCTTCATAAGTTATAGTCCCAACAAATCCCCCAAAATTCCTAATCCTCACAGGCTAACAATAACTGTTCTCTCATTATCTGTGCTCCTTAATTCCCAGGAGCACTGTTAAGTGTTAACATGTTAAGGGCCCTCTCAGAAAAAGGGATCCTTTCTCTCTCAAAACCCTGAATGATTATTCTAGGAGAATGAGCACTTAAGCTTCCAGTTCCACCTCCTGTCAGCCAACGTCCACTCAGGAAACCTGGCTAGCTACATGTTTTCAAAACGGTTTTCTCTCTTTCAGTTTTTACCTTTTTGTCTATTTTGGTCTCTCAAAGTAGTAGTAGAAAATGAAAAATCTAAGCTAAGAGAGTACGTTATATTTTAATTAGTCTATTTTCTTTTAAAAAATTACATGTGGCTGGGCGCAGTGGCTCACACCTGTAATCCCAACACTTTGGGAGACCAAGGTGGGTGGATCACGAGGTCAGGATATCAAGAACATCCTGGCTAACACATCAAAACCTTGTCTCTACTAAAAGTACAAAAAATTAGCTGGACATGGTGGCATGCTGTAGTCCCAGCTACTTGGGAGGCTGAGGCAGGAGAATCGCTTGAACCTGGGAGTCAGAGGTTGCAGTGAGCTGAGATTGCGCCACTGCATTCCAGCCTGGGCGACAGAGCGAGACTCCATCTCAAAAAAAAAAAAAATAAGTTACGTGAAATATTTATGGATAATAGCTAAAATATGTAGTCTTGTTTGAGATTATATAATTTTCTTTTTTTTTTTTTTTAAATATAGAATACTTCATCAATTTCCATGTCATCCTTGAGCAAGGGCCATGCTAAACTCCTCTGCCTCATTCCAGTTTTAGGATATGTGCTGCTGACGCAGCCACTATAAATGTATTTGAGAAATATTCTTATATGTGCCATCCCATGAATAAAATCATTGACATGGAGAGGGAGAGGCTGACAGGATTAGAATTTTTTTTTTACAGAACACTGCAGACCTATAACCCAGAGCAGCTTGGAGGTGGTGAATATCAGCTCCTCAAGTCTGCAATAAAAAATGGCCTCCAATAAAACTACATTGCAAAAAATAGGAAACAAACAGAATGGAAAGAGTAAAAAAGATGAAGAGGCAGAGCCGGAAGAATCTGTGATGGAAAATGTACTAGACTGACGTGTAGTGAATAGGAAAGTGGGATATTTCCTTAAGCGGAAGGGATTTACAGATGTTGACAACACTTGGGAACCTAAAGAAAATTTAGATGGTTCAGGGTTAATTGAAGCATTTCTTAATTCTCAAAAAACTAGTCAAGAAAAAGATGGCACAAACAGAAAATCTTTATCTGACAGTGAATCTGATGACAGTAAATCAAAGAAGAGAAGGGATGCTGCTGACAAACTAAAAGGCTTTGCCAGATGTCTTGATCCTGAAGGAGTAATTGGTGCCACAGACAGCAGTGGAGAACTGCTGTTTCTCATGAAATGGAAGGATTCAGATTAGGCAGAGTTGCTGCTGGCAAAAGAGGCAAATATGAAGGGTCCTCAAAATGTAATTGCTTATAAAAGAGAAACTAACTTGGCATTCTTGTCCAGAAGATGAAGCACAGTAATTGTTCGCCCTGTTTTATATGGGTCTTGGTTTTTGATTTACTAGTGTGAAGAAATAACTACATTTTAATGAAAATCAAGTTTGGTATGTTTGTTTTGAAAGTAGTATTGGGAGAGTTGCTGTGGATTTTCTTTTGCATTAATTGCACTGGTCACTTTGAACAAATAAATAAAAGCTTTCTGTAGTTGCTTCCTTCATCAGAAAGAAAAATTAGATACCATGGTATATTATATCCACTGCATGAGAGAACAGCTTTTCTAAATATATTAGGGGAAATTTCCATAGCCATTACTCAATCAGAACTTCTGTTCTCATATGCCTAAGGACCATTCTGGGTTTCTTACTTGTTTTTTTTTCGTGTGTGTGTGTGTATAAAGAAAATGCACACGTAAATGTTTTCCTTTTTTATTGTTTTTAAACATTTACCAAAACAAAAATCACAGGTAATCCAATGTTTCTGAAATGCCATCATTCTGAACAATCTAAGAAAAATAAATCACTTCAAGTTAAATTGAAAAATTTCCTTAAGTCATACATTTCAAGTTAAATGAATGATTTTAATTGGACAATTTAAATTGGATAATTTTAAAGCAGCCATATCAGAATTCATATCTATAAATGCAATGGTTTGCAAAATTTCTAAAATGAAAAATGTTACCATTGCTAGCAACATCCAGATGAGGAAACCAGACAAATCCTAGTGTATTTTAATTAGCTAAACAAGACAGTTAAATGGACACTTAAAGATTCCTCTAGTGAGTCATTTATTTTTTTTTTTATTTTTTCTTTTTGTTTTGAGATGGAGTCTTGCTCTGTCACCCAGGCTGGATGGAGTGCAGTGGCATGAACTTGGATCATTGCAACCTCTGCCTCCCAGGTTCAAGTGCTTTTCCTGCCTCAGCCTCCCAAGTAGCTGAGATTACAGGCATGCACCACCATGTCTGGCTAATTTTTGTATTTACTTTAGTAGAGACAGAGTTTCACCATGTTGACCAGGCTGGTCTCGAACTCCTGGCCTTAAGTGATCCACCTTTCTCAGCCTCCCAAAGTGCTGGGGTTACAGGCATAAGCCTCCACCATGTTGAGTCATTTCTTAACAAAAAGTTGAAATCCCTGTGTTACACTGACTAAAAGGTTATGATTCATGGAATATCTAAGACTTGGCTCATGGAAACCTAATCAGATGGTTAGAGATGTTGGCAGTTTAGGACCTGCTGTCATAAATCGGTGAACAAACTTCTGTAATCTAAACTATTGACTTGCATGTTTTTTCTTTACTCCAACACATTCATTATATGCAGGTTCGATCTTTTCAGTATATGTTTTACTGGTTCAGCAGAGGCCAAGAAAAATAACCCTTTGTAGTAAATCAGAATGTTATTCAACTGCATACTGTTAATTTATTGTGAATACTGGTGGACAAAACAAACCAGCTTTAGTGCTTGCAAAAATGCTAATATCCGTGCTATAGCTATTGGCATTTATATCTAGAATATTTTCAGAGATATTTTTATTGCAAAAACTATTTGGCATGATTCCTGCAACACAGTACAAAAAATAGGCAGATGGTGATAAATATTTCTATAGAGTATGTTTGGCAATTCAATACACGGAGTTAAAAAACTAGTTGCCTAGTTGAACCCTGAGGTCCTCTAGAATTCAAACTTTATAGATTTTCTAAATAAGAGCTTTAAATAAAACATTTGAGCACAATAAAGTTTTATCATCTTTACCAACAAAAATTCATTAACTATTATATATTCAGGCCTAAAGTTGGGTAAAACATATTGCAATTTACAAATAACTATAAATTCAGTTATCCTGAATTTTAATGGATTACCTAGGTACTTTAAAATATCAAGTTATTAAAGTTTCAAATAAGTTGTACTGCCAAGTTACTTACATTTTCAGTTAAAGGAAGACTATCTATTCTTTTAGTGAGATTCTGAAGTTGAGCGTAATACCAGTCTTTTTCCTTTTCTTCTTTGTCAAGATCAGCAAGAAGCAATGACCTATTTTTTTTTTTTTAAAAAAAGGTACGTTTAAACAATGCTAATAAAGACTGCAGAAGAGCAATACTTACATCAGTTGTTATTGCAAACTTCTCTACCTAAAGTGCTAATAATGAATTACTCAAAAAATTTACATTGATTTCAATTTTTAAAGGTAGGACTTAGAATATTACAGTCATTAAAATTAGAGTATTAAAAAGAACTTTTTTTCTAAATAAACTGGTAATCATCCTTAAAAGAATACTTACACTTCACCAAAGGCTTTCTTCATATTTATAGTCTAAGAATATAATGATAGGTAAAAGATACACATATAACAAAACTCAAAATTAATATAAGAATAAAAAGTATAGTAAAGGAAATAAGAAAAGCAGCAATGATGCCCAGAAAACAAACCCAGAATATAAGAAGCTATTACTTTGGACACTGATGTGGCTTTCAGCTTCACAGCAGCCAAAATAATAAGAAATATACTGTCATTTTGAAATAAGAGGAAGTTATGACGGAGAAAAACTTCTTAGTTTGGAATCTGAACACCAAATGATGGTGTTCTCCATAGCAATCTGTACTAAGAAACTGTATACCTGAGCATTATAAACATAAATGCACAGTAAGAGTGTTACAGGGATAAAACTCAAGAGGTACAAAAAGTATATAATTTATCTCTTTTCACGTGGCTCTTTGCCAGAGCTACCACTGTTATAATTTTCTTAGGTATACTTCTAGAGCTATTCTATAAAAATACAAGGACATATGTGCATACTTATATGTACATTTTAAATATAAATTGTAGCATATTATTATAGTGTATGTTGTCCTGCAACTTTTTTTCACTTAAAAATTGATCCTGGGGGCCAGGTGTGGTGGCACATGCCTGTAATGCCAATACTTAGGGAAGCCGAGGCAGGTGGATCACTTGAGCTCAGGAGTTCAATACCAGCCTGGGCAACATGATGAAAACCCAAACCCCAAAATCCCATCTCTACAAAAAAATACAAAAACTAGCCAGGTGTGGTGGTGCATACCTGTAGTCCCAGCTACTTGGGAGGTTGAGCTGGGAGAATCACTTGAGCCCAGGAGGCCAAGGCTGCAGTGAGCTGAGATCATACCACTGCATTCCAGCCTGGGCAATGGACTCCTTTCCAAAAAAAAAAAAAAAAAAAATCGATCTTGCAGAACACAAATAGGCACAGGTTGAGTATCCCTTATTCAAAATGATTGTGACTAGAAGTGTTTTTGGATTTTGGAATATTTCTATTATACTTACCAGTTGGGCATCTCAAATCCAAAAATGCTCTAATTAGCATTTCCTTTGAGCATCATGTTACTCAAAAACTTTAGGATTTTGGAGAATTTTCTATTTCCAGATTTGGGATGCTCAATCTATACTAGGTATTTTTTTTGTTAGCTACATAATATTCCAAGAATTCCCTAGTATTCATAAATCTATGTAGGGATACACTACAACCAACTCTTAGTTGGAGGGTACTTAAGGCTTTTCTAATCTTTTGTTATTATAAACAATGCTGCATTGAATAGCCTTATACCTATACCTCATTTAATACATATACACTCATTTATATAAAAGAAATTCCTAGAATATATAAATTTTTAACTTACTGCCCTTGTGAGATGTTATACCAATGTATGCTACCATCATCACCAATTTAAGTGTTTAATTCAACTTTTTGCTTTTTCATGTCTAGTTTTTTTAAATGGTGTATCACTGGTTTTAATTTGATTTCTCTTACTATGAGTGAGATTAAACATTTTGTTCAAGTTTATAAACCATTTGTATTTCCTTTTCTGTGATTTTTCTTATTTGTAGGACCTTTTCTATATTAAAAATGATAGTGCTTTGTCAGTTGTTGGGCTGCATATAATTTTCTGAACTTGACACTTGTCTTTTTAACATTTTTTACTCAGTTGACCCTTGAATATGGGTGTGAACTGCATGGGTCCACTTATACAAGAATTCCCTTCCACTTCATTATGATTTTCTTAATAACATGTTTTCTCTAACTTAACATAGTATATAATACATATAACATACAAAATATTTGTTACTTGACTGTTTATGTTATCAGTAAGGCTTCAGGTCAATAGACAGGCAATCAGTAAAGTTTTCGGGCAGTCAAAAGTTATATATATATTTTTGACTGCACGTAGTGGGTGGGTACGCCAATCCCTGAATTGTTCAAGGGTCAACTGTAACGTTTTGCCATGTAGAAAATTTTGATTTCCATGCAGTCCGATTTGTAGATATTTTCTATTACAGATTCTGGAGTTTGGTCATACAGAGAGACGTTCCCCACTCTGATACTATTACTTTAAAAGTTCTGCTTGATTATTGTTTCTTAGGAAATATGGGAATGAATCTTAGTAGTGAGTATGTGGAAGGTTCTGTTCTTGCTAAAATGTATTTTCCTTTACTGAGAAGCAACTTAAAAAATAAGAAATAAGCTTTTGTTCTTATGTGGCAACCTTAATAGTGATGGACTGATTGGGAAGAAAGGAAGCCCCTGCTTATGATGTAGCATCCCTCAGAAAAGGCACACTAAAGACAAGCTGCTCTCTCCCTCCGATTTCTGACAACAGGAACAGGAGAAAGCACTGCAGAAAGCCTGAACTCCATTCACAGCTGGGTACCACAACTCCCATAAAGATGAGATTTAATTCTATTTTTCAGTTTTCCCTAGTGAGGACCTGCAGGACCTACCAGGTCCAAGGTGGGAAAAAGAATAAAATAGATGGTGATGCTACTATTTCCTCCATTACTTCCTAATAAATGAACTTATGAAATAAGAGTTGGGGCCAGGCACGGCGGGTCACGCCTGTAATCCCAGTACTTTGGGAGGCTGAGGCAGGTGGATCACTTGAAGTCAGGAGTTCGAGACCAGCCTGGCCAACATGGTGAAACCCCGTCTCTACTAAAAATACAGAAATTAGCTGGGCGCTGTGGCAGATACTCATAGTCCTAGCTGCTTGGGAGGCTGAGGCATGAGAATCTCTTGAATCAGGGAGGCGGAGGTTGCAGTGAGCCAAGATCGTGCCACTGCACTCCAGCCTAGGTGACAGAGTGAGATTTCGTCTTAAAAAAAAAAAAAAAAAAGAGCTGGGCATTAAAAGTGCTTAAATTGACAGGCCAATGTCAGTGGCAGTGTTGAAGTAAGGGGGAGGTTAGGGACACTAGGGACAATTTGCTACTATCAAGTTTAAGATTAACCTGTAGTAAAATACTCTGGGGAAGCCAAGGTTATAGTGTCTTCAGCTAAAATGATAGCAAGTGATTAAATTATGGTAGTTGACCTTGTGACTCACACAACAGCAGTTCATAAGGCTCAGAACTGAAACTAAGGCTAGACTCAGAACAGGCAGAGTCATTAGGGTTTAGTGTACTAAAGGCCTATTTTGTGATTGCCAATGGTCTTCTTTAAAAATGCTTTTTCACATAAATCTCATGTCTTCTTAGTCCTCTACCTTACTGGGGGTCACCTAGAAGAGCATGGCACATTTGTATTAGCATTCAATAAATATTTGTTAAATAAATTAATAGTGAACATGACAGCAACAATTCCTAACATTATTGAATGCTGTATGTACTGGGCATAGTGCTAAGGACTTTAAAAAAATCTAATTTAATCCTCATGATATCCTTTGAGGTCGTTATTCTCATGATCACTTTACTAACTAGAAAACTGAGGTTCAAAACCCAGCTTATAAAGCTACAAGCTGGGTTTAAGTCCTGGCTTAACCAACTTCTAGCATTTATCTTGAGGAGTACAGATAAAGGAAGAAGATATAAACTATGACTTTAAGAAGGTCTAGAAAGAAAGAACAGAAAAAACTAAAGGGGAAAATCATCAAAGAAGTAATATAACAGAAAAAAGCTGAATAAATAAATTTCCAGATCAAAAGGGTACAGTAAATATTCAGCATGATGAATGAGGAAAATATGCATACCAAAACATTCAAAAGCTTCCAAAGAGGAAAAATGGCCATCTACAAAGGAATAAGATTCAGACTGGTATCAAATTTCTCATTGGTACCTTGATAATGAAGAAAAATGAGTTTGAACCTAAACCTACCTGAACTATCAATCAAGTGTGAGAGCAAAATAAGTATACTATCACACAAGCAAGAAATCAATTTATCTCTCTCCAACACAGCAAGAGTCAAGAACACCCAAACATATTAGACCTAAATGGGAAGCATAATGACAACAGTGGTATGACAGTCTTGTAGCAGGCTCAGGAAGCAAATGGTACAAATTAGATCAGAAAAATTCATTGGCTCCAATAAAAATTTATTTATGAATAAAATGAAACTAGATCCTCATATTATCATAAAGGCACAAGTTTCTGCTCCCGAAAACATAAAAGAAAGGCAATTAGAAACTTGAGACAAAAACAAAGAGCTATATAAGAAAGACACAGTCCAAATAGCATCATCTTCCTTTAAACAGCACAAAGAGTATGATATTCTATCAATAGGGAGCAAAAATTAATTCTGGCATACTACTGACTCACAGTGTCCAACGACTACAGAGTCCTAAAAAAACCCACTTATTTCACATCAACATTATGCTTAATTTACAGAATAAAAAAACATGAAGACTTAAATATATATAGTATGATGTAACTGTTAACAGTCTTAACAAAATAAAGGTAAACACACAGTTGCCAAATCTTATACAGCGGGGCTTCAGTAGACACAGTCACTCACAGGAAAGAACAAGAAATAGAACTTATATATATGTATGTGTATTTGCTTATGTGTATATGTATACAAATTCGACCAAAGAATTGGTACAGAATTAAAAACTGGATGGATAATTGAGTGAATTTAACAAATCTTCATCTTTCAGAGTGGTGAGTCAGTAAGTCATGTCCAATACTAGCAATATAAACATATTATTTAGAGTTATAGAAGTAACTATCTCATGGGAAATGAGACTGAACATAGCAAAGGAATACTGATACTTTTCATTTATGATGCTTTATAAAGCTAAACTAGTGATACTAATGATCAGTGAGAGTTGAGAACCTTCTAACAACACCATGTTGATACCTCTTTCTCTCCAGATAAAGCAACTTTTTATAGAGTGTAATAAAGCCTGAATTAGAAGTTGGGCCATATTTTGGGAGAAAAACGAAAACAAAAACAAGACGTCTTTTCTACAGTAACAACAGAAAAGGCTAAAGCACCTTTAAATATTTTTAAAAAGAAATGTATTTTCCACTTGGAGTTAAAAGTCAGAATACTAGCTTAAAGTTACTTACAGTGGTATTATATAATAAATAAAACATGGGGATCATTGCATTTAAGTCTTTGAACAGAGAAATAAGCTTTTCCTAGATTTAGATGCAAAGAACTCTGGAAGACTAGCAAGAAATAATGTCAAGACAGAAACTAAGAACATTTTTATTACAAGTATTCCTTACCACTTACAGCTGTATTTGTTAGGTTTACTAGTATTTGCAGTAAAACTTATTTCAAAAATTAATATTTTTCTCTGAAATTCCCTCTCTCTGCTAATAAAATCAGGACTTTGCCTACATAAAGCAAAGTAAGGAAAAGAAAGCAAGTAAGGAAAGGTTAGTATGCATGCCCTCTGCCTCTTAATAGAGCTCAAAGGGGAAAAAGAGATGGAAGATTATGGACCCAAGTTCACTCCTTATTTTTCAAGATGGTGTTTCAATAGTCTAGGATCAATGTATGAAACAGAGACTTATGTAAACTTAAGAAATAAAAGACAGTGAAACATCATTTCTCGTCCAGATAATTATCCCTATTTTTATAAATGGGCATATATGAAACTGGAGAGAAAGTTATAAAAGGTCTTCTGCCTCTCAGGGAGATATGCTGGGCATTTCCTATATACTAATATTCAATTTTCACAACAATGCCACAAAGTAGAACCATATCTTTATCTTACAGAAGAAAATGGTACAAAAATTTAATGACTTAACCAAGGTCACAGAGATAATATGAAGCTTTTATATATTTTACCATTTTCTGAATGTCTAATAGAACTTTTAGAAATATAAAGATAATAAAGATATTCCTTAATATGTGCATTAAGGAATCTTTTAGGGGACATAAAACATTTGACGAAGTTCCTGATAATGATCTATATTTTGGTATCTGCAGTGAGATAATGTTAACTTTAGGAAGAGAAGAATTAATACACTAGCTGTGAAAAATCAGAACTCATTCCATACATCAAGCAATTTTTTTTCAGGTATTAAAACTTATACATTAAGAAATGTTTTGTTGGCCAGGCGCAGTGGCTCATGCCTGTAATCCCAAAACTTTGGGAGGCCAAGGCAGGCAGATCACCTGAGGTCAGGAGATCGAGACCAGCCTGGCCAACATGGTGAAATCCCATCTCTACTAAAAATACAAAAATTAGCCGGACGCGGTGGGGCGTGCCTGTAATCCCAGCTACCCGGGAGGCTGAGACATGAGAATTGCTTGAACCTAGGAGGTGGAGGTTGCAGGAGCCAAGATTGCGCCACTGCACTCTAGCCTGGGCGACAGGAAGACTCTTATCTCAAAAAAAAAAAAAAAAAAAAGAAGAAAAAAAAGAAAAATTTACTTTTTACTAACAGAAGTAAAAAGTAAATACTAGAGGCTAGGAAACACAGAGGGAAAGAAGAGATAAAGAGAGATTTGTTAAAGAATATAAAATTACAGCTAGATAGGAGGAATAAGTTCTAGTGTTCTACACTACTGTATAGGACTGTGTTCTACACTACTGTATAAGACTGTGTTCTACGCTACTGTACAGGACTGTGTTCTACGCTACTGTACAGGACTGTGTTCTACGCTACTGTACAGGACTGTGTTCTACGCTACTGTACAGGACTGTGTTCTACGCTACTGTACAGGGCTGTGTTCTACGCTACCATAGGATGAGCACAGTTAACAATATTACATAGTTTCAAATAGCTAGATGGTAGACAGTGAATGTTCCTAACACGAAGAAATAATAAATGTCTGAGATGACAGATATGCTAACCTGATTGCAATAAATTATATGTGTAGAAACATCACTATGTACCCCATGAAATGTACAATTATTATTTATAAAGTAAAAAAAAAAAAAAAAAGAAGTATTTCATTTGTGGCCACTTGTAGTGGGCCTTCCATAATGAAAAGAGTCATCTTTTACTGAATCTAGTAGTTACTGAATATACTTCAATAGATAATCAGAAATTCAATAAAAATCCAGTTACTACTTTTTTTCTTTTTTTTTTTTTGGTAAAGAGACAGAGTCTTGGCCAAGTGTAGTGCCTCATGCCTGTAATCCCAGCACTTTAGAAGGCCGAGGCAGGGGGGAATCACCTAAGGTCATGAGTTTGAGACTAGCCTGACCAACATGGTGAAACACTGTCTCTACTCAAAATATAAAATTAGCCAGGCGTGGTGGCACATGCCTGTAATCCCAGCTACTTGGGAGACTGAAGCAGAAGAATCGCTTGAACCTGGGAGGCAGAGGTTGCAGTGAGCCGAGATTGTGCCATTGCAATCCAGCCTGGGCAACAAAAGTGAAACTGCATCTCAAAAAAAAAAAAAAAAAGAAAGAGTCTTACTATGTCACCCAGGCTAGTCCTGAACTCCTGGCCTCAAGCAATCCTACCGCCTCAGCCTCCAGAGTAGCTGGGATTACAGGTGTGGGCCAAAGTATCTGGCAAGTTACACATTTTAACTACGTATAAATATAATAATTATGTGTATTACTCAATGTACAGAGTAGTCAAAGTATTTAAGTGATAACCAGCTTGGCCAACATGAAGAAACCCCGTCTCTACCAAAAATACAAAAATTAGCCAGGCGTGGTGGTAGGCGTCTATAGTTTCAGCTACTTGGGTGGCTGAGGCACAAGAACCGCTTGAACCCAGGAGGTGGAGGTTGCAGTGAGCCGAGATCATGCCACTACACTCCAGCCTGGGAGACACAGTGACACCCTGTCTCAAAATAAACCCCAAAAAACAAACAAAAAAACAAAATAAGTGACAAAATAGGTCTTCAGAATCCCAGGAAACGGCCTTGTTTATATTTTTAGATTTAATGTAAGTGCAATCAATAACATGCTATCTTTGAGTTTAAAAATGCAAAATGCTCTAAGTGTTAGCTATCACCTACTATAAATTCACAATTTAAATATTATATTACAAAATAACAATAAACTGGAGTACACAAGGCAATGTTTACTATATGAAGAAAAGTTACCTCTCTTTCTCAAGTTCTTCTAAATATCCAGTACTTTCTCTGCTTCCATTTACAAACCCTCTTCTTGGAAATGAACCCATAGGAACAGGACTGCACTCTCCAGAACGGCTTGATACAGATCCTTCCCGGCTTCCATAAGAACGGAGGGACATTTTTGACCGCAGTTTTACTCCAGGGAAATTACTGCTATCTAAGTTAAGCTCTAAATAAAATAGAAACAAGTTTTTATACAACAATTGCTTTAAGCAGTCTAAAATATTCTTAATGTTATATTATTTTAAAGTGAAATATTAGGTTTACATTTTAACCACAAATATACATGACTGAAAACAAAAATTATTTAGGACTTTCCCTGAAAAGTCCACTTGGGTCAGGGTAAAAATAAGGAGTGTGTTAAAGGAAAATTAGATAAAATGTACTTCCTTAGACTTCCTCTAAATAATATTTTAGAATCCAAAAGTAATTTCTCTGTCTGGCTTCAATTATTATCAAGCACTTTCTCTGTTCTGACACTGGAATTTTCAAGCAACAGAATGAGAAAGATATCCTTTTAAAACTGCTAAAAATGAATTATAATCAACTTATATATGTGAAAAGGTTAAAGTATTTCTATCCTGAATGAAGAAGACAATACTTCTTCCAATGAAACAGTAGGCTCAAGTCTATGGCATATAGAATACTAAAGCCCTATTTAGTGACTGGCAGAATAGCAACAAGCTTTACAAAGAGCCGAAAATTATTTAAGGGAGGGATTTAAAATAGTTCATTCAAAGCCAGTTAAATGTTTAACTGAAGAAATGACACACAAATACATTTTTTATTTATTTGTACTTTAACAATTACATCCTGAGGGTAAGGCTAACATACCAAGAAAACTGATACCAACACCCAAATCGAGAGAAGCTGTACTTGGATCTACACACCTAAAGATGACAATTTGAGCTTAAAAAATTATTTTAAAACACCTTTTTAAAATCTACCTTTAAGACGCTCTAATAAATCAATCTGTCCAGAAGAAGCCATAGCTTCATCTTCAATACTTCCTTGTAGTTGTTTAAGTACTTCCTGTTAAAAAGAACACAATATATTAACATGAAATTCTAAATAACTTCAAGACATGATTCTGTATTTCTTGACATTTAAGTATGCTGAGAAAAAAATTCAGATCACTCTCAAAGCACGCACCTTATATATATTACCTATTATTCATTATTAATAAATAAATCATGGCCAAATAATAATAGTGATATTTTGAGATAATGGTGATTATGGGGAGTCTCTGTGCAAGGTATTAGAAACACATTTAAGATACATTCATTATTTCAAACCTAAAAACCAACAATGCAAATTATTCTCATTTTTCAGATAAAACAAGTGAGACCCAGAGACTTGCTCAAGTTACAAAAGCTACTTATGTGTTTAGAATCCATGTCTCTTAAGCGTGCACCAACATGACCATAAAAAACACCAAATTAACACATAATCTATTTAACAACTTCAACATTCAAGCTTTTATATACCACATTTAAGTATATTCTGCTAGTATACTAATTTACAATTAGCATACATTCAAATGACTGTATGTTCACTACTTCTTGACTTTTGATGCTTTTCTTCTTTCCCATGTAATCCCTTTCTTGATCATTTTTTCTCAAAGAATGTTGGAAATTTTCATTTTCTACCAGTTTTTCTGCCATTACATTTGTGAACTTTGGCTCTTATTGCATGCTACTTAATAATAATTTATATTATTTTCCATTTACTGAGGCATTCCATTCTAGCTCCTAGCATAGTTCTTTGGCCAATCAGGTTTCCTGAATGCAAGACAAAATATTTGAACATTTGCAACTTTGTAACTAAATGGAACGTTCCCCTATAAGAAAAGTAATCTGTAAATACATTAAAAGGAAAACCTGTCAAAAAGTGAGTGACTGGAGCAAAGACGGTTTCACTGATTTATCTTGACAGTGACATTGTAAGCATTCATGGTGGCTCATGCCTGTAACCTCAACGCTTTGGGAGGCTAAGGCAGGAAGGTCACTTGAGTCCAGGAGTTTGAGACCAGCCTGAACAACATAGCGAGACTCTGTCCCTACAAAATTAAAAAAACAAACAAACAAAAACCATGAGTGGTGGCATGTGCCTGTAGTCCCAGCTACTTGGGAGGCTGAGGCAGGAGAATCACTTGAGCCCAGAAGTTTGAGGCTGCAGTGAGCCACAGTCTCACCACTGCACTCCAGCCTGGGGGACAGAGTGAGACCTCAGCTAAAAAAACAGAAACAAAGAAATCGCCCCCAAACCCCAGAATTCCTTTTAATAAATAGCCTTAGTATCTGACCTTCAAAATAATAGACTATGTTGGAGTTTGAAAGGCTTTGGTAAGTAGATGTGGGGGCATGAAGGTGACTGTATTATTTTCAAAATATTCCAGAGTGTTTTACATTTGTGGAATAGAAAACAAATTTGCTCAGTGATAACTTCCTTTACTGAATTTGAATATGCCCATCAAAATGTCTACTATAAACTTCAGGGCACCATCTCTTCCATTTAAGAACTCTCATTGGAGACTACCTGTGATTTTTCCAGGATTCCAATTCTCTTTCCATCCATTGCTACTGTTTTAGTCCTTCAATAATCCTTTTTTAATCTTATCCTTATTTCTCAGGCTTCCGGTCTCACAATTCAACAACTACCCTTGAGCAGTTAATTTCCAATGACATGTCTCGAATCCTAACTTCACTTGCAAACTTCAGACTCACTTTTCCAACCAACTGATGGATGCTTTACATCTGTATGACAGGTACCATACATCTAAATGTCCAGAACTGAACTAACATTTTGTACCAATAAAGCCTATTCTTTGCCTTGTATTCTCTCAGTTAAATGGCATTAGCCTTCTCTTTCTCCTCCAGCTCAAATCCTTAGCACCTCTTCCTTCACATTCCCAGTTATGGATTTCTGGTGATTCTACCTCTATTAGCTCTCTTACAGCTATCTCTTTCATATTCTTACTGCCACTATCTTGTTATTAACCCTACCTAAACTATGAAAATAATTTCCCAAGTGGCTCAACCTTGCACAGAGCTGTCAGAGCAGCCTTTTTAAGGCACAGCTGTGATCAGGTCTCTTTTTTTTTTTTTTTTTTGAGACGGAGTCTCGCTCTGTCGCCCAGGCTGGAGAGCAGTGGCGCAATCTCGGCTCACTGAAAGCTCCGCCTCCCAAGTTCACGCCATTCTCCTGCCTCAGCCTCCCCAGTAGCTGGGACTACAGGCTCCCGCCACCACGCCCGGCTAATTTTTTTTTTTTTTTTTTAGTATAGTAGAGACGGGGTTTCACCGTGTTAGCCAGGATGGTCTCGATCTCCTGACATCACCATCCGCCCGCGTCAGCCTCCCAAAGTGCTGGGATTACAGGCGTGAGCCACCGCGCCCGGCCGATCAGGTCTCTCTTTGTAAGATTCTTCTCCAAAGCCTACAGTAGTGTTCTCAAGCGTCAGCATGGATCAGAATCACCTGAAGACCTTGTTAAAACATAGACTGTCGATTCAGTAAGCCTGGGGTAGAGGCTGAAAATCTGCATTTTGAACAAGTTCTCAGGTGAAGCTGATGCTGAAAGCAGAATCATTAAAATGTTAACAGTGTTATTCTATGGAGACTGAAATTACAAGCAATTTCTTTTTTACTTGTTGTGTCATACTTTTTAAACAATATGTATTAGAAAAAATCCTACTTGTTTTTAGAAAAGTTACAAAGATTTAAAAGTTTAAAAATAAAAAATCCTTCGTACATCATTGGACATACATCTAATTTTTTCAAAACTAATGGTACATTAATGGTCTTTTTAAAAAGAAATAATAAAAACTTAAAATACTAAAAAAAGAAATTAAAAAGCCATATAAATTCAGATGTCCAACAATAAGTATTAAATAAACCATAGCATTTTTTAGCTGTACCTACAATGGAATACTATGCAACTGTAAAATACATAATCTGACGTAAGATGACAATAAATTACACAGAAAAAAAAAACCTGCAAAATATGATGTCATCAAATGCAAGTTTGCATAAATGTATAGAGAAAAGAATATATATATATACTATCAAAGGTTACTTTTACCTCTGGTGATGGGATTTAAATTTAAAAAAAAATAGTTGATTTTGATTTTTTTTGTCCACACTTCCTAATTTAATAAAATAGTGAATATACTCAACTTGTAATAAAGTTCTATTTTTAAAAATTTCTGTACACATTGTTAGAAATCTATTGATAGCTATAAGCATAAAGGTAAATAAGATTTAAGGTCAAACAATTTTTAAAAAGATTCCCAAAGTAGTCACCTTGGAAAGCTACTAACTTACTCCAATGATGTGTTAAATTACTTTTGTAAGTGCTTTGAGTTATGAACCTCATCAACAAAATCTGTGTAAATTTACAGTCACATCCAGTTACTTTGCCTTAAGATGATACCATCCAATATGACCTACATTATTTACTAGTTTGCTGTGAACAGTTTATGGCTATTCCACAATAAAAACTGACCTCAAGTAATTTTTTTCCTGTTTTATTGAGGCACAACACACATATGTAAAATACACTAATCCTAAATATCCAGTGAATTTTCACACCCATGTAATCACTATCTAGGTGAAAATACATTTCTAGCACCCCAGAGGGTTCCCTCAAGCTCCTTTTACCAATCTTCATTTCCTAGAGGTAACCACTATTCTGGCTTCTTTATCAGAAGAGTTTGGCATGCTCTTGACCTTCATATAAATGGAATCACACAGTACATAAGTATTTTGTGTCTCACTTTTTTTGTTCAACATAGTATCTGTGAAATCTGTCCATGCTGTTGCCTTATCAGTTCATTGTTTTTAAATGTTGTATAGTATGTAGCAGTCCACTGTATAAATACAGCCCAATTTATCTATCCTTTCTCCTCTTAAAGGGGCATCTGGGCTGTTACCAGTCTGCAGGCTATTATTTAGAATGTCACTATGAACATTCTTGTACCGTTTAGTGGACACTTGCCCTCACTTCTCTTGAGTACATTTCTAGGAGTGCAAACACTGAGTCATAGGGTTTAATTTTAAAGGAAACTGCCAAAATGGTTTTTAATACTTCTCTCAGCAATGCCTGAGCATTCCAATGCTCCACATTTGGTGTGATCAGTCTTTTAAACATCAGTCATTTGAGTAGGAGTGAAATAGTCTTTGCATTTCCCTGATGCCAAATGATGCTGAATCCCTTTTCATGGACTTATCTGCCATTTATCTTTCTTTTTGAATTGTCTTTTCAAGTCCCTGGGTCACATTTTAAAAACTGGATTGTCTTTTTGTTACTGGTTTGTGGGATTTATATATTCTGAAGGAATTACTTAATATATTCTGAACTGAGCCTTTGGTCAGATATATGTATTGCAAATATTTTCTCCTCTATGGCTTACTTTTTCATTTTCTTAATGAAGTCTTCTGAAAAGCACAGGTTTTTAATTTTGATGAAGTTTATCTTATACATTTTTATGTTTAGTCTTTTGTGTGTCCTAAGAAATTTTGCCCACCCAAGGCCACATAGATAAGATTATCCTATGTTTTCTTCTAGAAGCACACTCGAGTCTTTTGATGAACAAGAGTTCTTAGTTTTAATGAGGTCTATCAAATTTCTTTCTATATATGGTGCTTTGGCATTCTGTTTAAGACATCTTTGCCTACTCCCAGGACAAGAAGCTATTACCTATGTTTTCTTCTAGAAGCCATTGTTTTGTCTTTTTTGTTTTTTCCATTTTTTTCTCTGTGCTTCAGTTTGAATATTTTCTACTGATCTTTTTTCAAGTTCACTAATTCTGTCTTCTCACTAGTTCACTAATTCAGTGTTCAGCCTGCTGTTAAGCCCATCCAATGTTAATTTCAAATATATTTTTCAGTTCTAGAATATCTATTTGATTCCTTTTAATTATAGACTCCAATTCTCTGTCAAAATTTTCTATCTGTTCATTTTTCTTTTTTTCAAGACATTTATAATACTTATGTTAAAATCCTTGACTACTAACTGCAACATGTGGATCATCTGAGTTTGCTCCTATTACCTATTTGTTCCCTTGATTATCAGTAATCTTCCAGTTTCTCTGCATTTCATATAACGTTTGACTGTATGCCAACTGTGTATACAAGAACAAAAGAGACTTAAGATGATTGATAGTATTTTCCTCTAGAGAGTCTGCCTTTTCCATTGTTGGGGTCTGATCTCCTCAATCCAATTAGCAACTAAAAATGGATTGGGACCCGCTGGGGGTGGTGGCTCACACCTGTAATCTCAGCACTTTGGGAGGCCGAGTCAGGTGGATCACGAGGTCAGGAGATCAAGACCATCCTGGCTAACACAGTGAAACCCCGTCTCTACTAAAAATACAAAAAATTAGCCAGGCATGGTGGCAGGTGCCTGTAGTCCCAGCTACTTGGGAGGCTGAGGCAGAAGAATGGTGTGAACCTGGGAGGTGGAGCTTGTAGTGAGCCAAGACTGTGCCACTGCACTCCAGACTGGGCGACAGAGCGAGACTCTGTCTTGAAAAAAAAAAAAAATGGATTGAGACCTAGTTGCAATTTTAAGTTCACAACTAACTGGTTTGGTTTTCCCAGTTCCTTGAGTGTGTCTCTCTATATTCAGATAGAAAATATGAAAGTTCTCCATCTCCTCAGCAGTTAACTTCTTACCCTATACAGTATCAAAATCTGACATTTATCTTGAATGGAAAACCAGTCATGTTTGATATACTAGGTAGGTCTCCCTCTAATAGGTCTTTCCTAAACATTGCAGGAATATGGGATATTTCACTTTGCCTTTCCAGTTCAGCCTTATTCTCTGGTAGCACTTAACTCTCTAGCCTTAAATGTTGTTTCTCTTGGAGGTTGTAAACTCAGGTCTTTAATCTCCTGCTCTACAAAATTTAAAATCTGGCAAATGACTTGAGGAGACCTGTGGTATGAAAGTAACATGTCTCTCCCTCTAGCAGGACTTCGCCTGCTAACATTCTGCGTTTCTAGTCTATCCCAAGTCTCCTGCACTACAAGACTCGGCCAATATCTCATGGTAAAAATGAGCCATGCATTTAGAGCTCCTCTAAATGCTAGTATCTCTACATCTGCCCTCATGTTTGTCAAGGCTGCCAACGATTTCATTTTCTTTCATACCTAGTCCTGCAGAAAGTCCTCAAGAGTTTCTTTCTCCCAGTGAAGTCCTCCTGCTTGTGCCAATGATGAATCTCAATCTGTACCCAGAATCAATATACCCCAGGAAGAAAATTACCAGTAATCTCAGCTTATCTAGAAAGGGTTCTTTCTTCCTAAGAATTATAGTTAATAAAGAGCTTGATGATTCCACAGTCCTCCAGTGTCCTTAAAAGTATGATTTTTGTATTTTATCCAGTGTTTTCTAGTTTTTGAGTGGGACAGATTTCTTGGGGGCTGCATACTGCATACAACCTAGAAGAGGCCCTTGATTTTGAAGAGTTTTTAAAAGAAAATGGAATACAATTGCAAAGCAGTTCCAAAAAAAAATGTTTCAAAAAGTTCTTTGAGAAGTGGCAGCTTTTAAATACATATGTAATTTTGAAGGAGAGAATATTCATTTGTATTTTAAAATTCTGGAAGCTCAGTTTTAAAAGATTAATTACACTATATAATCACACATTGTCTTAGAAGTATTTTAACATTTTAGAAACATTAGAAAATTATTCATTAGGCTGGGCACGGTGGCTCACGCCTGTAATCCCAGCACTTTGGAGGCCGAGGCAGGAGGATCACAAGGTCAAGAAATTGAGAACATCCTGGCTAACATGGCGAAACCCCATCTCTACTAAAAATACAAAAATTAGCTGGGCGTGGTGGTGCACGCCTGTAGTCCCAGCTACTCGGGAGGCTGAGGCAGGAGATTAGCTTGAACCCGGGAGGCGGAGGTTGCAGACAGCCAAGATCATGTCACTGCACTCCAGCCTGGTGACAGAGCAAGACTCGGTCTCAAAAAAAAAAAAAAAAAAAAGAAAGAAAGAAAGAAAGAAAATTATTCATTAGAAATGAAATCTGCTGTGGTTATACCAGTGATATTTATCTATGAGCAACTTTGTCATTTCAGGGAGGCTGCTACTTGACCCACTTTTATTTATTTCAGTATATCATAATTAAAGATGCTTTTCATTACCAGATATAAGTACACTTGATAATTACATCTTCAAAATACATTCTGAAATGTTGATCTCGGTTTTTCCTTACTTTCTGAAAAGATATACTTTACATGTATATTGTTTTACAGTTTATAGACCAATTTATAAATATTAAATTTTGTCAAACTACAACAAAGATGTAAATGCTTCAATAACTTGCCTATAGATAATTCTTCCTACACCATGCCATCTTTCAGCTTTTTATCTCTAAAATGCCATATTTACCTTGTTGCTATACTCAGTATTTTAAAGTCAATTAAAGAGCTCTAGGTAGGCTGGGTGCGGTGACTCATGCCTGTAATTCCAGTACTTTGAGAGGCCGAGGCGGGTGGATCACCTGAGGTCAGGAGTTTGAGACCAGCCTGGCAAACATGGCAAAACTCCGTCTCTACTAAAATACAAAAATTAGCCGGGCGTGGCGGTAGGGACCTGTAATCCCAGCTACTCTGGGAGCCCAGGAGGTGGAGGCTGCAGTGAGCCAAAATTGTGCCACTGCACTCCAGCCTGGGCGACAAGAACGAAACTCCATCTAAAAAAAAGTTGTGGGGAGGGGGCCAGGCGTGGTGGCTCATGCCTGTAATCCCAGCACTTTGGGAGGCCGAGGCGGTGGATCACGAGGTCAGGAGTTCGAGACCAGCCTAGCCAACATAGTGAAACCCCGTCTGTACTAAAAATATAAAAATTAGCCGGGCGTGGTGGTGCACACCCGTAGTCCCAGCTACTTGGGAAGCTGAGGCAGGAGAACCGCTTGAACCCGGGAGGCGGAGGCTGCAGCAAGCCGAGATTGCCCCACTGCACACCAGAGCCCAGGCGACAGTGTGAGACTTCGTCTCAAAACAAAAAACAAAAAACAAAAAACAAACAAACAAAAAAAACAAGTTGGGGGGAGGGCTCTAGCCATGGAGTAAAAAATACACTACACAACTTTTTTTAAGATTAGCTATAATTCTGCATTTATCTGATTTCATATCATCTAAATTCCATGTAATCTCTATTTTATTTTCATTACAAAAAATTTCAAACATATACCTAAGTATGCAGAAAATTATAACAAAGCCCCATGTACCTTCATATCCCACATCAATAATTATCAATTCATGGTCAGTTTTATCTCATCTACACCCATATCCACTTCCTCTATTTCCACCCCTCTGCCTCAGACTTATTTTTAAAATAAAGCTCAGGCATCATACAACTTCTTTGTAAATATTTCAATATGTATATTTAAACAAGGATTCTTTCTAAACACAAACACAATAATATCATTATACTTAAAAATAAATATTTCCTTAATATACAGTGTTCACATTTCCCTAACCCATAAACACTTATTTCCCTGGCTGCTACAAAGACACATATAATCAAATAGCAAAGCAGTGTCCTCTTTTGCCACTAGATGGTACTACTACATAAATTTTAGACTTTAAGTAATCCGGTTGGAGGAGACCTACTTTTTGCTGTTTTTTGTTTTGTTTTTGTTTTTGTTTTTCAGACAGACCAGGTCTGGCTCTTTTGCCCAGGCTGGAGTACAATCTTCCCACCTCAGCCTTCCAAGTAGCTGGGACCACAGATATACGCCACACCTGGCTAATTTTTGTATTTTTTTGCAGAAACAGAGTCTTGCCATGTTGCCCAGGCTGGTCTCAAATTCCTGAGCTCAAACAATCTTTCTGCTTGGCCTCCGAAAGTGCTAGGATTATAGGTATGAGCCACGGTGCCCAGCCTCCTTTTGCCTTTTTTGGGGGTAAAGAGATTAATGAACAGGAAACGTGATTCGAGTTTATATAAGGTATTACAAAGTCTAGCAAGTGATTTTGGGAGAAATAACCATTGTGTGGATTAATTTTAATCCACAGTAGGAAGTGCCAATGGTTTCAAAAGTGTCTACACAAAACAATATTCTAAGACAAAATAAATAGCTCATGGTTTATGCTCTTTCACAGCATAAAACCTTAAAAAGAGATATAATTTCATTACAGGGCTGTAATTGTTATGGTACCACATGTCCAATTCTAAGGAAATATGTTAATGGATTCACAAGATGTCTGTTGAAGCACATGCTGAGTAAAATAAAATTTATGGTTGGTTTCAGGTATATCTGAAGTGCCACTATTCCTGATGTATATAGGTTGAGCATTCTAAATCCGAAAATTTGAAGTCTGAAATGCTCCAAAGTCTTGAGCTTTCTGAGCACCAACATGACACTCAAACGAAATGCTCAATGGAGCATTTCAGATTTTGGATTTTCGAATTAGGAATGCTCAAGAAGTATAATACAAGTATTTAAAAATCTGAAAAAATATAAAATCCAAAACACTTCTGGCCTGAAGCAATTTTGGGTAAGGGATACTCAACTTGTATTATACCACACATATAAATGATCAACTAGATATTCCACTGTAGAAATTTGAGGGTGTGACTTCTATTGTCACTCTGAGAGACATTCCACTTCAGTGTGGAGATGGATCTAAGGGTAAGTTACATTGTCTCTCAAATATGAGTTTTGAATTGCTTAAGGAATTAAACAAACTTTAAAAAAGAGATCTCAGAGTTCTACACTACAAAACAGACATGTACTATCTAAACAGGCCTGCCAGGAGGAGTTCTCTGCGAAATATACCATACTAAAGTAGATGAAAGAATATTTTAATTCTGTATTTTAAAACTTTTAAAAACACATGCCAAGTATAATGATTTGAAATGTAATGTGTTGATCAATGTTAAAATACCAAACTACTCTTTTTTAACCTGTTAGGCAACTAATGCAAGTCTTTTTAGGTCACCCATAGTTTGTGGAAAGAATAAAATGTTTGTTTATAGTCTACCTTATTTCCCAAGGGATTTGAAGTAGGTATATTGGATGTCTGTCATTGCTGGGGACAGTTTTACCACAGAAGAGGCTAATTAGAGTAGAAAAGATTGATAGAGGGATGGAAAAAGAGAATAGGACACATGAGCAAAGGTTGAGCTGTGATGATACTGAATATAAAGGGTAAAAGAGAAGCAGAAACAGTTACCTCAGTGACACACAAAAGTCTGGAGAATAAGGGAAACCTTGAAATGCATAGGAAAAAAACTAGGATAGAATAGGAAATTAGTAAGGAATAAGAGTAGTGAACAGACAGGAAGAACTGGACCAGGAACTCAAATGTTAAAATAGCCAAGAGGGAGAAACAACACAAAGCAGGAAGATTTTTTTTTTTATAAAGGAAGTAATTTTTTTTTTTTTTTGAGAATGGGGTCTTGCTATATTGCCCAGGCAGGTCTCGAGCTCCTTGGCTCAAGCTATCCTCCTGCCTCTGCCTCACTAAGAGCTGGGATTACAGGCCTGAGCCATCACACCCGGTGGAAGTAATATTTTTGTTGATAATGTCCAATTCTATGAAGTTATTAAATTCAGTCAGAAGAGAATCTGCCTAAGTGGGAATTAAAATGGCTAAAGTTTTAACCTCAATTATTTTGAAACCAGAACATTTTCCCCACTATAGACGATTTTCTAACCTGTCTTGGAGGTGATCAGAACTTTTCAGTACTATTTGGCAAGCCAATTTTAGGGCTTGAAGGTGCCATGGAAATCATCTAGACTAGTGTGATGCCTGTACTTGCCAAATAAGACAACTTAAGTTCTGAAGAATATACAGAGGTCATATAGCTCAGTTTGTGGGAAAGCCAGGGATAGAACCAGGTACTGACTTTCAGTTCATGGCTCTTCCCAGTAGGGTATCCTGATTTTCTTGATCACCTATCACTGCAGCACTTAAGGGGTGGCAAGATCTGAGGGAGTTGGGGAGGAAGGCTACACTTAATATTCAAGGCATATTCTAAAATCATGAGGCTAGTTTCTATGAACTACACAGAAAACCTTGCCTCAGTACAGTGATGCTATATTTGGTCTCTTCTCTTTAATCTTAAAAAGAACTAAGAACTAACTAGCCATTGGAGTTTTACACTTATTTTCTTTATATGATTCACTGAATGAATTCAATATATCTTATTTAAAAATATAAATGCTAACTTTTGCAAGAAAGAGTTTACATATTATTGCTTAATTTAAAATACACTTTTAAGTAAAGTGTCTTACCTCAAGTTTACAAGAGGGAATACTGAATAAAAATGGATAAACTACAATTAAAAGTCACAGTCTTGATACCTTCATATTAGATGCCTCAGTTTCCAGTTTTGTAAGATGATTGGAATTATCTTCTAGCTCTTGTCGAAGATTTGAGTTCTCCATCTTCAGTGCCTCAACTTGCTTTAACAACTGATCATATGAAGCTGCAGCCATCCTTGGCTACCCTTGGACCTATAAGGTTAAAAAGGATTTTGAAATTCACTACTAAAAAATTTAGTGGCTGCTTGTTTTTAAAGAAAGGGGTAAAGGAAACAAAACTCTTAAGACGTTTAAGAAGAATTGTGTTAATATGCTAGTTTTTGGTCTCAAAACAATATTGTTCAAGTAGCAGCATCTAAGAGGATGAAACAGTGGAGTCTTAGTTCAAGATAAATGAAATTAAAATAGAAGAGAGAACTTTAGTTGTGTCTGAATACATTTGCCTTCTCACAGATGGATTAAACTTTCTATCAAGTAATAATTTCTTCAAGGTTTTAAAGATATTTTACCCATTCTTACAGGCAAAACTTAGGAAATATAATTATGATAAAAATTTATTTATATTAGTAATACTATTTTATTTCTGAATTTTATCTGATAGTCACAGAATTTTAGAGCCAGAATGGATTAATGAGATTACATATTCCATTTCACACTTTTTATTTGATAAAAGGCTAATCTTACACATCCTCCATGGTGAAATAGTTCTGAAGTTCTAAGATGTCATTAAAAGGCAATCATTTAACAAAATGGACATGAAGGAGAGCATTAAATGAAGACTTTAAGCCTTTTTGATAGGAAGATGGTAAATAAGAATTACTAACATAAAGTTCAATCACATTTATTCAAAAGGTTGACTATAATAGCCTATGCTATGGCATATGTGGTCTTGGGATCTGCTGTGCTCAAACTGAGGCCAAAAGAT
Organism: Homo sapiens; assembly: GCF_000001405.40. NCBI lineage: Eukaryota > Metazoa > Chordata > Mammalia > Primates > Hominidae > Homo > Homo sapiens. The sequence continues at coordinate 112,754,139 of NC_000005.10, read as the reverse complement.
ACCTAAAGAGAATGGATGACCTTAGGAGTAGAGACTGTCAAAGAGAAATGAAGCAGAGTCTGGCAGTTATTATGACTGGGAAAGAAGAGGAGAGACAAAGAAGATACAAAAGATAGCCAGGTAAGAGGACTTTAGGAAGAATTATAGAATGCTAGGAGTTATATTAAGATTAACCAAGTAAGATTCAGGAGATCCACATTCTCTTTTTAGTTTAGGTCAAATCATTTTGGAACAAATAAAATCCTGCCTATCTTAATTACTTAATAGCTAAAAAGTATTAAGTAGTTTGCACTTAAGCAATACTTAAACATCTTGACATTAAAAAAATGCCTCTGTAATATGAAATCCATTACACAAAATAAGGCAGACAGGTTGTAACACTGGCTAGTCACGACAATATTGGAGTTCAGCAATTGGAAGACTCTACCAAAGGAAATCAGGGGACTCATCTTAGATCTAGTTAGTTCTACAACGGCTAGAATCTACAGTAAACCTGGTACAATCCAATGACATCTGAGGAGGAAGGGGAGTCCTGCAGGCAGGGATCACCTACAAAAGTCTTTGGTTGAAAAAAATTGAGTCTTGTGTGTTAATTTCAGGCCTGGTCATGATTTAATCTTTGCCCTTTCATTTTAATTCATTTCACAATTTGTAAATGAACACTTACAATCTGCTTCAACATAACTTACAGTGATATTATTAGGATTAATAAAAAAAGGTATGCTAAAAATAAAAGTACTATGTAAATGTAAGTTATATTATGAAAATATACATGTAACATAACCTCTTCAGTAAGATATAGGGTTCACCCATAGTTAAGACCCCTCCTCTGATCAATGGGCAAGGGGTGAAGAAGTAATGCAGCCAAAGGAGACATCTCAAAAATAAAGGAAAAATCCACAGGAGTGATCATTATTTTGTTTTACATCTTTTTAATAAGCAGGTCTGAAAATACCCAGCACATTATAAACCATATGACAGAGGTAGGGATCTGACAGAATTTGAATAATGTGAACCTTAAAATTTCTCATTTCAAATAAAATTAACAGGTAATTTTACATCAAAATAATAAAACAAAATAAGAGAAAAGGTAGTAACAGAGAAAAAAATGGGCATGCACAAGTTTACTGAGACACAGAAGTTATAACCTTACACAACCACAAAAAGAGCCGGATGGGCAAGATGAGCAGAGACTGCTAAAAGTACCCTTTATTACAGGAATAAAAAAATCAACTCTTCAGATGAACAATTAAACTTTTAATCATCTTTTTTTCCCTTAACTCCAGATTCCCAATCATTAAAGTTCTTTCTGCTCTAGAAAGAATCTAACTTTATGGAAAAAATAACAAGTTTCATGGAAGAATACCCAACCTTATATTGTTTTAGGATGCTGCAGCCATACCTCCCTAATCCAAAACTTGTGAAGTCATACAAAATTTGTGAAGTCATAAATTTACTTTGGAATGCCTTTTTTGCAATTACACGAATTGCATACCAAATATATCTTTAAAACATTTTTCAAATTTGAAACTTGTGTGATCACATTACAGCTGCCACACACCATGAAATGGGGAAAACCTCCCAATCTTTCACTTTACTGAGAGCATGCAAACCTCTCAATTTGTTTTTCTGCAGTTAAGATGACCACTAAAGACACTGCTGCACCTTGTAAGTGTGGGGTAGGGGAGAAGAAAGCACAAGGACTATTATCTAGACTTTTATTCAAATGTTCATTAGAAAATAAATTTACAAGTAATGTAAGAAATTAAAGCAAGGAAGCAAAAAATTTCAGGCTGGCAAAAGATAATCAGAATTAAATGTGGAGGATTATTATTTTCAGAAGTTTGAGATCACTTCTTTTTTACATTAATGGAGCTGCTTTTATTGTTTTGTTTTCATGGAAAAACAAAGATATATTTTCCAGCATTTTTAGATGAAATGAGGAAAATATGAATAAGAAGGCAGGAAAGCAAAAGAATCATAAAAGATGACTCTGCTCAACTCTATGCAAACAAATTTGAAAACCCAAAATAATTTACTAGAAGATATAATCTATCAGAACTGATCCCAAAAGAGATGAAAAATATAATTTACAATGAAAAAGTCACTATTAGAAAATTAATTATATCATTTAACATAATAGATATGGGAAAAAATCATATGTTCATGCCAAAGATGAGGAAAAGACACTTTACAAATTTAATACCCATTCTTGTTGAAAATACTGAATAAAAAAGAACATTTCTTTAACATGATCTATCAACCCCAAGGCCAACAGCATACTTAATGTGGAAACACTGGATATAGTCCTACAGTCAGGGTACCATTCTATTAGTCATAATATTAGTCAACACAAATTAATGAATAAAATTAGAAAAAAATTAGAAAGGGAACATTATTCACAGATAACACAATTATATACCTGGAATATACAAAAGCATCGATGAAATATTATTATAATAATATAATTTGGCAATACAGTATAGTACAAAATATACAGAAATCATTCATTTATAGGGGAGAGAAACCAGACAGAAGATAAATGAAAGAAAAGATCCCATTTACAATAAAAAATGCAAATATCTGGGCATAAACTACAAAAAGAGTCCAAAACATATATGAGAAAGATAGAAAAGTAGACTTCAACAAATGGAAAGACGTTTCTTATTCTGGTATACCAAGATTCAGCAACATAAAAATGCCATTTCTCCCTAAGCTAACTTATAAATTTTACAGTCCCAGTAAAAATACTATATAAAGCTTTTGTTTATTTTCTGCAGCTAGACATTTAAAAAATTGAAAATATGAAAGAAGAGCAGGGAGTAAACCAACAACATATTAAAATATTGTACAAAGCCTTTATAATTAAAACCATATAAATGTAGTTAACTATATTGTACCAATAGATTAGTTTTTTTGTTTTGATAATTGTAGTACAGATATATAAGATGTTAATCATCTGGGGAATCTGTAAAAGGTATATAGAAACTCTCTGTACTATTTTTCCAACTCTTCTGTAAGTCCAAAGTTATTTAAAATTAAAAGTTTTTTAAAAAGCTACAATACCAGTACATGAATAGATCAACCACGAGAACACAATGTTTAAAATCCAGAAGTAAATATATATAAATTCAGTATATGATTAAAGTAGCATCTCAATACTTGTAAAAAGATGGAATTTAAAGTGGTGCTGGGAAATAGGACAGCCATGAGGAAAAAGAAAAAACTGCATCTATTCCTCATACAACACACTAGGATAACTTGCAAAAAGGAACAGAGATTTAAATGTTTGAAAAACATTTCATTGCTTATGAGAGCAGACTTTTATTTTTTTAAGTAAAGATATTTAAATGGTGTACACCCTCTTCAAAGGATGGTATGGAACATTTTAATTTTAATTTGTTTAATGGGTGTAAGACACACAGAGGGCCAAGTAGAGTTCTCTAAAGTAATGATGTCCGTTACTAGACTAGGAGTAATAAAGGAGATTCTTAGGGTACTTCAAACAAATGGGAAAGTTTCTATTTGCTATAAAAGCACAACTACGTTAAAATAAATAATGCACATCTGTACAGTGAAATACTACATTGGTATTAAGAAGAATGAGGCTGATGTAAAAATGAGGTTGATGAAAAACAAAACAAACAAACATAAAAAACAGGCAAAAGCCAAGAAAAAAAAAAAGAATGCTCATCACTAATGCCTCATGTGGTCCCTCCTCTTCCAGTAAAAATAAAGGAGTGCATAAGGATAAAAAATATCACTTAAAGAACATACAAAAATACAGTCACTGCTTATAGAATCAAGGTATGGTGTCTGGTGGTAAGCCTTCCTTTTTATTACATACCCTTTGAAGAGTTTGAAAAGCAAAGCATTGGCCAGGTGGCGGTGGCTCATGCTTGTAATCCCAGCACTTTGGGAGGCTGAAGCGGGCGGATCACTTGAGGTCAGGAGTTCAAGACCAGTCTGGCCAACATGGTGAAACCCGATCTCTACTAAAAATACAAAAATTAGCCAGGCGTGGTGGCATATGCCTGTAATCTCAGCTACTTGGGAGGCTGAGGTGAGAGACTAGCTTGAACCTGGGAGGTGGAGGATGCAGTGAGCCGAGATCGCGCCACTGCACTCCAGCCAGGGAGACAGAGCAAGACTCCATCTCAAAAAAAAAAAACAAAAAAAAAAAGAGAAAAAGAAAACCATCCAAAAGTTGGATTTAAAAAAAAAAAAACAACTAAGTATGATTAGAGACAGGAAAAAGAAAACAACCTCCAAACATATTAAAGATTCTAGGGAGGGGGAATTGATTCAAGAAGCAACAGAAAAACCTTAATAGTTCTACAACTATTAAAAAATTGGACCAGGCGTGGTGGCTCATGCCTGTAATCCCAGCACTTTGGGAGGCCAAGGCGGGTGGATCACGAGGTCAGGAGATCGAGACCATCTGGCCAACATGGTGAAACCCCGCCTCTACTAAAAATACAAAAATTAGCCGGGCATGGTGGCATGTGCCTGTAGTCCCAGCGCCTCCGGAGGCTGAGGCAGGTGAATCGCTTGAACACGGGAGGTGGAGGTTGTTGCAGTAAGCCAAGATCATGCCACTGCACTCCAGCCTGGGTGACAGAGCAAGACTCCATATCAAAAAAAAAAAAAAAAAAAAAAATTGGAGCAGTAAGTATTAATATCTTTCCCCTCCTCCTCCAAATCCTTCAAAATACCGTATCTGAATGGTTTTACAAACACCTTCTACCAAACTTTTAAGGAACAAATCATTCCAATCTTATACAAATGCTTCTAAGGATGGAAAAATAGCAAATATTTTCCAATGCATTCCATGAAGCCAATCTAACCATGACATACAGGTCAAAGATTGTGTGAAAAAGAATAATCATAAGCTAATATTTACAAATGTTGATTTGAAAAATCTAAACGAGATTATCAGGAAGCAGAATACAATAACATACAGTAAAGAAACTACAGCAGAACAAAGCTGAGTTTATTCCAGGAATGCGAGTAGAGTGCAATATAAGATCATTTATATGTGTCACTCGCTACATTAAAATACTAAAGAAAAACCATCTTAGACAAAGAAAAAACTTTCCATAAAAACCTGGAAATAGGAGGGAAACTGTCAGAGCTAAAGCAAACTTCATTCTTTTTTTCTGAGACAGGGTTTTACTCTGTCACCTAGGCTTACCGCAGCCTTGACCTCCCTGGCTCAAGTCTCAAGTAACCCTCCTGCTTCAGCCTCTAGAGTAACTGGGACTACAGACACAAGCCAACATGCCCAGCTAATTTTGTAAACCTCATTCTTTTTTTTGTTTTTTAAATAGATGGAGTCTTGCTCTGTTGCCCAGGCTGGAGTGCAGTGGCATGATCTGGGCTCACTGTAACCTCCCAGGTTCAAGCAATTCTCATCCCTCAGCCTCCCGAGTAGCTGGGATTACAGAGATGGGGTTTTACCTGTTGGCCAGGCTGGTCTCAAACTCCTGACCTCAAGTGATCCGCCCGCCTCCACCTCCCAAACTGCTGGGATTACAGGCGCTCCACACCCAGCTATAAACTTCATTCTTCATAGTGAAATGTTACAGACATTCTCTTTAAAATCAGGAATAAGATGTCTACTATCCACACTTCCAGTCAACATAATCCTGGAAGTCCTAATTCACACAGTAAAATTTAAAAAAGAGAAAGTGTTATCATTGGAAAGAAACAAAATAGAAACATCTTAGAAATATAAAAATTTTAGGCTTGCCAGATACAAAATCAATAATATACCAAAAAGTTTTAAATTCCAAGCAGAATTCACCTCATCCATTTTAATTTTCTCTTTAACAACCCTTTTCTATTTCTCTTTCTCTTCCCTACTAAGGCCCCATTAGGTGGTGATATTCAGTTTTCTGTTTGCCATATTCTTTCCCCACACTTTCCTTTGCTTACATTCTGTAAATAGCTACATAACACTGGCTAGACCTATCCAAGCCCATACCACGTGTGGGCAGGTCTCAAGATGCCCATCCCAACGACCAGGAGCGGGGGTTGGCAAGCATTTTCTGTAAGGGCCAGATAATAAATATTATAAGGCTTTGTGGGTCGTATGATTTCTGTTGCAACTACTTGACTTTGTAGCTGTAGCACAAAAGCAGCCCCAAACACATAAATAGATGGGCATGCCCATGCTCTAATAAAACTTAATTTACAAAAACAGGTGGTCTAAAGCATAATTTCCTAATTTGGGTTTTCAAACACCCCAAGGTAACCCAAATAATTTCAAAGGCCATTGAGAAATTCCTAATACTAAAATTAGTATTTTACTTTTAAATACTAAATTTCCAACCTGCCATGTTGGAAAGAACAGAGAACTAGGAAGTCTTAGAATCCTTGATTTCTTTTCAGTGATCCATTTTAATTCCCACGATTTCTTCATCTTCCAGAAACTTGTTACAATGTCAATTTGAATGTCTCTTACTCTTTATGGCATTGTAAGCTCCCATCTTTATTTTGTTTTTACTATCACTTTAATGGGGTCTTAGGCGAAAGAGGTGATAAATTTGGGAGATTAATTCACTAGCTTGAATAAGAAATTTTACTTTACATTTAGATCTTTAATTCATAAGGCATTTTTATTGCTGTGTATGGCATGAGTGTAGTGGTCTAACTTTATTGTGTTTCATATGGATAACTGAAAGTAGTAATAAACAGTGCAATTACATCAGCACTATTAAACAAACCATTTCTTTTCCACTGAATGGAAACGTATTTCTTATAGCTCAATTCTCATACTTAGAACTGTAACTATATTTATATTAATTTGAGAGAGGCTCACATTTCCATACTAAGTCTTACTATATCTCATGAATAATTTAGCCTCTGCAATCAAATTTTCCAGGGTTTTCCCCCCTCAAGAAAAAGGTCCTATGCCTCTGTATCTTTCACATCAAATTTATCCCTAGGCTTTTGGCTATTTGAGTTGCTGTGAATGACCACCACCACCCCACATCGAATACTGCTAATGGCCAGGTGTGGTGGCTCATGCCTGTAATCCAAGCACTTTGGAAGGCTGGGGCTGGAGGATCACTTGAGTGAGACCAGCTTGGGTAATGCAGTGTGACCCCTTCTCTTAATAAAAGAAAGAAAGAAAAACAAATATTGCTAGTATATATAAAAGCTACTAATTCTATTTAACTCATAACCCTTGTGTGGCCACCTTATCAAATGATTCTATGAATTCCAATAGGGTTTCCAGTGGATTTTCTGGGTATGCAATCATATAATCTGTAAGTGATGATACTTGTGACTCTTCTTTCCTGCATTTGTACCTCACTTCTTTTTCACGTTTTATTGTTAGCTTGAAACTTTAAAATGTCGAATAAACTATCTTATTCTCGATTTTAATAAGAATGGCATATTATTTCACTATTTAATATTCTTACTCAGATTTCAGTAAATTTTTTAAACATGTTTAGGCATTTTCCTTTGAGTTTAAAGTTTTTGTTAGTAGTGGTTGCTGAACGTAAATAGCACTTTTTTGTATAATCATATCGTTTCTCTTTTAATTTCTTGATGCAGTCAGTTATAAGATTTTTGAATGTTGACCTATCCTCCATTCCTGAAATAAACCCCAGTTGTTCATGTTTTATGCTTTTACGAGCCTGTTGATTTTTCCATATTTCACTTAGAATTTTTAAAGAGAAAATGTATAGTTTTAAATTTTTATAGTATTTTGAAATAAGGTTTTCAATTAAGCTTATGCTATCTCATCTTTTTATATGGTCTGGAATAGTTTGAATAGTGTCTATTCTTTGAAAGTCAGCTAGAATTCAAATCAGAAGGTGCCTTTTTTCTTTTTTCTTATCAAAGTGACGGATACTCAAAAGAGGTGCCATTTTAGAGCTAAGATTTTTTTAAAGTATTTTAAAGTTTCTTCTGTGATTTACTCTTTTAATGCTTTCTCCATCTTGTATTAATTTTATTCATTAATAGTTCACTAGTAAACTATTTCTTTCCTCTAGTTTTTCAAATGTATTGTCAGAGTTGTATATATTCTGTCATTTAAAAATTCTTTATCTGAAGGTATCTTTTCTCACTGATGTTCTGTTTGCCTTTTATTCCTTTAAACTTTTTAGGGTTTCATTTATTTTATTGGTGTTTACCAAAACAAACAAAAACATCAACACATACTTTCCACTACTTTATTTTCTATTTTATCAATTTCTTTATCTTTACTAATTATATCCTCTTATTTTCCTTTGGTTTACTTTGTTATTTTTAATAGTTATTTAAAGTGAAAGGCTGGCGTGGTGGCTCACGCGTGTAATCCCCATACTTTGCGAGGCAGGTCAAGGTCAGGAGTTTGAGACCAGCCTGGCCAACATGGTGAAATCCTGTCTCTACTAACAATACAAAAATTAGCTGGGCGTGGTGGCACCCGCCTGTAGTCCCAGCTATGGTGTGGGGTGGGGGGGTCGCTAAGACAGGAGAATCGCTTGAGGTGGAGGTTGCTGTGAGCCGAGATTGCAACACTGCACTCCAGCCTCGGCGACAGAGTGAGACTCCGTCTCAAAAAATAATAATAATAATAATAATAATAATAAAGTGAATATTAATTCATTTATTTCCTTACTTTACTTAAACATTCACTTATTCGTTTCATCCTTAATAATATAAATTTTAAGGACATCAATTTTTCTCTTAGTACAGCCTTATCTACATTCCACAAGTTTTAGTATGAAGTGTTCCCCTCTTTATTTCCAGATAACTCATGACTTCCATCTTGATTTCCTCTTTGATCTAGGGGATACTTCAAAGATCTGTCTCAATTGTTAGGTATATAAGGCTTTTTGAGTCATCTTTTTATTGTCATTGATACATTGCTTATTAGATTAATGGAAGACTATTGCTTATAAAATTGTTACCATCTGAAAATTTTTAAAGGTTTGCCTTGACTAATTTTCATAAAAATTTTACTAAAAATGTTTTAAAAGGAAAAGTATATAAAGTTCTATAACTGACCAGCATATTATTTAAATCCTATATATGCCCTTATTTTTTATGTATTTGATATGTGAAATTCAGAAAGCCTGATATCTATTTAGTACTTACAATATCTCACGTAATGTAAATGCTTTCTATATATTAACTCATTTAATCCTCACAACCACCTATGAGGTAGGTGTTACTCATTTTTGAGTTAAGAAAAATGGAACTCCAAAACAGTAGATAACTTCCCTAAGAACACATATCAAGAGCCTATGCCAGAATTCAAATCTGTACTTGTTTTTAATGCTCATGCTCTCAAAGACTGTATAACTTCTGTCTGGTGTTCACAATCTATTATATCTGATAATAGTCTACCTTCAAAACTTATTTCCTATTAAGTTCCAAGATAACCTTCCTCAAGTAAGTCTCTCCTCACTTTCCTCTACAAACTATTTCTTACCTTTATATTTTTGTTTATACCTCCTCCCCTTTCTGAATACCACATCCTTTTTTCCTCTGCTGTTATAATATATCCTCATCCTTTAAGGCCCAGCTCAGTTTCTTACACAAAACCTTCCTGATGTCTCTAGCCAATAATGAATCTTCCTGCTGGCTGAACAGTAAATACTATACAATTTGGCCTAACTTCTCAAATTATTCCATTTTACCTTGGGGTGTTTTGTCTTCCCAGCTGGAGCATAAATATCTTGAAGACAAGGTCTATATCTAATACTTAGCTTTTGTAATTCCCAAAATGCTTTACTCAGCGACAGCCATATAAAAGACAAATATACACGTAAGAATGAACAGAAAGGGTGCATTATCAGCCACAGAGGGCAGACAACAGAAAGAGAGGGCACAAGTTCAGAGAATGTCCAAGATGACTTTTCCATAAAAAAAGTAAGACAATATGCCTTGTTATCCACAAGGTACCATATTTAGGTATCTTATTATTCACAAGGTACCAAGTATTAAGGGAGTGTTATGGGTTGAACTGTGTTTCATAAAAAGATATGTTACAGGTGTGAGCACAGTGGCTCACACCTGTAATCCCAGCACTCTGGGAGGCTGAGGTGGGAGGATCACTTGTAGACAGGAGTTCGAGACCAGCCTGTGCAATATAGTGAGACTCTCTCCTTATGAAAAAAAAATTAAAAATTAGTCAGCTGTGGTGGCACATGTTTGTAATCCTAGCTACTTGGGAGGCTCAGTTGGGAGGACTGCTTGAGCCCAGAAGCTACTCTAGCCTGCGCAACAGAGGGAAAAAAACCAACAAACAAAAAAACACCAAAAAATGTCATGTCAAATGTGACCTTATTTGAGGACAGAGTCTTCATAAATGGATCAAGTTTGAGATGAGGTCATACTGGATTAGAGTGGCCCTAAGTTCAATGACTGGTAAGACAATGACAGATCAAGTTTCAACAAAGCGCCCACAGAACTGGTGTTATAACGAGTCTAAAAGATACAAAGAGAAATTTAATAAGGCTGTGTTGCTTTAACGTTTCTCAGTTTCTATTACAGACTATGTCAGAAGTAGCTGATACACTGATATAAATTAAGTGATGATAAAATCAAGAATCTAATTGAACAATGAATATCTGCTTACCATCTTGGTGATCATTATATATTATACTATGCTTTAAATAAACTTGGTAAATGAAAATCTGAAATTACCAAAAGAAAGTAACACACATTCGCAAAAGTAAAAATAACTAAAAAAATCCTTCAGCTTAAAAAAAATGGAGAACCAGATGAGTATGCCTGTGTATGGCCCCACAAAGATGGCCAAATCCTAGTCCCCAAAACTTATGAATGTGTTACCTTATGTGGCTAAAGGAACTTTGCAGATGTGATTAAGTTAAAGATCTTGAAGCTGATTTTCCTGGATTATCTGGGTGGACCCAATGTAATCACAAAGGTTCTTTTAAGAAGGAGGCAGAAGGGTCAGAGAAGAATATGTGACAAGAGCAGCAGAGGGTCAGATTCAGAGAGAGATTTAGAATGCTGCTGGCACTGAAGATGGAGAAAGAGGCCATGAGACAAGGAATGCAAGAAGCTGAAGAAAAGCAAGAAAATGGATTCTTCAATAGAATCTCTAGAGGAGACGCAGAGCCACTGATATCTTGATTTTGGTCCAGTGAAAACCGTGTCTGATCTCCAGGACTGCAAGATAATACATTTGTGTTCTCTTAAACCACTAAGTTTGTGTTAATTTGTTACAACAGCAATAGGAAACAATGCCCTTATTATCCAGTGATCCCTCTCCTAGGGATAAATCCAGTGAAACTGTTTCACTGGTCGATGTAATGATCTTAAAATATATCATAAATTCTTTGACCCTACTCCTTTAAGAGGTGGATCCTAATTCCTCTCTTTGGTGGGCTGGACTTAGTGACTCATATCTAATAAAGAGAATACAGCAGAAGCAATGGTGTGTGGCTTCTGAGTCTAGGTCATAAATGGCCTTTCTGTTAGAATCATTGAGGGAAGCCAGCTGCTATGTCATGAAGACATTCAAGCAGCCCCATGGAGAGGCCCACGTGACAAGGAACTGAGGTCTCTTGCCAATAGCCAATGAAAAACTGAGACTATGTGAGTTAGCCATCTTGGAAGAAGATCCGTCAGTCTAGTCAAGCCCTTCAGATGACTGTATCTGTGACTGACATCGTGACTGCTACTTCATAAGAGATCCTGCCTCAGTCAGACCATCCAACTAAGACATTCCTGAATTCTTGCCCCACAGAAACTGTTTAAGCCACTAAGTTTTGGTACAATTTGTTATACAGAAATACATAAATAACATAGTCCAAGGAGATATGTATAAGAATGTATATCATAAAGGTGTTTGTGGTTAACGGGATTTGGAGAAAACTTACGGCCTTCACTGGAGGAACAGTGATAGGTACTATAGAATACTATAGAGCAGAGTTAGCATCACAAACTAGATGGACATAAAGTAAAATGGATAGATCTTAAAAACAGTATTGAGTTAATAATGTTCAAAAATTATGTAAATTAAAAACACAGGTTTGAGTACACACAAAAAAAGTAAAACCCAAGCAGACACTTGCACACCCACGTTCATAGTAGCATTATTCATGATAGACAAAAGGTGGAAACAACCTGAAGTGTCCACTGACAGATGAATGAACAAAATGTGGCATATACATGCAATGGAACATCATTTAGACCTAAAAAGGAAAGAAATTCTGACACATGGCTACAGTATGGATGAACCTTCGAGACATTATGCTAAGTGAAATAAGCCAGGTGCAAAAGAATAAATATTAAATGGTTTTTCTTATTAGAGGTTCCCAGAATAGTCAAATTCTTTGAGACAAAAAGTGGAGTGGTGGTTGCCAAGGGTTGGGGGGAGGGGAAAATGGCATGTTAGTGTTTAATGTGCACAGAGTTTTAATTAGGGAAGATTAAAAATTTCTAGAGATGGGTGGTGGTGATGGTTGCACAACAATGTGAATGAACTTAATGCCACAGAACTGTACAATTAAAAGTGCTTAAGATGGTAAATTTTATGTATATTTATCACAATAAAATTTTTTTAAAAATCTCATTAACTGTAAAAAACAGACTCACAAAATGATGCTATTTCTCAAGAATTTATGCATATTAAACACACAAGAAGAGTGGGTGCAGGGTGTGAGAATAAAGGGGAGAAGGCTTACCTTGTATCAACTGATGATGTATGATTTGATTTACAAAGTCAACTTTTGAGAACATACCTATTCACCTAATGTTCTCATTGTACATTCAAGATACTTAGTACTTCAAAAGTAATTTAGTTTTCAAAAATTCTCTGTGACTCTAAGCAGATTTTATGAAAAAGCAGTGTTTCAAACAGCAATCCACCATATTCTTCTAAATTAGAGGATATCTTAGATTATATAAATCTTTAAATATCCTAGGAGTAGCCAAAGCAGTGTTTAACTTGTAATGAAATTTCACATAATTCTACCATGAGTTTTCTTAGAGATTAGTTTACGTGTCTTATTTGACTCCAGCATTTTTCAAAGATGATATTTAGAAGGTATCCTAATAAATATGTAGTGAATATATTTCCTAAACTATTACCCATCTTTTCTGAACCATAATACTCTATCCCATTTTATGTGCTGCATAGGTAGGTTTCAGATTCTAATACAAGAAAAGGGGGAGAAGGGAGATCAAAATTGAAGAGAACATTTAAACATATACAAGTATAAAAGATCATTTAAACATATACAAGTATAAAAGATTGGTTAAATTTCATAAAATGAGTAACAGTTTATAAAACAGACAAAAATGGTAAAATCTACAGAGCAATTAATGCAAATGGAAAAACTTCATGGTGGCTCACACCTGTAAATCCCAGCACTTTGGGAGGCTGAGGTGGGAGGATCATTTGAGCTCACGAGTTCGAGACCACCCTGGGCAACATGGTGAAACCCCATCTCTACAAAAAATATAAAAATTAGCTGTGCACGGTGGTATGTGCCTGTAGTCCCTGCTACCTGGAGGGCTGAAGTGGGAGCATCACTTGAGCCTGCGAGGTTGAAGCTGCAAGTGAGCCATGTTTGCTACTGCACGCCAGCCTGGGTTGACAAAGTGAGACCCTGTCTCAAAAAAAAAAAAAAAAAAAGAAAAAAAAACACAAAAAACAAAAACTTCAATAGCTTAAATTCAGTTCATAAAACATTTATGAATATTTAATTTTAAATTCCTTAAACAGCACAATTCAGGCCATATCAGAGCAGTGAATAATTTCAAAGACCACTAAAGCCAATAGGTCAGTCATAGATTAGATATACTACAAGAGGAATGAAATAAACTTTAGTTCTTTATTTCTTATTTAATTCAGAAAAACATCTCAATCTAACACTGTTCTACTTAAATGTGTTCATATGATTAATAAGACGATCTTTAAAAAGTCGTTTATGAATGTCATTATGAAAACTGCTGCTTCTCCATTTGCTTAGTCACCAGGTATTTTTTAAAGCATTCTTATATTGTAGATAAAAATCCACAACCAAGTAGGATTGCCTTTTCATTTTTTGAATAATTTGTCAGTGACTTACACTGTTTTTCAAATTACCTCTGTTATATATTATTTTGTATGTATGTAATAAAAGGCATTATAGTTTTATAGAATTAGAATAAAATAGAAGACTTAAGTTCTTTACATTGTTATACAATATTTGACCTTGGATAAAGTCACAACATACTTGAATAGGAGTCTCTAACATTTAAAATAAAAATAATGCTACAATGAGCTGTTAAAATGGTAAAAGGTAATTTATGTAAAAATAATAGTTTTATAGACTCTCAAACACTATGCTAATGGAATTCAAAGAACTGAGTAATATTAGCTGTTAAATGTCATTTGGAATTTTAATGTGACATCTTTAGTTCTAGCCATAGTTTCCATCAGATTTTAAAAAAGAGACTCTAAGTACTTTTTTTTGAGATAGGGTCTTGCTTGGTTGCCCAGGCTGGTCTTGAACGCCAAGGCTCAAGTGATCCTCCTGCCTCAGCTTCCCTCAGCCTCCTGTTTAGCTTGTATTACAGGCATGGGCCACCACGCCCGGCTCCTAAGTACTATTAACCCTGATATCCATGATCAAGTAATTCTTAAAGCAGAAATAATTTTTTAAAGAACTATTTAAATTTATCAGTGAAAAACTTATGTAGTCTTATTTATCTAAGCCAGCCCAATTCCGCATTATCTTGAAAATATTACTGAAACAATATAATAGGTCATCTTAAGACTTTCTATTACATAAACATTATTTAAGAGACACTGTCACTGACCCTGGAGGGCTTTACAAAGCCACTGCCATCCTTGTTCAGGGAGTGGGGAGGTGTGGCAGGCTGGCTACTATAAGTATGCATAAAGATAGGCTTTTACATTTAGGTAAAGGAAAAAAAAGCTCAATGAAAAACACTTTATATCAAGAGTATATCTCATGAGTACTCACTAAACAGAAATACATCTAGAAGAAAAGCCATGTTGCTTTAATTTAAAATATTTGCACACTGAATTAATATCTTAAATATTTATTCAGTGTTATCTAAAAGCAACCAAAGAGAAATATAAAATTACTTAACTATAGGTCTTAAATATTAGGCCTACAAAAATTTGTTCACCATAATTTTTGACAAAGTAATTTACGTTGTAAAGTGGTTTGCTCTTGAATGACCTAATTAATGGCATAAAAGCTTCACTAACAAAAGAAAAGATCCACTGTTTCATACATAATTTATTAAGATTTCGTATAGGATTTATGTTAAATCAAAGAATTTGAGCATCACTTTCGTGATGTAGAATCAAAGTGTCCAATACATTCCAATGACAAAACATTCATAGCCTGACATTATTCCTACTTTAAAAAACAGTAATTTTTTTTCTGCTGTTCAGGCTGCATTTATAAACTATGGCTTCTTGTAAATGGGCTTCTACCCCAGCATTTGCTGCAAGGTTTCTTATTCCTCTGCAGTTGTCTTTTCGGCCTAACAGAGGGAGAAAAAGCACTGCTGCAGTCGTCCGCAAAAAGCCACTACCACTGCATTTTGTAACTAACAAAGACACTGGTATCTGTTTGCCACCCTGTTCACAGGGAGTTTACTTAGATGTTTTACAAAAGCAGGCACACTACTGGTGACCAGTATTTCACCAACCAACACCACCACTCACGCTCTGCAGTACCTGCCTCCTCCTCTTTCTCTCATCCCCAGTAGCTCTTTCCACTAGATTCACATCAGCCATCTGCAGCGGTTTTGTCTCCTCTCTCTTTTGGCCACCAATGCATGTGTCCTTGTCGCCAGGGAGGAAAAGAAGCCTTTCAATGGGGTAGAGCTTTTGCTCCTCGCCATGAATATGCTCCATTCTTTGTTGTCCTCTACCCGTTTCCTTAGATACTGTTATTCCACTCTGTCAAATGGCATTATAAAAACAAAAACCCCTTCTGGCTTCAAAAACAGCTTTTCTCAGCAGACTCCCCTTAACACTTCTACCCCTCCCCCTTCTTCCTCTTCTGTCAAAAACCCTGGATCCGAAGTACAGGAAATCCATCTCCAGTGCTGCAGTGGGGGGCGGGGGGACGACGCCCCTGCCTCCTCGTTTGGCATGCTGCAGTGGACCCTGTGCCAAGGAAAGGCCATCGGTTTAAGACAGTGCGAGGGAAAACCACCTTCCCCCCTCCCCCCGCAGCAAGCCTGGCCATGGTGGCTCCAGCACCTACCCCATTTCCGAGTCCGGCAGCACCTCCATTCTGTCTCCAGTGACACCCTGGCGGGCTGCACCAATACAGCCACATGTCGGTCACGTGCGCCCACACCCAGCCAATCGGCGGGCTCCCGACGGGAATGGGGAGCGCCCTGGTCCGCATCCAGCGGATTACACAGCTGCTTCTCTCTCCGCTTCCCGACCCGCACTCCGCAGTGGGGCACAGGGCCCCGCCCAACCGCACAGCCTGCCTAGCCCTAGCCCCGTACCCCTCGGGGGTATGCCCTCGCGGCCCCAGTCCCCAGCAAGCAAGGAAGTTGATGGCAGTTGACACGCATAGTAAAGAGTCGGGGGAGGTCCGCAGGGCAGAAGGATTAGCACAAGATGCCGGAGGTGGGAGGGAGAGTAATAAATTACATCTCGATTGCTATGATTTTTGCAGCACAGAGAAACAATAATATTAAATGAATTACAATGAATAATTTTACATTACAAGTCACTGAGTTGTCAGAGTGATGACTTGTTAGATAGATCACTCGAATTATATTTGAATTAAAAATAGTTACCAGAAAAGCTATGCTAGCAGCTTAGTAGTGGAGATCAGAACTCTGGAAGTCTGGGTTGCCTGAGTTGAAGCTTTACTCCTGTCACTCTAGCTCTGTAACTTTAGTTACTTAACCTCTCAGTGTTTCAATTTCCTGCTGTATAAAACGGGAACAGAAGTACAGAATAGAGGAGTTAATATATATGAAGTATTTAGAGCAGTCCCTGACACATACATAGAAGTGCTGTTAGCTACTACAAATCTGAGGCTTTAATGTAGTATTTTAATGCAAATTCTACATTGCATTTAAATCGAACCAGGTGATGCTTAAATTCCCAATTTTATGAGGTTGAAGGACAAAATCCAAACTGTCAAGAATATATAAAGTTAAACTTAAATTCTGGTTTAAATGGGGGGAAACCAGTTTCTATTATCTATTTAAAATTTAAAAGGATACTATACTTCAAGTTTTCTTTGTTTGTTTTTTGAGATAGAGTCTTGCTCTGTCACCAGGCGAGTGCAGTGGTGCAATCTCCGCTCACTGCAACCTCCACCTCCCGGGTTCAAGCGATTCTCCTGCCTCAGCCTCCCAAGTAGCTGGGACTACAGGCACGTGCCATCATGCCCAGCTAAGTTTTGTATTTTTAGTAGAGACGGGGTTTCACCATGCTGGCCAGGATGGTCTCAATCTCCTGACCTTGTGATCCGCCCACCTCGGTCCCTCCAAGTACTGGGATTACATGCGTGAGCCACTGTGCCCGGCCTAAACTTAAAGTTTTTAAATGAAGCATATTATAATCGTTTCTTAATTTTCAAATAGTATGAAAAGAAGCAAGCTATTAAATAGCATATTTGAGGCAATTCCATTTGATTAAAAAATGTATATATTAGAAAAGCAATAGACACACAACAAAATGTCCATAGAGGTTATTCCTGGAAAGTGAGATTATGGAGCTATTTCTGCTGTCCTTTCGTGCTTTGTTTTTTTTCTCTTTCATTAGTCCCTGTGTTACAATGCCTGATATACAGCAAATACACCCCAAATATTTATTTAACAAGTGAGTTATTTCCACACTGATGGCATACTACTGTTCTATTAAAAGTTTAAATATATTTAGAAACAATTTCCCTTCATATTTGAAATAAATAAAAGCATGTAAATCAATTTGATTATATTCTAAATAACTCTCTTTTGAGAATGACTTCATTTTACAAAAGGCTTTCAAAATCCTCTTACTGAAAGCACATGATTCACTGCACAGGACTTATTTACAAGTCATTTTTTGTGACAAATTCAGAATAGGTAATTTCTCATAAGGCCTAGAACTTCCAGAAGGAAAACAGTCTTTCAAAACAAAGAATACCTTTTAAAAGGTCCTCAAAAGAACTTCTTAGTACCCTAAGACACAATTGTAAGCCTATTACTCTTGACTCAGACTATGATACAAGCTATTATTTAGTAAACCAGTTTGTAGCCAAAATGTTTGTCTAAATTTTTACTGCATGTATCATAGATATTCATCAGTGACTTAAATGACATAGTTGTAAAGAAAGCTACGACCATTATATGTTCATTAGTCACTATGCTTCAAATCTAAAAGAAAGCCAAGTTAAACATTTTGTATTTTATGTTGCCAATTACTCAGTAATATTTTTCTTATTTTTAGAGATTCCACAAAAGTTTAATTTGAATTTTTAAAACTGCTTAGCTATTTTAAAACTATAATTAAATATAGATATATAATCAAAGTATACTGGGCCAAATTTCAGCATGGAAAATTACTGAAGCATTACCTTGTCTTATCAAGTTTGCACATAGCTCAGAATAAAGCTCCTGCCATCTCTATTTGATTGAAGATGTTATTTACACTACATATACATATATATATATATATATGTATGCATTAAAAATATTTTCTGGGCAGGGTGCAGTGGCTCATGCCTATAATCCCAGGAATTTGGGAGGCCGAGGTGGCCAGTTCACTTGAGCTCAGGAGTTGGAGACCAGCATGGGCAACATGGCGAAACCTCATTTCTACCAAGAATACAAAAAAATTAGCCAGCTGTGGTGACACGCGCCTGTGGTCCTAGCTACTCTAGAGGCTGAGGTGGGAGGATCACTTGAACCCAGGAGGCAGAGGTTGCAGTGAGCCGAGATCTCGCCATTGTACTCCAGCCTGTGCAACAGAGACCATGTCTCAAAAGATATATATATTTTTTCTGATCAAAATGAAACAGAAATAAATTGTGTAACACTGTTTAAAGACCGCACTGACAAACATATCTCTTATTTTCAGTATCAGTGTTTGTTATAACCAGCTTCATTGCTTTTAGTAAATGGTTTCATATGTAAATGTTGTAAATATGAACATATAATTCAACTTAAAAAACCCTTCTGAACCTTCTGCAGCTACAAAAAAAAATGACTAAATAGGATTAATAGGATTCTTAATGTCTTAAATATTACATTCCCCAGCTACTTGGGAGGCTGAGGCATGAGAATCTCTTGGACCTGGGAGGTGGGGGCTGCAGTGAGCCGAGATCACACCACTGTACTCCAGCCTCAGTGACAAAGCAAGACTCTATCTCAAAAAAAAAAAAAAACACACACACACACACAAGAAAACCCTTTCCATTCCATTTTTACCTAGGCACTTTTGGCCTAATTTAAGACTTTTGGTTTAAAAAACTGACAAGAAGAATATTGACAATATTAACTAGTGTAAAATGAATTAAAATTAGTGCTCCTTTCAGTCGCCTTAATTGACTCTGGTGCTTTACTGATAAACTTAATCGTCTCTCTTTACCGAAGACCTTAGACATAGAATAGAGTTATGCCTACAGATATCAACAAGCTTTTTTTTTCTTTCAAAATAATAATTATGCATTGAAAAAACAGTTACTAGTATAAATTTAACTTCTACAGGTACTAAGGCATCAAATAAAGCTCAGATTTAGAAACCTTTCAGTGTTCGGATCTTATAGTTAGTTATGGTACGATGGAAAAGCCTAAGAAGAGATAAGTTAGATGTGTGCCTAACTGGTTCTGTATTTTTCATGGGATACGAGAACGAGGTGAAATGTTACAATGGCAATGAGATTTTCAGTGATGTATAAACTAAGTGGGAGATCTTGACCCACGTGTCTATCTTTATCTATATGTCTGTCTGTCTATCCATCCACCTAACCATCTCCCATTTTTTCAGGGACGAGGTCTTGCTCTGTCACCCAGGCTGGAGTGCAGTGGCATAAGCACAGCTCCCTGTAACCTCGAACTCCTAACCTCAGGTGATCCTCCTGCCTTGGCCTCGCAAGGTGCTGTGATTACAGACGTGAGCAGCCACACAGGACTGGGAGATATATTCATAGTCTTCTACGGGCAAGACTTACCAGTATGTTCTATGTTACCTCAAGGAGTGAGTCTCAAAAGAAGTGTTCCTAGCATCTAATAGAATCTTAATTAATTTTCCTCTCACCAATATCCTCTCTAATCAGCAAACACCAAAATAGTTCTTCACACTTTTGCTCAAGAACATTCCATGTCTTTCTACTGCTGACAGTGGAACAGAGACAGTTTGGAGTTTAGTCATGGAGTGCCCTGAGGTCATGTTAATTAGTCTTCCTACAATAAAATAGTTCCTAGGCGTATTAAATGTCCTATGGCTGCCAAAACAAATTACCACAAATTTAGTGTCTTAAAACACACATTTGATAACTTACAGTTTTGTAGGTCAGAAGTCTAAAATGGGTCTCACTAGGCTAAAACCAAGGTGTCTGCAGGGCTGCACTTCTTTCTAGAGGCTCTAAGGGGGAATCTGTTTCCTTATCCTTTCTGGCTTCTACAGATCCACTGTATTTTATGGTTCATAGCACTTCACTTCCATCTTCAGAGCAAGCAATGGTGGACTGAGTCTTTCTCATTCTGCAGGACTGACCTTGCCCCTTCTCAAATCTCCTTCTCTGACTCTCATTTTTCTGCCTCCCTCTTCCACTCTTAAGTAACCTCTTTAAAGACCCTTACATTTGGCCCACGTCAATAATCCAGGATGATCTTCCTATTTTAAAGTTACCTCATTAGCCATTTTAATTCCCTTTTGTCACATAACCTAACATATTCATAGATTCTGGGGACTAGGAAGCAGACATTTGTAGGGAGCCATTATTCTGCTGACCATACTATAGCTTTATCTCCAACTATTTCAGAACTTCCATCCTAATAATAAAATTAACTATCAGCCCTTTCTAAAACTTATAGTTTCTTACTCATATAGCTCTTCGCTACTCTACTGAGATACTTTAGAAGGCTCCAGCATATGGAGATTGAAGACTTAGGTTCAAGTTCTGAATCTTTCACTTTGTAGCTTGATAACGCTGGAAAAGTCATTTAACTTTTCTAAGGCTTGACTACTCCTTCATCTATAAAATGGGAATAACTGACTTATCTTGCAGAGCTGTAATAAGGATCATTATGTATTATGAACAAGCTTTATAAACTGAAACAATTTTTTAAAGTAAAGGATGATTAATTGCTCTACTGGCCCAAATCATGGTTTGGCTTAAACATAAATTCCCATGAAGTAATCCAGCAACCCACCTAGAATCAATTCATCTCCTTTTCCCTTCATTGTTCCTACATCTTTTATGGCACAAACACATTTTGTACCTGTGTGTATACACCTCTTATCCCATTCCTGACTATTAAAATCCCAAGGGAAGAGCCCTCACCTGATTTTGTCTCATATCTCATGGTGTATATCACAATGTTTTCTACATAGGTGTTCATTAAACATTATTTTAAAAAGTGATTTTAAATTAACCCGCAAAGGGCATTCAATTAAGATGCCCTCACGGAATAATAGTAGAGCAATTGTTAAATAATATTATTGTAAAATATAACCTTCTACTGAGGAAACGGAATATTCTAAGTTAAAACTCTGGCCCCTGTATATGGAAAAACAAATGTTGTGATGCAGCCACGGGACTAAGTTTCTGAGCTTAGTTGTTACACTGCAGAATCCCTTTAGTACTCCGAGGAGCTTTTAAAACACCAAGAAAGAATCTGTGGGTAGTGCCCAAGCTTTGGTATGTGCTGCCAGGGATGAGAAACACCAAGCACTCCTTTAGATTCTGCTCTCGAAGTTCCCACTGCACTACAGTAGGGAAACCATTTTGAAATAGCCTTTTAATTTGGAGTGTTATACAGCCTCAGGACTTGCTTACAGGAGAAAGAAACTTACTTCTTCCTGTCAAAAAGCTTTCCCGGTATCTTGCATAAGTACTGGCAATTAACATGAGAAAAAATATGAAGGACTAATAAATACATAGAAAAATGTTCTGGTCATGTGCAATGGCTCATGCCTGTAACCCCAGCACTTTGGGAGGCCAAGGTGGGCAGATCACTTGAGGCCAGGAGTTTGAGACCAGCCTGGCCAACATGGCGAAACCCTGTCTCTACTAAAAATACAAAACTTAGCCAGGCGAGGTGGCACATGCCTGTAGTCCCAGATACTCGGGATGCTGAGGCACAAGAATCACTTGAGCCCGGGAGGCAGAGGCTGCAGTGAACAGAGATCACGCCACTGCACTGCAGCCTGGGCAACAGAGCAAGACTCTGTCTAAAACAAAACAAAACAAAACCAAAAAAACCCAGAAGAATGTTTTAGTATATCAAATGATCAAAGAAATAGAAATAAACACAAGAGTACTATAAAAATAGGCAATGATATTTTAAAATAATATTGTAGGGTCAGTGAGGACATATAAGTCTTTAAAATGTTTACCACGATTTGAGTATGTCCCCCAAAAGCCTGTGTCGGAAATTTAATCCCCAATGCAACAGTGTTGGGAGCTGCAGCCTAATGGGAGGTATTCACGTTCCACCCTCAGTAATGGATTAATGTGTTTTATTAAAAAGCCTGAGGCTACAAATTTGATCCCTTGCTTGCTCTGGCCGTCTCCTGTCCTTCCTCCTTCCACCTTGGGATGACACAATAAGAAGGCCCTCACCAGATGCTGGTGCCATGCTCTTGGACGTCTCAGCTCCTATAACTATGAACCAATAAATTTCTGTTCATTATAAATTACCCAGTCTCAGGTATTTTGTTATAGTAGCAGAAAATGGACAAAGGCAATTCTTATACTCAAGCAAGCCCAATTAAAAGAAATTATCCTATGTACAGATACCCCTACAAAGATTTGTAATTTGGCATTACTTGTACTACTGAAATGTTAGAAAAAACCTCAACAATTACTAACAACAGCTTGGTTAATTATACTTTTGGCACATTTATAAGATGATTAAAATTACGTTGTAAAATATAATTATATGATATATAATTATATAATCCATATATTATGTGAAAATGCAGAATATTGTCTGTTTAATATGATATAAACTAGCTTTTAAAAAATAAATTGCGTATGTACACAGAGAAAAGCAGAGAGAGATAAAACATCATGTTTCCTCCCTAGGAATTACAAGAATTTCGGTTTTTCTGAATTTTATAAAATTCCTACAACCTAATATATATAATTTCTTTCCATTTTTTTTAAGTTAAGTACTTCTAGGTTCGACACTAACTGAAGTCACAACATTAGAGGAGAGAGAAATTAACATTTCTCACTTAACCTGTGGCCAAAGGCAGATTCAGATTTTGTGGTGACCAGCAGCCTATAATAAAGGGGCAGCTGGGTGGGAGGGTCCTTAAGAAAAACACAAATTAATTCAAGATTGCTAGGGCTGCTCCTGCAAGGGCCTTAGAAAGGGCCATGCAATTAGGTTCACTAAACTTCATCAGTTTCATGATAAATATGCTTCTAAACCAGTGGCAAACATTACGTTAGGCATTTTCATATATTCAATCTAACAAAACTTCTATAGAGATAAAGGTATCACTATTCACATGCATGGAAAATTGAGGCTCAAAGAAATTTTAAAAAGTATCCAAATTCACCCAACAGTGAAATGGCAGTCCGCCTTCAAAGCCAATGCTGACTATATTGCCTCATCCTCCATGTCTCAGCAGCAATTTCCTTCACTAAGGTACCTTTCAGAGCAGCTTGTACTTTTTCAAGCCTCATCCCTCATAAAAAGTTACTTGTTCAACTGTTATCATTCTGATGCTTACTATATAGTAGCTGGCTCTGCAGCAGTAGGTACTTGATAAATATTTATTGAATGAATGGATTTATTATAATCAGAATAGGTAAAAATAAGAAAACTCAAACAGATTTGAAAATGTCCTTTTAGAATCTACAATGAATCCACCCATAAATTTTTATCCATGAGAAAATACAGATCTCTCTGGAAAATATCTGGAACAAAATTTCTTTAAATGCAGGAGACATCTTTATGTTAATTTAGTTAAATAACTAAAGAGAAACAGAGTTTGGGGTTATCGTATGGGCATTAGCAAATAAGAGGTAATGCCAAGGAGTGGGCATATTAGTAAAGGCAAAATAAATCAGAAAAACTGTGATGACTCAACAACTCAGCTACCCTAAGTTAGTTCTGTTTCACTGCCCTTGTAAGATACTAAATATATATTAGATTAAATAAAACTTATGCATGCAAAATGTGGCAGCATTTAGGCCCTGAAGACTTGCCCTCTGGTGTTACTCTAGTGAATATACTACATTATATGGTAAAAGGAACTTGGCAGATAAAATTAAGTTTATTAGTTAGCTGACCTTAAAATCATGAGATTATCCTGGGTAGACCCAATGTAATGACATGAGCCCTTAAAAACTTCAAACTGTTCATTGGCTTCCCAGTGTAATCAGAATAAATTTTAAATTCTTTACCTTGGTTTACAACTCTGCATAATCTAGATCTGATTCTTATCACTTCTCCTGTCCTTCCTCACCTACCTCTTTCTTATGCCTTAGAACTACCTTTCGTTCAGCCTCAAAAATTCTGCTTCCAAATCTTCAAATGACTAGTCCTTCATGTCATTCAGGTTTTGGCAAAAATGTCAAATTTTCAAAGATCACACCTTCCATGATCACCTTATCAACGCACTGGTGCTATCCTCACACTTTCTACCACATGATGGAGTTTCACATTCTAAGCATTTGAGATCTGAAAAGCTCTATCTATGTATTTATTTAATTTTCTGTCTCTCTCATCATTGTTTTCCAAAGTGGAATATAAATCCCATGAAGACAAGAACCAAGATTCTCCTGCACTGCTCTTTCCCTCGCATCTATAACAGTGCTTGGTGCTTTTTGTTCAATGTATGAATGTAGATGATACAATAATGAGTAAGACAATTTATAATCTAGAAGAGGACTAAGACATTTACAGAAGAAGTTTTAATACAAGGGAATGTACTGTTAAAGAATGGGAGATTAGATCGTTTCCAGCTAGGTAATCAAAAAAGATTTCAGAGAGAAAGTAGTAACAGAACTAGACTTCAAGGATGTTTAGGAATTTTTCAGGGCAGAGATTTCAATATTGTGTGTTAGGTTAAAAAACTCAGAATTCACCATATAGGCAATGAAAATACTAAGTATTTCAAATAAAAAGGGATATATAATTAGAACAAGATCCACAGATATTACAGGACCAGTTTCTAGTTCTGGCTCAAGAGGAAAAATAATCAGAAATCATATGCACACTGTTACTAATTTATAGCTGAATGTAATGGCCAAAAGCTTTTTCAACTGGAAAATATGATTGCAGGAAAAAAAAAACTAAGTCATACTCTTTATAAAAAAGTTTATAAATTCTATGATGTTGACAAAACAAAAAAAAAACACAATCACCTCTGGCAACCATTTTACCCAATTAACAAAAGATTTAGAAAAAACTGTGCGTAAGAACTTTATTTTTCTAAATTCTTAACATGTCCTAATCGGTTAAAACTTCAATTTCAAGGTATGCAGTGTTTTCCAGGGATGTCCAATATTTTGGCTTCCCTGAGCAACACTGGAAGAATTGTCTTGAGCCACATATAAAATACACTGGTCGGGCACGGTGGCTCACGCCTGTATTCCCAGCACTTTGGGAGGCTGAGGTGGGCGGATCATTTGAGGTCAGGAGTTCAAGAGCAGCCTGGCCAACATGGTGAAACCCCGTCTCTACTAAAAATACAAAAAAACAATAGGCAGGCATGGTGGTGGGCGCCTGTAATCCCAGCTACTCAGGAGGTTGAGGCAGGGGAATCGCTTGAACCCAGGAGGTGGAGGCTGCAGTGAGCTGAGATCACAACACTGCACTCCAGCCTGAGCAACAGAGAGAGACTCTGTCTCAAAACAACAACAACAAAAAACACAGTAACACTATCGACAGCTGATGAGCTTAAAAAAAAAAAATTGCAAAAAAATCTCATAATGTTTTAAGACAGTTTATGAATTTGTGTTGGGCCGCATTCAAAGCTGTGGGTTGGACATGCTCATTTTAAACTATCCTTTCCTATGGAGGGATAAAATTCTGATTTTTTTTTTTAAGTTAAATGTTTAAAACAAGGTTTTATGCTTGCCTGTATATTTAAGTATGTCTTCTTCAATTTTTTTTAATACTTTGACCTCTACTTAAAACCTAAAACAGCTATAAGACCGCCCCCAAAAGTACAATTTTACAATACAAACTGTATTCATAAAGATATCATTTTACCACTGAGAAGCTTAGTGACTGAAGGTTACCAAAACAGCACCAAATGCTTATGCATGTGGATTCAAGAAAGAGTAGCACATAGGATGATTTTTTTAAAGTCTTTTTCCCAAGAAAACAAGATCAAAATGATCATTTATTTAATATTTAAGATGTCCTAAAATGCCCAGATTACCTGATAAATCAGTTTATAACACACAAATCAGCCCTGAAAATATATCATAATTGATAAGAAAAATCTCAATACTGATGTTAAAAACAAAATTGGGTGTTTATGAAAGAATAAATATAGGGCATAGTAATGGCATTTAGAACTTGAAACCAAAGCCTTGGGTCAAAAGACTTTTGTTCTTATACCAATATTACCAAATTCTTACCTTGAAAGAGAAAATATAAGCTTTTAAAATATCATATTTAATAACTGCAGATGGCATTGCCTAATGCTATACCATTTTCTTCCTTTTTGAAAGTCTTTCCTTGGTCTTGCTACATGCTGAATTTTTTAAAAGTATAGACTATAAAATTATTTCACTCTGAATGTCCGAAGATAAGTGTTTGCAAGGGTCCCAACTTACTATTAAGTAAAATGAAAAAAAAAAAATCTATCTAGCATTACTGGACTATGTCAATCAAATTGGAAACCTCTTGATCACCTGACTACCCCTAAGAGTAGGTTGGTGCAAAAGTAATTGCGTTTTTACCATTACTTTCAATGGCAAAAACCGCAATTATTTTTGCACCAACCTAATAGTATCTAATATATATTATAGACTCATTTTAAGCATTAGGAGAATGAGTCACCTAATATAGGCGTTCATAATGCCTATTTAATATTATGTTCTCAGAGAGAAGAGAGAAAAGAAAATCAGGACAATCTAATAAATGTAATTCCCTTTTTCAAAATAGATCAATGTTTTAAAACTGAAACTTCATATTTACTTTATAAGTCTTTTTAAACTTTCCCTCCCAAGTACTCCAAGGTCAGGTGAATTATCTTAAGTGTCATACACCTTTTATACAAGCAGAAAGGTTTAAGAATTGGAATAAATTTCATTCCACATTCAAATACCCTCTCAACATGATACGGACAGGAAACAGGGAAATACTGGGTAGAGGAGGGTAGCTCTCCAGCAAAGGCCCCACCTCCAAGCCTGGAAACCTGCAGCCCTAAATAGGAAGAGGCATTCCTTTTTTTGCACCCAAAAGATGCCTTCTGGTCTGCCATGTCCCCTTATCCTGTGCCCATTAAAAACCCCAAACCCCCTGCTCCACAAGGAGACAAATGGAGAAGCAGAAGAACAGCAAAACAGCACAGCAGAGAAAAGAAAAGGAATGTTTGAACGCCGAGAGGAGTTTGGCTGGGGATGGTCAGAGAGGAAATTGCCTACTGGATAGCCAAACTCCAGGGGAAGATCATCTTCCCACTCCATCCCCCTTCCAGCTCCCCATCCATCTCACTGAGAGCCACCTCCACAACTCGATAAAACCCATGCATTCATCCTTCAAGTCCGTGTACAACCTGAATCTTCCTGGATGCCAGACAAGGACCTGGGTACCAGGAGGGTACTTAGCTGGTTAACACTTAAGTCGTCTGCAAGGCTAAAGGGGCTCACTGTAACACATGCCCACTTGGGCTTCAGGAGCTGCAGGCTCCCACCCCTGGATGCTGCCAGGGGGCCGGAGCCCAGGGGCACTTGCCCCGGCTTCTGCACCTGCCCGTCTGTGTGCTCCCCCTCCCATAAGGGGTTTGAGCATGGACGGTGGCCTGAACAGATGAGCCACTCCCCTGTTGCACATCCTGCAACAGGGGTCAGGGAACTCTCCCATTTCAAATAGACACAGGCTATTAATAAGGATCTTGATCCTGAACCAGTCTGTACCTCATATACTACGGTAAGGGCTTTTTCCTAATCTTTTTCTGAAGAAGGTCTGCTATTTAATTCAAATACTTAGATTTTCTCAACAAAATACTTGGGAATTCCATAGTAAAGGAATTTTTTTGATATGTGGTGCTTTGGGTTTTTTTGAGATAGGGTCTCACTGTTGCCCAGGCTGGAATGCAGTGGCATGATCACACCTTGCTGCAGACTCAACCTCCTGGGCTCAGGTGATCCTCCCAACTCAGCCTCCCAAGTACCTGGGACTACAGGCCTGCACTACTGAGCCCAGCTATTTTTTTTTTTTGTATGTTTTTGTAGAGATGGGGTTTCACCATGTTGCCCCGGCTGGTCTCAAACTCCTGGACTCAAGGGATCCATCCACCTCAGCCTCCCAAAGTGCTGGGATTACAGGCGTGAGCCACTGTGCCCGGCCCCTCCTTCTCCTTTTGAAACTGTTTTGTTTCTAACACTATTCTGATATTAAGAATATGCTGCTTGAACACTCAAGAAACAACAGTGACTTCCTCTGGGGAACAGAACCGAGTGGCACTCTCTTACTGTTTAAATCTTTAACAACTGCCTGGAATACCTTTAAAAAAATTGCTGTAAGTTATACTTACAGGAAATAATCTGGTTGGGTGCAGTGGCTCACGCCTGTAATCCTAGCACTTTTGGGGACCAAGGCAGGTGGACCACCTGAGGTCAGTAGTTTGAGAACAGCCTGGCCAACATAGTGAAACTCTGTCTCTACTAAAAATACAAATTAGCTGGGTGTGGTGGCACGTGTCTGTAACTGGGGAGGCTAGGCCACGAGAATGGCTTGAATCCAGGAGGCAGAGGTTGCGGTGAGCCAAGACTGTGCCACTGCACTTCAGCCTGGGGTGACAGAGCAAGCTCTGTCTCAAAATAAAAAAAAATAAAATAAAAATCTGTTAATTGCCAGCTGTTAGAAAGACCCTTCAAGATTAGTATTTTCTACCTTTCAAAGCACCCAAACAGTGACAAAGTAAAAGTCTAAGCTCATTAGCACTATATGTAAGGTCCTTTATGGCCTTGGCTCTTCACACTCCTCCATCCTTACCCACCGCCACTCACCTACTCTAGCTACACTCCAACCATTTGGAATTCTGTGCACTCACCACCAAATCACTATACCATTTCATTTACTGGAAGGTTCTTACATCTGCTTTTTCACCTAGATAATGTGGACCCATTTTACAGGACCCAATTTAGATGACCTCTCCCAAAAGCCTTCCCTAAGTCCTCCTTCCAGAGTAAGATCTGCCCCCACCCCCACCCCAATGCTTCCATAGATCCCTGTGCTTACCAACTATCTCATTTACCACACACTTGGGATTACGTATATATTGCTCTTTCTCACTAAAAGCTGTTTGAGGACAAGACTCTTGTATGTCATAATTGTATTCTCAAATGTATTCTAGTATTGCGCCTGGTCCAAAGTAGGTACCCAAATAGCTGCAGAATATGAATGAACTACCTCTCATACTTCAAGGCCCAATTCTGTGAAGCTGTCTATACCTATCCTAAGCAGCCAGGTGCTTTTTTCTCCATGCTCCCAAAGTACCAACTCAACTAATATCTATTTCTCTCCATTAGACTATGAGCTTCTGAACAACAAGCTTTTTCTTCTTCATAACTATACAAGCACTGTCCCAGGTATCTAGTAGCAATTAATTATTTGTTGAGTGGATGAAGAGTATGTATACTGTTAAAAATACATGTGAAAAAATAACAAGCATAGGATAGCCTGCTCACTTCTGATTTATTTTTTCATCTTTACTAACAATAAGAGATCATAAAGCTCTAAAAATATTTTGTGCTTGCTTTAGGATTAGGGAAAGGGAGCCGTTAAAAGATCAGACTATTCCCCAGATAGCTCCTCATCCTCTGACTTCCTGAAACTCTGCTCTTTTTTTCATCTGAATTTTGTTCTCATTTCTAATCATTAAACCCTGGACCCCCCCAAAATTAGAGCCCTCCCAGTAGTTTAGAAGCAGGGAATTTCCACTTTAATTGCTTGGCAAAGAGTAGCAGTGGGGGCAGTAATGGTAAGGTAAGGAAGAAAACTCTTATACTAGAGCAATAAAAGGAGATGAAATGTTCCTGACATCCCAATTTCAAACTTTGAATTCATTTTCCTCTAGAAATAGCATTATTCAATGTTACACATGGTAGTAATGGCAGTTAATACAGCATATAAATTAAATGGTTTTTTGTGGGCAGGGCTGGGACATCATCATTCCGGTCAACACATTATTCCTATGGGACCATGACAGATGTTTAAATTTTTGAACTACTATTCTCTTCATGTTTTCCCCTCCCACAAAAGAAAACCTGAATACCACAACAGGTTTAGCACAGTGTGAAATACATATATATATGTTTTCATCCACAGCTCCTGGATCTTTTTCTTTTTTTTTTGAGATGGGGTCTGACTCTGTCACCCCAGGCTGGAGTGCAGTGGCATAATCTTGGCTCACTGCAACCTCCGCCTCACAGGCTCAAGCAATTCTCCCATCTCAGCTTTCTGAGTAGCTGGCACCACAAGGCTGCACCACCATGCCCAACTAATTTTTTTATTTTTTGTAGAGGCAGGGCCTCTCCATGTTGCCCAGGCTGGTCTCAAACTCCTGAGCTCAAGCGATCCCCAAGTGCTGGGATTACAGGCGTGAGCCACCACGCCCAGCCAGTTCCTGGCTCTTCACTACTATAATGCTTATTATAGTCCTCTTTTTTTTTAATAATGTTGAGGCACTTCAGGCCTCAGGAACAGAATCTCTCTCTCTAGCCTTCTCCTGTCCTCCTTTTACCTACCCAAGGCATGACTCTAATCTGGTTTTGGGTCAAAAACCCTCATTCCAGAGAGGGTCCTGTCCCCATATCAAAGAAGAAATGCTACACAGAGAGGCCAAGAAGAGTCAGAACAGACAGGCCTTGCTGGGCTTAGATCACGCACTTTTTGTCCAAACACATTTCTACATGGTTGTCAATCATACCTATGCAATGAGGCCTCCATAAAAAGCCAAGAGGACAGGGTTCAGACAGCTTCCATATAGCTGAACACGTGGAGGTTCCTCGAGGTTGGTACACCCAGAGAAGGCATGGAAGCTCCGCGCCCCTGCCCCTATATCTCACTCTGTGCATCTCTTCTTCTGCATCCCTTGTAATATGCTTTATAGTAAACCAGTAAATATAAGCAAGTGTTTCCCTGAGTTCTGTGAGGTGCTCCAGCAAATTAATCGACTCCAAAGAGGGGGTAGTGGGAAACCCAACTTGAAGCCAATCAGAAGTTCCAGAGGCTAGGACTTGGGACTGGGGGGAAGGAGGGGGTGGTCTTGGGGCCTGAGCCCTCAACCTGTGGGATCTGATGGTATTTCTGGATAGACAGTGTGGGAAATGAATTGGAGGACACCCAACTAGCATCCACTATTGGTGTGTGGGGAAAAAGCCCCACGTCTTTGGTCACAGGTGTCTGTTTTTTAATTCATTTAATTGGTAAATTTCCCAAGATGAGACACAGATGTCTTTTACTATGTTAACGATTGTTGTGGTGGTGCAAGAGCAGAGGAAAAACAAGGGTTTAGAGTTTTTCTGAAACACACAGTGTTTAAAATGCCATAATAGTATGGAAATTTATGTAACTCACAAAACCGAACAGTGTATTACTTTAGTACTACTGTACTAAAATACAATAGATGAATGTACAATAA
Organism: Homo sapiens; assembly: GCF_000001405.40. NCBI lineage: Eukaryota > Metazoa > Chordata > Mammalia > Primates > Hominidae > Homo > Homo sapiens. Next base: position 112,722,173 of record NC_000005.10, on the reverse strand, counting down.
ATTAATCAACGAACTCCCCTGTAACTTCAAACTCTTCAATAAATGTCATCTTCACCGATTTATCTTAGTTGAAATCAGATGACACCACTTTCTGTGCCGCTTTCTCAATGGGGGGGTCTTTTTTTCCTCTCACATCCTATGTACTTTAGGCCAGGAGATAGGAATAGGATACTGAAGGGTCTAGAGCAAATTTGTCCCCAGGGCTGCATGGCCCAGGATGGCTTTGAATGCAGCCCAACACAAATTCGTAAACTTTCTTAAAACATTAGGAGATTTTTTTTTCCTGCAATTTTTTTTCAAGCTCATCAGCTATTGTTAGTGTTAGTGTATTTTATGTGTGGCCCAAGACATAAAATTTGCCAACGAGGCCCAAGGAAGCCAAAAGACTGGACAAGCCTGGTGTAGAGGGAGGCAAAAGATATGCTCCTTGCATCCAATTATCACTTCCAAACCATTTCTCCTCCTTTCTTAAACACCCAAGATCTTCTGACATGATACCCAACTGTGTACCCTCTATTGCCTCTAGCACTCTTCTCCACTCTTACCCCCACCATCACTCTCAGTGACTTCAAAGTCTACGTGGATTACCCACCTAACACTCTGGCTTCTTAGCTCCTTAACTTCTTCACCTCCAAATACCAACTTCCATGATCCACGCAGGACCTTGTCATCATCAATAACTGCGTCATCTCCAAATTCTTAACCAAAAATCTCAAAAATCAAATTTTCAGTCTTTATTTTTTTATTTTATTTTTATTTTTTGAGATGGAATCTCACTGTTGCCAAGGCTAGAGTGTAGTGGCGCAATCTCTGCTCACTACAATCTCCGTCTTCCGGGTTCAAGTGATTCTCATGCCTCAGCCTCTCGAGTAGCTGGGATTACAGGCACACGCCACCATGCCTGGCTAATTTTTGTATTTTTACTAGAGATGGAGTTTCACTATGTTGGCCAGGCTGGTCTCGAACTCCTGACCTCAAGTGATCCACCCACCTCGGCTTCCCAAAGTGCTGAGATTACAGGTGTGAACCACTGCACCCAGCCCCAAATTTCCAGTCTTTAAAATGTATCTCCTGCCCCTCTAGTTCATTATACTATCTCCAAATTCAACATTCCCTCACCTTACTTACTGTGTTCTCCAATCCAATCAAAAATGCTCTCATCATTTTTCACCATCCGTTACTTTCATCTTTACACTGTTCTCTTTAGATGCAACAATAACCAGTCTCTTTCAAACTCTCAAACCCCTTACTCTTCTCTCCCTCTGTTACCTGGTAAAATCTCAACTCTAGCTGAACAATTCCATTCCACTTTTACGTGCCTGTACCAGAGCAGCTTATTATAGAGGAAAGGGGGAAAACCAGCTAACAAAGCTAGCTGGTTTCACTTTAAATTCACAACTATAAACATCAAAGGATATCCAATACTGCCTAGCAGGGCTACTATGTCTCCTGGAAAGTTTGCCTTCCCACACTCTAAGTGTCTTTTTTGTCTCCTCAAATCTGTAACAGACCTATTTTTCTACCTATGCCACTCTTTGCTGACGACCTACTTCATGGAGAATATAAAAGCTATTGGAGAGAAATTCCCTCATATTTTTAGGCAAGTCAAGTCACCCATCTTCCTTGGGCCTCTGTTTTCACATGTTTAAAATAGGAGATGGGTAGGACGGGAGGGTTCATGAGAGACTTAATGATATTTAGGGTCTCTTCCAGTTCTAAAATTCTCTGTCCACCTCATTTTATCCTTCAGTTTTTTAAAGGCAAGTGAGCAAATCTAAAACAAAAAGCTATTTGAATCTAACATAGCAGGAAAGAGAAGGAACTATAATAGGAATCTTTGACTTAGTATTTTCTTCTAGCAAAGAGAAAAAAATAAGTAAACAGTAAACACATAAGAATTCTAGGTTTTCATACAACAGAGCTGGTTTTGTTCTTTATAGACACATCAATTTAATCACAAAGAAATGGATGGCATTTCATATTAATGGCTGTGACTAATATCAAATCAAGTATCTATACAGGAAAAATATATTGGTATGTTATACTAAATTTTTAACACTCCTCCATCACAGAAGAACACCAATTTATGTAGACTACCATAGCTTAGTTTGCCTAGAAGAATTTCTAATGTATCTGTTTGGCTTCCATATTCAACAGATTTAATCTCAGAATTCAAACGCAAATTGTACCTATATTTTAAATAGATGTGGGTAAGATTTTTGAAATCGTATTTTGTCCTTGAGATGTAAAAAAAATTTAAATTAAATAAAAAATAAAAATCATGACACCTACATGGCATAGAGAGATTTGCCAGAATTTTTATTGAAAATTGGCTGGGCGCAGTGGCGCACAACTGTAATCCCAGAACTTTGGGAGGCTGAGGTGGGAGGATCACCTGAGGTCAGGAATTCAGGAGTTCAAGACCAGCCTGGCCAACATACTGAAACTCCATCTCTACTAAAAATACAAAAATTAGCCGGGTGTGATGGTGCGCACCTGTCATTCCAGCTACTCACTAGGCTGAGACAGGAGAATTGCCTGAACCTGGGAGGCGGAGGTTGCAGTGAGTGGAGATCACGCCACTCCAGCCTGGGCGACACAGTAAGACTCTGTCTCCAAAAAAAAAAAAAAAGAATTATTATTGAAAATGAGGCTGGGTGCAGTGGCTCACACCTGTAATCCCAGCACTCTGGGAGGCCAAGGTGGGTGGATCATTTGAGGTCAGGAGTTCCAGACAAGCCTGGCCAACATGGTAAAACCCCACCTCTACTAAAAATTAAAAAAAAAAATTAGCCGGGCGTGGTGGTGCACACCTGTAATCCCAGCTACTCGGAGGGCTGAGGCAGGAGAATTGCTTGAACCTAGAAAGCAGAGGTTGCAGTGAGCCAAGATTGTGCCACTGTACTCCAGCCTGGGCAACAGAGCAAGACTCTGTCCAAAGAAAGAAAAGAAAGAAGAAGTAAAGAAGGAAAGAATGAAAATGAACCTACTTCCAACAAAAATACTAAAAGACAAATTTGTCTGCAGTCCCTCCTCAGTTTAGTACATTCTCCCTCCTCCATACAGTCCCACTTCAAAAATGTTCACATTACATTCTATTTGCTTACATAATTCCTACCCTAAGGCACTACTCACATACAAGTATTTTTTGCTTCTCCGGTCATACAAAATATCCTCTGTCTCCTTCCCTTAGGGCTTTGCAAAGTCCTAGGAACTAACCTAACTTTAAAGGAATTAAAAGGCAACCATAGCTTAAAGTCTACCTTTTCCAGGTATCTAATTTGCACCATCAAAGGAGCCCTAACACAAAGGAATGGCTAATGTAGAAATTTCCAGTCTTTCTGAACAAGTTAGTCAAAGAAATATTTGGACTTACACTCGTAGAAACAGCAGACCAGGTTATTCAGACCAAGTATCCTTACAAAGACAATTTAAAAAGCTAGATAAGATAGTAAAATGATCTTAACAGCACCAAATAACCAGCAAAATAACGAGGAATGAATAAGAAGCTCAAATCCACTAGAAGTCAGGAACCCAGAAAGGTGACCCCAGCTTTTGCCTTTTGTGAGTTTGCCAACAAAGAAGCATTTAAGAGGCTGAGCTTGGTTGTTTGTTGCCTGCATTGCAGGCACAGGGGACCAAAGCCAGAGTCTGAGACCCACCAAGGGTGAGGACTGCAGTGAAAACAGCATTGGCTTCCGGCTGAGACCCTAAAGGGCTGCAACCTAGAAATAAAGAAGGAACCAGAAGGAAACCATGGACTGAAGTCAGTTTCAACTCATCTGGGTGGCCCAGGAAAGTTAAAGATTTGAAATTTCATTAAGATGTTCTCACACCCCCAGGCACTTGGTGACAGCAAATGAAAACCTTCTTTAGAGAAAGATTAACTTCATCTTACATTATATACATCAATTTATTTCTACAACACAACTGAATCAGCTTCCTAGAGACTTCCCAACATTGGAATTATCAGACACAAACTGAAAAATAACTATGCTTACTACATTCAAGGGGATAAAGGCCACACTTAAATATTTTTGCTTAAAATTGAAAACTGTAAAAAGTGATACAGTTTTGAAAAGAACCAAATAAGAATTCTATACTAAAAAATAACCTAAATTAGGTATTTACTGAATGAGTTAATAACAGATTAGGCATAGGTGAAAAAAAAAATGTGAACTTTGAAGATAAGTCTGAAGCAATATCCAGAACAATGCCTTGAGGTCAAAAAGAAGCAAAAAAAAAAAAAAAAAAAAAAAAAAAAAGAAAAAGAAAAAGAAAAAGAAAAGAGGTAAGAGACAGGATAAGAAGGCCTAACATACTAAACTAGTCCCAAAATGACAGGAGACAGAATATGAAGCAAAGACAATATTTGAAAAAATAATGGCTAAGAAACTTCCAGGACTGATAAGACACCAATCCATATATTCACACAGCCCAAAGAATCCGATGCCTAATCACAGCTTAGTAAAACAGAAAGCCAAAGCCAAAGATAAAAATCTCAAAAGCAGCCAAACAAAATCACATTATCTTAAAAGTTGAGACACAAAGAGTTGAGGTCTCAATAACAATGAAATGTGCTGAAATAAAGTAACCACTGCTAACCTAGAATTCTGTACCTAGCAAAAATATCCTTTAAGACTGAGATAAAATAAAGACATTTTCAAGCAGACTAAAGGACATTCTAAAGGGTGTGTTTCAGATCCTTCAAAATCAAAGAAAGCAATCTTAAGTGCAAGATCATACGAAAAGTAAAAAGATGGTAAAGACATGCATTAACTTAAATAAAATATTGGCAGTATGAAACAGTAACAACAACAATAATGAGGAAGAAAGAGAAAAAATAAGAATGAATTAAAATGCACAACAAAACTGTATGAGTAGGGGCTGGGCACGGTGGCTCATACCTGTAATCCCAGCATTCTGGGAGGCCGGGACTTCAAGACCAGCCTAGCAAACATGGTGAAACCCCGTATCTACTCAAAGTACAAAAAAATTAGGCAGGCGTAGTGGCACATGCCTGTAATCCCAGCTACTCAGGAGGCTGAGGCACGAGAATTGCTTTAACCTGGAAGGCAGAGGTTGCAGTGAGCCAAGATCACGCTACTGCACTCCAGCCTGGGCAACACAGCGAGACCCTGTCTCAAAACAACAACAACAACAAACAAACAAACAAAAATAACTATATGAGAAGGGCTGCAAGTAAGTAGAATTAAAGTGCATCATCTGAGAATAGGATAAAGGTATTGATTAACATTAGATTTTATAAGATAGATAGCAATTTCTAGAATAACTAGTAAAAGAAGATCAAACTATAATAAAGAGAAAGCTAGCGTTGTTATATTCATCTCAAACTAGACTTTAATGTGCAAGTACTACCAGAATAAAAGAGGAAACTTGATAATGTTGAGTCACTGAGAAGATATAGCTATTACACATTTCTATGCATCTAATAGCATAGCCTCAAATTTATAAAAGATTAGAGAACTACAAGGGAAATACTCAAATCCACAATCATAATGGAGCATCTTAACATACACTTTTAGTAACTGATGAGCAAACAAAAGATCACCTACGATACTTAAGATTTGAAATGCAGGATTAACAAATATGACCTAATAAAAAAAATACAGAGACCTGCACTCAATAAATGGAGAGGAAAAAAAAGACAATATACTGGGCCATATACAGATCTCAAATTTTAAGTCTGAAATAACAGGCCTTTGAAACAGAGTATGTTCTTGGATTACATTGTAATTTTACAAATTAAAAACAAAATAACTGGAAAATCTCCATATGTTTAGAAATAAAAATATAATACTTCCAAATAATCCAAAAGTCAAAGTATAAATCATAACAGAAATCTGAAAACATCTTAAGTGAATTATAAAAATACTATGTACCAAAAAATACTATGTATCAAAACTAGTAATAGAACTAGCTAAAATGGCGCTTAGAGGGGAATGTTTAACTTTATGAACATATTTAAAAACAAGAAATGCTGAAAATTCAAGAACTTCACCGAAGAACCCCAAAAAGCAGCAGGGAAGGAAATAAGAAGCAGAAATTAACGCAACAGAAAATAAACATACAACAGACTAGCAAAATTCAAAATACGGTTCTCTGGAAAGACTACTGATCTCTGGTGAAACTAATAAGGAAAAGGAAAAGGTACAAATAACCTACGTCAGATATGAAAAGGGAATCTTTTCCTGCAGCCATTAAAAGGACCACAGAATATTTATTATAAACAATTTCATGCCAGTAAATTTAAAATTTTAGATAAAAGAATTCTTAGTGGAAAAATTATAAAAAATAATCACAAGATAGAATACTTGAATAGGCTTAAAAACAATACATTGAATTAATAATTAAAAACCTTTCCTCCCAACACAAAGAAATGATAAACGCTCAAGATGACAGGTACTCTAAATACCCCGACTTGATCATTACACATTTTATACACGTATCAAAATATAACATGTACCCCATAAATATGTACAAATAAATACCAAATTTTAAAAAACATTTCCACAGGAAAACTCCCAGCCCAGGTGGTTTCTCTGACATGTTATAACAAATATTTAAGGAAGAATTCATTCCAACTATACACAAACTCTTCCAAAACCAAAAATGATGGGCACCTCATTTTATTCTATTTCACATCTCGACAAGAATGGTACAGGCCACCTCACTCATGAACACTCAGGTCTCTTAGCACAAACGGCTTCTCAAAAAGCCCTTCTCTTACCAAACTAAAGTAGTATCCCCTGTCCCCTGAACCTATTTTATTCTATTTCAAGATCTATATACTACCTGATGTTATTTGTGTGTGTGTATGTGTACATATATAATATTTATTGACTATGTCCCCCACTAAAATTTAAGCTCAGACAACACAGGCTCTGTTTTGTTCCCACTCAATGTTGCCACACTATCTGCCTACAGCAGGCTTCAAAAATATTTGTTCAATTAATAATTGGTTTTGGTTTTGTTGAGAAAATGACAAAAACACAAGTAGAATTCAGTAACGCTTTCAAACGAATTCATACTCTATTATAACAACTGCAAGAGCATCATATACATGCTTTAGTGGTAGGAGTACAATGTACATAATTCAGGATTCAAAAATAACTGATGAAGGAATGAGGCGTTCTTAAATTTCTAAACATCTCCCATCCCCAAGGGGTACCTCAACTCTATTTCAATAGATGTTATATATACTTGCTTCTTCCTTTCTGTAGTAAGCACAAAATCATTCACTAATTCCATAAACAGTTATCATACACTACTATGCCAGACAGTATTCCAGACATTTAGACATTAAGAATACAATAATTAAGACAAGGTAGAGTAATGCATGGGACAGAAAAATAATACCCATAGAGTGTGATATATAGATTGTAAAGCTGAAGCATGATAGAAGAGATAATAAACTTTTTAGGGATAGATGTTTAGGGAAAGTTTCAGTAGTGGTGATACTAAATAAATACTTGTAAAATCAAATACAAAATATTTTTCATTTTACTATACGTGAAATGAGGATATGAAGTCTGAAAGTACTACAGTAATTTACCACCATTAAGATAAGCTAGCCCAAGAATAAAACCAAATCATGGGGAATAATGGAGCAGAATGAATAAGAGAAATTAAGTCCTTGATGTTTTCATGTGAGCCACTGGATGAAGTCTTAGCTAAAGTTTACTAGAAGATGTACTCAGTCCCTTTTTTTGTTTAAGCCAGTTTTGTGTTTTCTGTCACTTGCAATGTAAGAATATAGATCAATCTCTGAATTCTTTCAAAAGGCAAAGCATTTGCTAACTTCAGTGTATACATGTGCAGGGGCACTACTGGTATTTTTGAAAGGACAATTCTGTTTTGTGGGACCATTCCAAACATCACAGGACATTAGTGTATCTGGCCTCTACTTAATAATTATGAGTAGTACCTCGCAGTCACTGTGACAACCAAAAATGTCCCCATATAGTATTTCCAAACATCTCCCATCCCCAAGGGGAACCACAACTCTATTTCAATAGTTGTTACATATAACATACCTGTTTCTTGCAGTAGCTCCAACAGATATGCTTAAATGTACTTAACACAGTCTTAAACAAACTGGGATATACCACTGAAATATTCTAATTTTACATAATAATTCATTTTTAACCAGTCACCTATGACTATTTAAATGTTCAGTCAAAATCTTACGTATAGGCTCGGCACGGTGGCTAACGCCTATAATCCCAGCACTTTGGGATGCCAAGGTGGGCGGATCACTTGAGGTCAGGAGTTCAAGACCAGCCTAGCCAACATTGCGAAACCCTGTCTCTACTAAAAATACAAAAATTAGCTGGGTGTGGTGGCAGGCGCCAGCTACTTGGGAGGCTGAGGCAGGAGAATCGCTGAACCCAAGAGGTAGAGGTTGCACTGAGCTGAGATCAAGCCACTGCACTCCAGCCTGAGTGACTGAACGAGACTCTCTCTCAGAAAATAAACACTGAAATCCTATGTACAGCTTATATTAACTCTTGGTGTAAACAGTGTTTTAAATTTGCCACTATTATCTGAAAATTCTTATTTATTTAAATTTCTCCATACAATACTGTCATTGACACCATCTGTTTTCTTCTAATCAGCCATTTGCTTACCCTCTTCCTAGACTGAAATGCCACATATTCATTTTCCCAGCCTCCTCGTAATTAAAGCAGCGGCACGCCAGGATGGACATCGGAAAGAGGGCTTCTGTGAACGGTTTAGTTGCCTAATTAAGAGATGAAAGGACAAACTTCCACCTGTCTTTGGAGAATGTGATGCCTGGAGCAGAGCCATCTGCAACCATGATGGCAAAGTCTGAGCCCAAAGTTAAGCATGCTAAGGATAGCCAAGCATAAAGATGGAAAGCACCTGAATCCTTGATGAAATCATAGCACAGCTAAACTAACCATGGAATACTCCATTTCTGGACTTTTTATGTGAGATACTGGTTTTTTTTTTTTTTTTGCTATGGAGTCTCGCTCTGTCACCCAGGCTGGAGTGCAGTGATGCAATCCTGGCTCACTGCAACCTCCACTTCCTGGGTTCAAGTGATTCTCCTGCCTCAGCCTCCTGAGTAGTGGGGATTACAGGCGCCTGCCACCATACCCGGCTAATTTTTTTATTTTTAGTAGAGATGGGGTTTCACTATGTTAGCCAGGCTGGTCTCAAACTCCTAACCTCAAGTGATCCGCCCGCCTCAGCCTCCCCAAGTGCTGGGATTACAGGCGTGAGCCACAGCGCCTAGCCCGAGATACTGTTTAAATCAATGTTAACTGGGTATTATACAACTTGGGGGCCTAACTAAACAAGATATATTCAAGATCTGACACGTGATTGACAGTGGGAGAAGAACCAAGATTTCTGAAAGATTTCAAGACTGGGTTGTTGAGAGAGAGGTAGTTAGAAAAGAGAAATCGGGGGAAGAGGAATACAAACGCGCACATGCTGCTGGGTGCAGTGGCTCATGCCTGCAGTCCCAGCACTTTGAGAATCCCAGGTGGATCACTTGAGCCCAGGAGTTTGACACCAGCCTGGGGAATACAGCAAGCCCCGGTCGCTTAAAAAAAAAAAAAAAAGGGCTGGGTGTGGTGATGCACACCTGTAGTCCTAGTTACTCAGGAGGCTAAGGGCTGAGATGGGAGGACTGCTTGAGCCTGAGAGGTCTAGGTTACAGTGAGTTGTGATTATGCCACTACATGCCAGTCTGGGTGGCAGAGTGAAACCCCGTCGGTCTCACAAACAACAAAACATATATGTGCACACACACACTAGGTGAGGGTTGGTGAAGAGATCAAACTGACTCAGTTTAGTATGAGTTAAACTTAGGGTAGTATATATAAGATAGACATATACAGGAGGAAATGGAAGTAGGGAGTTACAGAACCAAGAAACAGCCCCACAGAAATGATGGTTTATATCATAAAGGATATGATCACCAAGAGAACACAGTGAAAAGCATATGGAACCTTGAGGACACTGGTTACTTCCCCAGGATCCACCCCTTCCCCGTATTGTGTTGCAGTCTCTATTTTCAGGTAAGATTCACTCCACTGGCTAAGCCACTTAGGATAATTCCATCCCTCTAGACAAAGATATTGTTACAGGTTTGGCAGCATGATCTATGTTTGTTTAATCAAACTAGAGCTTAGGATTCTTGGGAAAAGGCTAGGAGAAGTGGCCTTCTCTCTTTCTTTGGAAATAAATGAAGGGGCTATAATATGAACATCATTGGTGGCAATTTTTTTTTTATTAGAAGGGAAGTCTAAAGCCCAAACACAAGGACAATGTTGAGAGAACAGCAGATAAATGGGAGCTTAGCCCTGATGACATGACAAAGCACTCTTCAAGCCACTTCTATCTATGTACTTGCCAATTGCAAGAGCCAAAACATCTCTTTGGGTTTTTTTGTTTTTTTGAGATGGGGTCTCGTTCTGTCACCCAGACTGAAGTGCAGTGGCCCAATCATAGCTCACTGCAGCCTTGAACTCCGCCCCTCAAGCAATCCTCCCACTTGGGCCTTCCAAAACTGCTGGGATTACAGGTGTGAGACACCATGGCCCAGCTTATCTTTCATTTTTAAATCCCATTTGCAGCCTAACTGATAAAAGGAAAATGTGAAGAAACTTCCTGAGAAATACAGAATCAGGAAGTATAATGCAGAAAAGCCAAGAAATCTAGATCGTTTTATGACTACAGAAGACAGTATATTTCACAACTGATCTAAGGCAGCAGTCCCCAACCTTTTTGGCACCAGGGAATGGTTTTGTGGAAGACAATTTTTCCATGGGACAGGAGTTGGGTGGGGGATGGTTTCAGGATGAAAATGTTCCACCTCAGATCATCAGGCATTAGTTAGATTCTCATAAAGAACATGCAACCCTGATCCCTTGCATGTGCAGTTCAAAACAAGGTTGGCACTACTATGAGAATCTAATGCCGCCACTGATCTGCCAGGAGGTGGAGCTCAGGTGGTAATGCTTGCTCCCCTGCTGCTCACCTCCTGCTATGCTGCCCAGTTCCTAACACCAAACAAGCCAAGGACTGATACCTGTCTGCAGCCTGGGGTTTGGGGACCCCTGGGTCTAAGGAAACCAAGGATGACAGAGGAAACGTCATTGGATTTGGTGATTCGGAGGTCACAGATAACTTTTAAAACAGTAGTTTCAGTGGTGAAATGGTAAAGGCAGTACGAGTGCAAAGCACAGAAGCATTTAGTAAGAACTCTACAATGTACCAAACACTTGGATGGACATTTAACATGTATTAATTTCTTTAACCACCACCCTGTGAGCTAAGTATAACATATTTTATAGATACAGAATGAAATCTGAATAGTAACATACCCACAGTTACACAGCTACTAAAGTGGTTTTAAAAGACTTCAAAAACCCAGATCAAAAGTTCTATCTTGCTCAAAAGTCAATGTTCTTCCTACTATAACAGCTTCCTGGGATGAAAGAATAAGTCTTTAAAGAAAAGAATAGAAATACAGTGGCATAGCAGACTCAAGCTTTAGAACGTCCTCCTAGAGTTGAACAGCACACACACTTATATGGCAGAAGATACAAGCATCTATGTAGGCTAGAGAGGGAGAGGCTGAAGAAGGTGGACAGGAAGTGAAAATGGACAGTTTCTAGAGAAAGAAAGATGGGAAAGGGTACATGGACACATCTGGAGGGAGGGGGTTGCTCTTGAAAAGAAAGAAGGTCATTTCTTCCTCTGAGATATATATATATAAAGAGATGACACTGAGATGAAAAAAGTGAAGTGGAAATATACCTCAGATGGTTGAGATTTTTCTCAGCAAAGGAAGAGATTAAGTTATTTGCTATAAAAACCTGAGGAAATGAGAAGAAAAGGAACACAACACTAGAGACCCAGCAGAGAGCACCAACTGGCATAAAAACTGACCAATATCCTCACATAGCTGTCTCTGATGTCCCTCAGAATTTCAGGGGTCAAACTGGTAAAGCTAGCGAGGCTTATTTAGGATTGGGGACTAGAAAGGTAAGTCTACAGAAAGTGAAGCATTCTAGGCCATCAATAGGAGCTTAGTAAAAGCTGATGATCATGGGATCCTGGTTACACAGGGAGGCAAATGAAATCAGCATTAGGGTAATGGGTTGGAAGAACAGGGAGACAAAGAAGGTTCACAAAGAGAAAGAGAGAGAGAAAGGAAAAAATACCAAATTCCATAAGAGTGGAAGAGTGAGAGGGTTTGTTTGTTTGTTAGGAGACAGGGTCTTACTGTCACCCAGACTGGAGTGCAATGGCACAATCTTGGCTCACTGCAACCTCCACATCCCGGGCTCCAACAATCCTCCTGCCTCAGCCTCCCAAGTAGCTGGAATCACAGGCATGCACCACCATGCCTGGCTTATTTTTGTATTTTTTTTTGTACAGATGAGGCTTTGCCATGTTGCCTAGGCTGGTCTCGAACTCCTGGACTCATGCGATCCATGCGCTTTGGCCTCTCCCAAAGTGCTGGAATTACAGGCATGAGCCACCACACCCTGCCAAAGTGAGAGGTTTTAAAGAGTTTGTGGTCAGATGTTTTTTGATACAGAGCTACAAATCATTTTGCCAGAAGCAGTGAGCCACTGATTGGGGCTCAGCAACCCCTGCTTTGCTACTGCCCCTTCAAACTGTATGCAGAGAATTCAGAGACAACCAGCTCTAAAAACACACAGGCTCTGGTTCCAGAAAAGTGAAGGCTAGCAACGAATGAACTAGCCCATACAAGAAGCAAACATAAAAATATTCCTCCTTCTTTTAAGCTGAACAATTCTATCTCTAAATTTTAAAAATGCATTAAAAGGTCAAAAGTCCACAGTAAAGGGAAAAATAGATTATGTGTTATGAGACAGAATGAAAAGTAAACAAATCTGCCAGGCTATTTATAACCCACACGTTAAAAATTTTTAACATACAATTCTAATACAGCAGGCATAGTTTGTGCTTAACAACTTTGGAGAACATCTAGCATAACTTCAAGAAAACGATATTGCTCAATTTAATGTTAATAAAAAAGGTCCACCCATTTGCAATTTCAAAGGGCAAGCTATCATTTATATTTTTAATCTCACTTCTACAATTTTGGGGCTCTTGACACGTTATCCAACCCTTCCATCCAGGGAAAGATGGAAAAATTAGCCATGGCAACTTCCTCCACTACCGCTTTGATCCCACATTTTGCACTTAGACTCTGGCAAGGTACTACGTTATTTAGGACAGTTTTTTACACCAGTAATTCTGACTACCCTTGCTCCACTAATAAAGGAGGGAGTACTGAGACTGGCACAAGACTAAATCATATAGAAAATATCAAGTACTCCTAAGGAGGGTTGAACAGTAACAACAATCGAGAATACAAGCAATTTAAGAAGTTTTGAACTTAAAAAGCTTTTCTCCATTTTAGTCCTTTCTAAATAGAAACAAAGGGCTTGTACAACATGGAATTCTAAGACGTCAGTAGGCAATTTAAGCTAACACTGAATAAAAGAATAAATCACTTATCCTTGCTTGTACCATTAAGTGATGTCTTACATGTACTGCATAAGGTCTTCTTTTTTAAAACGAATATAACAGTTTCCAATTCTTTCACTAGATCTAGAAAGCTCACGCCCCCACCTCAACAGTTCAGAGACCAAAGATTTCCTACAGCCGAAAAAAATGAATGATTTAGATGAACAATCATTTGCCAACAGAGGCACCATTCCTCTACTTGGTGGGTCAAGGAGTCAGACTCTGACCTAACCATCCAAGGCTCCTGGGGACTTGATTCTCCCATCAAAGTGAACAAAATTCACCGGCCTTTGGATAACAGCCCTTTCTTTGTAACTCCACATGCCGGGCTATCAGGTATTTTCCCAGGCAGAGAGTTTAAAACTTTTAGAGGAAGCAAGAGGGTCCAAACGAGGAAGATGGGGAAGCGACTAAAATGGGAAGGGCGGACGACCCACCCACCTAACGCGAATGGGGCACCACTTGCAGGGGCGAAGCTCCAGCAGCAGCCAGGAAAGGTGGAGGACGGCGGGCGTCGCGACCCCCATCCACTGCGTGAGAATGGAGGACCTGCAAAGCCAGGGGCCAACTGGAGGCCTGAATGGGGAGTGCGGGGAGGGGAGAGGGTGAGACATGGAGAGAAGAGAGCCACAGAGTCGGGCCGAGCACCGTAGGGTCCCGAGCAGCGGCGGGGCAAAGCCGAGGAAGCTTTGCCGGGAGGAGACGTCAATGCCTGCAGCCTCACTCACCTGCCAGACGCTCGCCCAGTGGCCAGAAGTACGAGCGCCGCCCGGGCTCTTCGTCTCCTGCCGGACGCAGCTCCTGCTGCCGCCGGTGCTCCAGGACCCGAGAACTGAGGGTGGTACAGAAGCGGGCAAAGGGGCGACCGGACCCGAGCCCAGGGAGGCGTACATAGGGGGCGCCGAGGCCCGAGAAGGCAACTGAGTGCTTCACCTTCCTCACCAACAGCCAACAACAGTACCTGGGAACAGCATCGAGCCAACCTCGGTCCGCAGCTCCCGGGCCTGAGCCCGCAGGTCCCCCCCGAGCAGCGGCTAGGCTTCCGGCGGCCACACCCCGCCCCCTTGCTACTTGCCCTCCGCCATCTTGTGGGAGGTGGGAAGACTACAATGCGCATGCGTGAGAGGTGTTGCTGGCTTCCCACAGCCCGGAGACTAGAGCCTGTTATGCGCAGGCGCAATGGGTGCTGCGCTCCGCTTGCCGGGCACTGCTTCGCTGTTCTGTCCCGTGAGCCATTGCTGCCTAGGCAGCCGAGTCTCAGTTGCAGCACTTACTGGCCTTCTCTGAATTGTGCTGCAGCCCAGTTAATAGATCCTTCTGCACACACTAGTCCATTATTCCGCAAACATCTATCGAGTGCTCACTATTTGCTACTCCCCGTACTAGACGCTGATGATAGAAAGATGAATAAAATTCTGTCCCAGCCCCACAAGGGCTCATAAGATAGCGGAGAAACGGAGATGAGCAAGTTATTATTTTGTAGCTGCGACCTCTGCTTCCCTACCACCTCTCACTACCACCCTGTAGTTTTAATTTAAAAACACCTCTTCCGGGAAATCCTTGTTTGTCTCACACAGTTTGATAAGTTCTTTACCTTGGATTACCTCTTCAGTTTCATTTCATTCAACATTAATTGAACAATATCATTTGGGTTTCCGATATATACTAGATACTGTTTCAGGCTCTAGATTTACAGCAATAGGAAATACAATAAACTCACGGAACTTACATTCTAGTGTGAAAGAATAGACAATAAAAGACAGTCAACAAAAGAATGTTTGATGGTGATAAGGGATAGGAAGAGAGCAAACCACACAGAAAGATGATGGACAGTGAGAGGTGGTGATTAGTGATCTTTCTCCAGAGTTGACATTTAATCTGAAGCCTGACTGACCATGGGGGCCCAGGAGCCACTGGAAGATCTGGGGCAAAAGCTTTCAGACAGAGGGAACAACAGAACAGATCCTGAGGTGGTAGCAAGTCTGACATGAAAGAGGGACAGAAAGAATAGGTGACATGGACAGTGGGAAGGAGATGTGGTCGGGGTAGGCAGAGGCCAAATCAGGTAGGGCCTCCAGGTCATGGTAAGAAGTTGGATTTTATTCAAAATGGCCCTTGTATGTTGTTGACGCTGTCTCCCCTAGCCCCCACTACTCCTCTTCAAACACTTCTAGCTCCCGACTGCCTTTCTGGTTTGTATATGCCCCCTTGACTACCTAGAAGACACTTCTTCTTGTTCTTTAAATGTCTAACTTCTTATCTTTCAAGTTTCAGTTTAAATATCACCTCAGAAAGACCGTCCTTCCTAAGAATAATAAATTTTCCCCTGTCTTCCTTATTATTCTCAATCATTGCACCTTATCATTTCTTCCATGGTACTCAATATGTTTTTAAATGATCTATGTTTTGTTTCTTCACTGCCTCCACACTAAACAGTCGACTCCATAAGACAGGGAATACGTTTTGTTTACCAATGAATACACAGTGCATAGCACCATACCTGGCATGAGTGCTCTGTCACTCAGTGTTTGTTGATTTAATAAGTGTGGAAGTTTGTCAGCATCTAAGTAGTTGGTGGTGTACTATATTGGTTTCACTTGGTTTTTAAAATGAAATGCAAGTCACTTCTTATTTATATGTCTCCTCAGCTAGAATATAAGTAGGAAGGTTGGAGAGAGAGCAGATGGGATGGAGAAGGGTGGGTGATTGTGGGACAGTGGGCAGGGTTTATATTACATATGTTGTAGTATGGAGAGAAGGAAGGCTTCAAGTTAATGCAATCCCTATTATATGTGCTGTGAACTATGTTAGATATGAAATCCTCACCACAGCCCTGCTAGATAATTATCCTCACTTTTATACATGGGCAAATTCAGAGAGATTAAGTCCCTTGCCCAAGGTCTCACATTAAGGGATAGTGCTGACCATAAAGCCCATGCCCTTCCCATCTAGAGAAATTGGATTTGGAGACAGGCTTACTCAGAGATTTGATTCTGTGTCATTAGCAGGCTTTCATTAGAGATTTCATTCAGTTACCCCCACTTAAGGGTCCCAGTCGTATTACTATCCCTGTGTAGGACCTCAAAGGGCCTGCCTGGAAACTACTGTCGTTCTTTTCTTTTGAACTAGAGCAGAACTCATTTTAGCATTTTCCTTTTAATGTTTTTTAAATTCTGTATTTATTTTTATTAATAACATATATATTTTCATTAAAGGAAAAGAAGAAATACCAGCAAAATGGATACATAGTCTAAAGGCTAGCTGCATCTATTGGTTAGGCTTCTCAATGTGCCTAGATGGGACTTGCTGGCCCATCTAGGACCCAGCTGATACCTTAGACCCCCAAAGACCCTTCTGGAAAAGAGTTATAGGCTCACTGCAACAACCTCTTCTTCCATTGACTTATCAGAATTACACACCATCATTTCCCCTCTAAATGGGATAGCTGCCTCAGGATGGCTGGGGAGACCTGCCAGAAAGGATGGGGCTGGCATCTTATCTGTGGGGGCCATTTAGTCCTTATATGAGAGAAGAGATTCACTGAACCCATAACATATGCTCTTCAACCAAGCCCTATCAGTCCATATGCAAATCAAGTAGTAGGTAGGAATATATACTTGAAAACACTTCCCCGCCTTCTACCTCACTACAATGTAATCCTTGGAATAAATCCTAGAAACAAGACAAAGTCTTCAGTTTCTATGGTATTTACTTCTCTTATGGTTACCATCTGTTAGAGACTGAATTGTACTACTCCGAAAAAAGGTATGTTGAAGTTCTGACTTTCAGTACCAAACAATGTACCCTTATTTTGAAATAAAATTATTGCAGATATAATTAAGATAAAATGAGGTCATACTGCAATAGGGTAGGATAACCCACCATGACTACTGTCCCTTTAAGAAGATGACCGTGTGAAGACATAGACAGAACGTGAGGATGCCAGATGAGGACAAAGGCAGATTGGAGTTATGCAGCTACAAGCCAAGGAATGCCAAAGACTGCCAACAAACCATCAGAAGCTAGGAAGAGGCATGCATGGACTTTCCTACAGGTTTCAGAGGGAACATGGCCCTGTGGACACCTTGACTTTGGATTTATAACTTTCAGAACTCTGAGTCAATAAATGTCTGTTGTTTTAAGCCACCCAATCTGTGGTACTTTGTTATAACAGCTCTATGAAATTAATACACCATTTTATCTGGCAGGGCCTGAAATAGAGGAAAGAGATGTTGGCAGGCAGTGAGAAGGCTTGAGCTACCGCTCCAGTATGAGCAAGCCAGCTGCACAACCTCAAGCCAGTCGCTGAACAACAGTTTCCTCATCTGTACAAACAGAGATAATGACAGCCACCCTGCCTACTTCAAAGATCTGCAGTGGTAACTAACAAGTATTCCTCCAGTGATGCTGTGACCAAGGTCTGACAGATACTAAGAAACAATTATGTAAAGACAGGGTTCCTGCCACAGGGAATTTTACAGTCTGGCTGAGAAAACTAGACACTTTCCTATGATAAGATAAATAGTATGGGCAAAGTGCCAAGTGCGTGGTTTGGATCTTATTCACTATTGATGCTGAAAAAGGGAAGGATCCTGTGGACTGGGGTGGAGAGGGAGACTTCATGAAGGGCCTTAGCAGAAAAGGAATTTATTAGAAGGATATTTGACATCTACAGGATCTTCAGGAACAACACGCAACATTATGCCCGGAACTGGTCCCAAGAAGCCATCACTGTAGCCACTGCTGGATGCAAATACCAAAACTGAGACTGCCAGTACCACTTGACCCAGAGTGGATGATGCCTCTGCTGCTTCTGGAAGATAGATGCAGTTACTATCACTGCCACTACTCTCAACAGAATGGAGGGTCACTTCATATTCACAACATTAGCTTTCAACCTCAAGCCTAGAATGGGGGCAAATCATGGATATAACCTAGTAACACATTAACACTCTACCTACATGCTGTCTGATAGAAATATAATGCAAGCCACATACATAATTTTAAATTTTCTAGTAGCCACATAAGACAGTTTAAAAACAAAAACAAAAACAAAAAACCAGCCTCTAATCCAAGCAGTTTGGGAGGCTGAGATGGGAAGATTGCTTTAGACCAGGAATTTGAGACCAGCCTGGGTAATATAGTAAGACATTGTCTCTACAAAAAAATATTAGCTGGGCATGGTGGTGCATGCCTGTAGTCCTAGTTACTCAGGAACCTGAAGCCGGAGGATCACTTGAGCCCAGGAGTTCCAGGCTGCGGTGAGCTATGATTGTGACACTGCACTCCAGCCTGGGTGACGGGGGGGAGACCCTGACTCTAAAGCAAAACAAAAACCAGGTGAAACCAATTTTAATAATATATTTTATTTAACCCAATATATCCAAAATATTTCAACATGTGCCACTAGACATACGTCAAGTGCTCAGTAGCCACGTGTGGCCAGTGGCTACCATGTTTGACAGCACAGCGGTAATTGATAGGAAGGCCAGGAAAATGAGCATATGAACTTCTAATTTCGATAGTGAGAGGGAATTTCTGCTTCATGAGGAGGGCAATCTCCTAAACACAGTAAGAGAATTAAGACATAGTCTTACAAATGGAAAATAAAGTTGAAGGAAAACCAAACTGGATTGTAGAGAATGGAAAATGGTAAACTAAGGACATTTAATTTCATCATGTAGTGACTGAGAGCCACTGAAGGTTTGTGAAATGGGGAAGTATTTTGAAAATTTAATAAAAGTACCATGAAGGGGTAGGTGATAAAAAACACTTGAAGTTAGAATTTCTGGGCTTAGTTATGTTTTTTTTTTTTAATCTGTGCAGCTTTATACAAGTTGTCTCTCTGGATTTTTCTTCTCATCTTCAGACATGGTGCTTATAATATCTATCTCAGGCTTGTTGTGTTGTGAGGATTAAATGAAATGGTACATATGAAAATGACCAGCACCTGGTGCATTATTTAGGGTTCTCCAAAGAAACAGAACCACTAGAATATATATGAGATTTATTATAAAAATTGGCTCATGTGGTTATAGAAGCCAAGAAATCCCACAATCTGCCATCCATAAGCTGGAGAACCAGAAAAGCTAGTGGTGTAATTCAGTCTGAGTCTGAAGGCCTGATAATCAGGGTGCTGACAGTATGAATGCCGGTTTGAGTCTGAAAGCTCGAAAAAACAGGAGAGTTAACGTCCAAGGCAGGAGAAGATGCTCACCCACATTGGTGAGGGAGATCTTCTTTATTCAGTCTATGAATTCAAATGCTACTCTCTTTCTGAGACACCCTCACAGACACACCCAGACATAATATTTTATCACTTATTTGGGCGTCCCTTAGCCCAGTCAAGTTGACACATAAAATTAGCCGTCACACTTGGCAAGCACTCAATACATGATACTTAAATCTGAATGAATCTGAGTATCCAGTTAGAGGTCTAGATAGATAGTAAGGAGGTTGGATTATTTCCTAAATGTCAAGAGGAGCTCCAGGGTAAAAACCCAGAAAATATGTATTTTAGATATCTCAATTCTGTCTCAGCGTCGACAAGTTAAAATGTGTACTTGTTTTTTGCCTAGACCATGTCTTCCTTGAAGCCCTTACTGGTCATCCCTGGCCAGAGGTCATCTCTGCTTCCATGGCTTATTGTTCTCCTTTAGGTAGTATTACATTGCCATGTGTTGGCCTCATGTCTTGTCTTCTTTACTATAATAGATACATACATGAGGGCATAGGCCATATCTTATTCATATTTGTATTTATCTCCTACAATTTCTTGAATTGAAAGTGTCCAAACAAACAGAAGCTGGATGATGAGTACCATGAGTATTCATTATATTATTCTTACTACTTTTGTGTATGCTTGGAATTTTTCATAATAAAAAGTACTTTTAAAAAGACATCCAAGAAACTTCTGCTGCTAGATGGGGGGCTAAGTACCAGTGTTTACTTCCTTCTCCTCTGTATATTCCACTAAAATATCAGTAGCAGGACTTAATTTTTGATGAAACTAATGAATGTTAAGCTTCAAGGCTCTTCACTTGCGTGGGCCCTTTTCAAGGTCCTGGAAAATGCCTTAGCAATATGTTCATAAGTTTTTGTAAAATCTGCAAAAGTAGTATCTCTTAATCACAATTGGTTAAGGGCATTTCTCTTTCCACTTTGACTTACTGTCTGTCACAGGTCTGTTTTGTCAGGTGGTATTAGAGTAGCTGTAATAACTTTGGGTTCCAGCTAAGGGGAAGTTGAGTTTAAGAGACATTTTTAAAAATTTGGTCAGAGGATATTTATGTGATTCATAGTTATGTCTGTGTCTAGTATCTTATTGATAACTATCTTAGTGGAGTAATAACTTCCAGGAGTACTTCTACAGTCCAGTGCCTGACTCTGTCTGCATTCTAACACAATGGGGCAGGACCAGAGTTTGTGTTGTAACATGAACATGTTCTGTGGCACCTGAACCCGAAGTATGTATACAGCCAGAAGTTAGTCTATAGAAAATTCTTCCAAACTTTATAGCACATATGGAAAATGAACGTGTAGGTAACACGGAAAAAGAAAAGACATGATGGAAATTTTCCCAAATGAGATAACAATCTTAAGAAATCACAAGCCATTACTAATAACAAGTTGTCAAGCTGAAAAAAATCTAAACTATCAATAATAAAAATTTTGTGATTAACCATGTTAGAAGAAAGACAATTATATTTCTATTCAATCTATTAAATTATAATAAAACAAAATCACCACTTAAAGAGCATCTAGAAAAAAATTTAGGACAAAACTACAGAGGTATGTCAGGCAGTAAAATAATGCACTTGTGTTATTTTTCCAGGTTTTGTGATGCTTGTGGATTTTGTGTCAGCATTCTAGATTTATTTTTTCATTCTAAAGAAATATTTACTTTTTCACCTAAATTTATATTCAAACGTTGTATTTTTTTTTTCAAATTCAATGCCTTATCATGGGCCTCTGCAATTACAGTTAGAGACATCAACATCCCTCTCTCAGTAATTGATAGAACTACTAGGCAGAAAATCAGCAAATACATAGAAGACTTGAACAACAGAATTAATCAATAGGATCTAACTGACATTAATACAACACTCAGTAGAATACACTTTTTTTTTTTAAAGCATCCATGACACACCACATCTTTGGCCAGAAAACAAAACTATGCAGAATATGTCCTCTGAGCATAATGAAATTTAATTAGTAATCAATGAGAGAAAGGCAATGGGAGAATCTCGATACACTTGAAAATTAAATGACACACTTCTTTTTTTTTTTTTTTGAGACGGAGTTTTGCTCTTGTCGCCCAGGCTGGAGTGCAGTGGCACGATCTTGGCTCACTGCAACCTCCGCCTCTCGGGTTCAAGCGATTCTCCTGCCTCAGCCTCTCGAGTAGCTGGGATTACAAGCGCCCACCACCACACCCGGCTGATTTTTGTATTTTCAGTAGTGACAAGGTTTCACCATGTTGGCCAGGCTTGTCTCGAACTCCTGACCTCAAGTGATCTGCCCACCTTGGCCTCCCAAAGTGCTGGGATTACAGGCGTAAGCCACTGTGCCTGGGCTAAATGACACAATTCTAAATAATACCTCAGCAAAGAGGAAGTCTCAAAGGAAAGTTTTAGAAAATATACAGAACTGAATGGAAATGTAAATACAACATATCAAAATTGGTGGAATGAAGCTAAGGTGGTGCTGAGAGGGAAATTCATAGCACTAAATGACTACATTCAAAAAAATAAAATGATTACCTTAGAAAAGATCCCAAATTAATCACCTAAGTTTCTACCTCAAGAAAAATGAAGAGCAAAATAAACTCAAAAAAAGCAAAAGGAAGGAAATAATAAAGATAAAAGCAGAAATCAATGAAATTGAAAAGAATAACAATAGGGAAATCAATAGAACATGAAGCTGGTTGATAAACCTCTAGCAAGCCTGACAAAATAAAAAGAGAGGGGGCACAAATTACCAATATCAGTCATGAAACAGGATATAATTATAATTCTTGCAGCTATTAAAAGAATAAAAGGGAATACCATGGACACATGTACACTTATAAATTAAACAACTTTAGAAGAAATGGACCAATTTTTGAAAACCGTAAATGACCAAAGCTCAAACAAGATGAAACAGAATAGTCCTATAACCATGAAATAAATTGAACTGCCACTAAAACGCTCTGGAAAAAGAAATCTCCAAACCCAGATGGTTTCACTGGAGAACTCTACCAAACATTCTGAGAAGAATAAGCTCTGATTTTAAACATTCTATCCTAGAGAATAGAAGAAGAAGGACTACTTCTCTATTCACTTTATGAGGCCAGTATTACTTTGATACCCAAACTAGACAAAAACAGTAGAATAAAAGGAAATTACAGACCAATATTTCTCATAAACTTAGACACAGAAATCCTCAACGAAACATTGTTTTTTCTTGGAATCCATGGGGAATTGGTTTCAAGCTCCTGAGAATACCAAATTCCACAGATACTTGTTTCTTATATAAAATGGCACAGTATTTGCATATAATCCAGGCATATCCTCTGTATATGTTAAATCACCTCTAGATGACTTTATAGACATGCTCTGCTTAACGACAGGAATACATTCTGAGAAATGCGTTTGGTGATTTTGTTATTGTGCAAACATCATAGCATGTACTTACACAAGCCTAGATGGTATAGCCTAGGACACACATAGGATATATGATCTAGCTTATTGCTCCTAGGCTACATACTTATACAACAGGTTACTGCACTGAATACCGTAGGTAATGGTAACACAATGGTAGGTGTGTGTATATTTAAACATAGAAAAGTTACAGCAAAAATATAGAATGATAATTTTAGGAAATCATCGTTGTATATGTGGTCTGTTATTGACTAAAATATTGTTATGCACTTCATGATTGTAATACCTAATACAGGATAGATGCTATGTAACTTGTTGTTATACTATATTGGTTTTTATTTTTATTATTTTCATTGTTATATTGTTATTTTTATTGTTCTTTTTCTAAATATTTGTGATCTGCAGTTGGTTGAATTTATGGATGCAGAACCCACAGATATGGAGGATTTTGAGTGTACTAGAAAATCAAACCCAATAATATATTTAAAAAAAATATGACATGGCAAGTAGGATTTCTCCCAGGTATGCATGGCTAGTTCAATATTCGAAAATCAATGTGATCTACATTATCTACATACAACAGGCTACAGAAGAAAATTCATGTGTAATCACATCATTTGATACAGAAAAAGCATTTGACAAAATGCAACACCCTTTCATGATAAAACCTGGGTCTGTTCCCTGCCCAATAACTGCATAAAAGGGAATAAATTTGTGACTATTGAGAATGAAGAATGTTCCATCAGCTGATGAGAGATTTGGCAAGTGTCTAGAAGACAAGAAATGATGGATGAACCAAGGTGGAAGACATGCTCCAATCCAGAACATAAACTGCCTTATGGAGAGGCCCACCTGACGTGGAATTGAGGGAGGCCTCTGCCCAAAAGCTAGTGAAGAACTGAGGTTCTTAGTCCAACAGTTCATGAGGAACTCCCTGCCATCAATCATGTGAGAGAGCTTGGAAGTGACTCTCCCAGTCAAGGCTGCAGATGATAGCACAGACTTGGCTGAAAGCTTTATGAGAGACCTTGAAGCACGGGTACCTAGGTAAACCATGCTCAAATTCCTGACCAATAGAAACTGTGAAAAAAAAATACTTCTTGTTATAAGCTGCTAAATCTTGGTATAATTTGGAAGGCAGACATGAGAAGGTATGAATTCCATTTCCAGCAGTAATTGAATTGGTCATAGAGCAAGTTTGAAAATCTTTATGACACCAATTATACATGTTTCTTCTTTTTTTGTTTCTCTTGTGCCTGTATCAACATTTCACTCATGATACACTAAGCTTCCCTTCTTTTAAGCTCCACCTATTTCTTAAAACTTTCCAATTAAAGTGGCTGAATGCAATAATCAGCCAGAGACTCTGTGCTTTTCTGTCTAATGACAAAAAAAAAAAAAAAAGGAAAACTCTCCATCTGGGTAGAAATTGATAATTAGCCATATCCAATTCCTGGACATCTGGCTTTTAAATGAAACTGAGCATAGCAATGTCTCCTCCCTCGGCATTATTTTACTGAAAGTGCTACGTATTCTTCTAGTACTTAAAGGGACAGCACCAATGTAACTTGAATATCAAGTTACTAAAGATTTGTCTCAATTGTTTTTCATACTACCAAAATCTTAGCTGTTTATCATAGAAAATTTGGAAACTCCAGAAAATCTCAAGAAGAAAGAAAAAAATCTCACCATTCAAGATAAGAATTGTCACCATTTTGGTGGTGCTCTTTCCAGGTTTACTTTAAAATGAAAGGCATTTCAGAATAACAATATTGCCCTCTACAATAAATCCTCATTTTATAAAAGCATATTTTAATGAATAAAATTTAACAAAGAAAACCAAATCATTTATTTCACTGAAATTCACATCAATATCTTGACACAGTTTATGGTTTGGCTGATGACATTGATAATCCGCCCTAACAACCAGTCTGAGTAGCTCAGGGGAACATCCCACAAGACCAAAGCAGCCCCAGCAGCACGTTGAGAGCGGTGGGGCTCAAGAGAAACAACATATGTTTGCATCCGCTCTCCCTTCATGCTGCTACAGCTCCCCCGTCATTTGGGGTTGGGGAGGGATCCAGAGACTTGCACCAAGATCTTTAGTAGACTGGAACCAGCTTAAAGAACTGAGAGAAAGTCAGTTTAGAGATTTTATGAGTTGGCAATTACACACAGCTATTATTAAAAATTAAATAATATAAAATTGCAATTCAATAAATTATATTGAAAACAAAGGTAATAAGCACTCAAAACTCATCACTTTCAAATCATTTTCTCACATTTAACCATTTCCTATGCTCCTGATGCCATTCCATCTCTTGTATCTAAATGGTGGAAAAACTGTATAATGTTCTAGGGCACATCTACTCAAAACACTAAGTTCAATGATGTCACATTGGTAGTTTGAAATTGGCCAGAGCGAGAGCATTTACACCAGGGAACTCAAGAAATGCTCAAAATCTGGGCTTGACTTATTGTTTTGTTGATAGTCTAGTGATGGAGAAAATGTTAATGCTGTACATTAAAGTTAAAAGCGTGTCACGTCTATTGCTCTTACTTTGCGAATAGCACACAGATTGAGGAAATATTATTCCGGTATTTAAAAACCATTATCAAATTCTTCCAAGTCGCTCACATTATAGACAAATAAATAAAGTTCTAACATATATCTTTGTTGTTTCATTTTCATCTTACTCATTAATGACTAAGAAAATATCAGCCAGGATTCTTGTCAAAACTACACTTGTTTGTTATTTATAATGATAGGTTGGCTACAGATACAAAAGTTCAGCAAAAATCAATGAAACAATCATGGGCAAAAATCAGGAGAATTATTGGCTATATGAAAGTCACATTAAAGAACATTTTCTGTTTTGCTAATATTTATACACTATGTGCTATATACTCTTTTTTCTCTATTTTTTCTTTTTGTTTGTTTTTTTTTTTTTGAGATGGAATCTTGCTCTGTTGCCCAGGCTGGAGTGCAATGGCATGATCTCGGGTCATTGCAACCTCTGCCTGCGGGTGCAAGCAATTCTCCTGTCTCAGCCTCCTGAGTAGCTGGGATTACAGGCGTGTGCCACCATGCCCAGTTAATTTTTGTATTTTTTTTTTTTTATTAGAGATGGGGTTTTGCCATGTTGCCTTGGCTGGTCTTGAACTCCTGACTTCAAGTGATCTACCTGCCTCAGCCTCTCAAATTGCTGGGAATTATAGGCGTGAGCCACTGCACCCAGCCTGTGCTATATACTCTTCATATCAGTAAAATTTAAAAGAAACTTTAGTTTGTGTGTGTGTGTGTTTGTGTGTGTGTGTGTTTGTGTGTGTGTGTGGGTGTTTCAGAGAGCTGGTTACTAATCATTTACCAGTGTACTACTGATTAGAAGCAAATGCTTCCTTTTGCCCTACTCGACTTAGCCCCCAGCTAATCCCTTTCAGCAAGGTTTCAGCTGATGAATAAATAGGAAAAGTAAGTGAAAGAAAAATAAGGGCTGCAGGAAATAGAAGAGGGAGGAAGAATATAAAAGAAAGACAGGAAGGAAAAGAAAGATAAATTTCTCCCTGACTTGCCTGTGTACATCTTTCTTTCTCTTTATCTTTTACCATCAGCCAGCAGCTGTCTTTGAGAAAGGAGACAAACCATTGCACAACCCTTTAGGAGTCCTGGAACCACAAATATGTCAGGGATTAGCTGGTAACCCCACTCATAAGAGAGCTAAGAGGCCAGCAGTCTCCACCAACAATGACCACAGTGATCTGGGTCAGAGTTTTTTGTTTTTGTTTTTGTTTTTTTAAATTGAGCTGTAATTTATACACAGCAAAATTCACCATTTAAAAGTATAGTTTAATAAGCTTTGACAAATGCAGACAGTCATGTAACCACCACCACAATCAAGATATAGAACTTTTTTGTCATACCCAAATGTTCACTTGAGCCTATTCGTGGTCAACCCCTCCCCATTTCCAGCTGCTGGCAACCACTGATTACTTCTCTATCCCTCTTATTTTGTTTTTTTGCAGACTGTCCTATACCTTATGAGTCCAGCTTCTTTCACTTAGCATAATGTATTGGAGATTCCCCCGTGTTGTTGCATGTTTAGTATTTCCTGTCTATTTACTGCATTATACGGATGTACGATTGTTTGTTACCCATTCACTGGTTGAAAAATATTTGGGTGTTTTCAGTTTGGGGTGATTATTAATAAATCCATTATAAATATTTGTGTACAGTTTTTTGAGTGGGTATATGTCTTCATTTCTCTTGAGTAAATACCTTGGAATGGGATTTTTGGGTCATACGGTAAGTGTATATTTAACTTTATAAGAAACTGCCAATCACATATCTTAAATGATGAGCATCTTTTCATGTACTTATTTGCCATCTATGTATTTAATTTGTTGAAGTGTCTGTTCAAATTTTTGCCTATTTCTAAATGGGATTTTAAAAACCTACTGAGTTGAGAGAGCTCTTTATGTATTTTGGAAATATGTCTTTTAATGAATATGTATTTTATAAATATTTTCTCACAGTCTGTAGCTTATATTTTTAACAGTGTCTTTTCAAGAGTAGAAGTTTTAAGTTTTAATGAAGTCCAGGTTATCAGCTTTTATTTCTTTTGTGGATCATGTTATAGGTGTTGTATCTAATGAATCTTTGCCTAACCCAAGGTCACAAAATTTTTCTCCTGTGACTTTTTCTAGACATGTTACATGTTGTACATTTAGGTTAATGATCTATTTTTACCTTAATTTTTGTGTGTGGTACAAGATAAGGGCTAAGGTTCTCTCTTTTTTAGTATATAGATGTCCAATTGTTCCATAATCATTTGTGATTATCATTTAAGAATCTTCTTTCTCCATTGAGTTGATTTTGCACCTTTGTTGAAAGCCAATTAACCGTATGTATGTATATGGGTTGTGTTCGAATTTTTAAAAGAGACTTCAATGCTAGGGGCTACCAACTACTTTTCTAGGGAGGAAAGCTAGTATCTCAGAGAGCCAGACACTGTTCTCACCAGTTCTGAGAGATGAGTAAATTCCTAAAGCAGGAAGCTTTGAGGGAGGCTCAAGCATAGGCTTGCTTTACCTTGAACTGAAAGAGACAGGTTATTGTCTGACTACTAGCTACCAGGCTCATGGTAGTCCTCATGTGCCTGAACACTAGGCAATCCTGAATATGAGGAGACCTTCCTTTTTTTTTTTTTTCCAAAAAAGCGACTAAAAAATGATAGGCCAACTTGGAAACAATACACACTTCTAAGGATATAGTCAAAACAGTCAAATGTCTGTTTCTAAAAACTTTGTTATAATTAACTATTATTTATTAAAATCCCATATCATATAAAATGACATGTGCATTTAAGAATGTTCTAGAGTTTTTCTGTCTCACATATTATGACCTAGTTTTACTTAAGTTCCTTGCATGTATCTTCAGCATTATAATCTTTGCCAACACTAGAACCACGCTGGTGTCATCTTACCCCGGTTTTTTCCAAGCACATCAGCTTTGTTTCATTCGATCTGTTATTTGAAATACAGCACTTTTTGAATCCCAGCAAGAAGCTGTCTTCAGCAATTTTATCATAAGCTACAAGTACCTATTTACATAACATTATGGGAGTTGGCATTTTTATTCATTTTGAACCCATGCTTTTATGATTTCTACCTCATAATTATTTATAGTGTTTTTTTAAAACAAATATATTTAGAAATTGTATTGTGCCTCTTCCAGTCCCCCCATCAAGGAGGATGAGATAAGAGAAAAGAGGAAAGGAAGGCACTAAAACCCCTAAAACCCAAAGCACAGGGATGGTGCCAAAGAAAAATGGGAAGGCCGGATTGATAAAAGGGTTGGGTCAACTCCCAGGTATGCCTTGTGGGTCAAGAGAGTGGGCAGTGGGAGTTGGGTGAAGCACTATTGGCAGCAGGGTGATGGTAGTCTGGGGTCCTAGACACCAGGGACCCGGGGTTTCCTCCTTGTCTAATGAGGCAGAACTGGATTCAGGATTAAGGGGCTAACCAATATTCCCCATCAGTAGAATAGAACTCATATTTTGAGGGCTCACTGGTGAGTCCTGGGCTTTATTTCTGCCCTCTGACTTGAAGACCTTCCAACATCCTTATAAAGTGCAAAGCAGTGAGTGAGTAGCTCTTCATTTATGTCTCCATGGATGGCAACTTAGTGCCTATCTCTATGTTCCTGAAGAGGGCTGGGCAGTTTCTTTTTTTTTTTGTGTGTGTGTGTGTGTGTGTGTGTGGTCTAAGTTTCACTCTGCCTTCTTAGGTGCTTTTCACTTCCTTTTGGAAAATATCTTTTGTTAGTAAAGCTGAGCTCACATGAGTCTCCTAAGTCTCTTCTGCCCTATTTCAAAGTGTGTGTGTGTGTGTGTGTTTATCTTCAGGGGGCTTAGGAGCAGGTGTAGCTGTGTATGTTTGCATTTTGGCATTGGTGTTAGTTCGGAGTTCAATCAGAAGACAGACACCACATAGTAATTTGAACATCAGAAATTGAAATAGAGAACTATTAACTTTAACAAAAGATTAGAGTAAGAGGAGATTAGCTAGTCAAAGGTAAAAATAACTTTAAGGCCGAAAGCAACCTAATGGAGAGCAGCTACAACTCAGGGCTGAGCTAGAGCATCCAAGGAAGAGACTCCTCCATCCTGGGCTGAGATCCAGATCCAGACCTCATTGGTAGAGGGTGCAACCATGGCTCACTGGATGGAGAAGAGGTTTGCTGAGGTCCTCTGCTGGTGGGACTACCTGGGAATCCACCCTCTAGATTACCAGGGGAAGCTCCCCATGGGGAGGTGCCATGCCTTGGATCTCATTGCAAAGCTCTGTGAGAGGATTTTTGGGGAGACATTTCTGGGGAAGTGCTGAGCTTAGGGTACTCCATTGCAAAGCAGCCTGAGAAGGTGATAGGGAACGATGCCCCTGGGGAGGTAGCACTTACTGCTGGCTGCTGGACACTGCTATCCCCTGTGCACTGGAGGAGCTGATGCTGTGTAAGCCAGTGGGTACTGTAGGAGCTTGCTGAGAGGTGCACACCAGAAAAGGACAAGAAATCCCTTCTTCCTCCAGTGACCTTCTAGCACCCTCTACCGACGAACATCATGCTAACTAGCAGAAGAGAAATACTGAGTCTAACTCCATTATTGCAGAGCAGGCAGTGAAGGGTGAGTTCAGAATGGACAGGTAATAAATTGATAATTGGCACAGCATCTCATGCCTGAAATGTTTAGGCTTCCTTCTCATTCTCATCTGAAGTCAATCTGCCTGGAGATGGGGACTTTTTAAGCTCCAAGCCCCATTGTGGGGTACACACTGCAGGAGACCCCTGCTCCAAGACACAGGGGAGCTGTGTCATGGGACTGGGGACAACAAAGAAAATCCTCCTGCTAAAACCAGGAGAGCAGCAGCAGCATCACTAGATGTTGCCCAGGCTTTGGGTGGAAGTTGGATTCTGGTGTGGACTCTGTTGCCATCTGCAGACCAAAGTCTTCTGTGTCTGGTTAGAGGTAGGCAACCACTCTAGTTCTCCTTGTATGTAACGAACTTGGTCAGTCAGATGGAGGTTGATGATTTCACTTTGGAACTACACATGTAGTAGTCTGCTGCCTGTCCTTATCTTTGCCATAATAATCTCTTTCAGGCATGTCTCATGATGCCGAACACTACAAACATGACAGTGGTAGTGAACCAGTGTAAAGCAGACTGTCAGCACAGGGGGTGGGGATTAGGAGGCAGGAAGTGGAGAAGGGGGAAGCTCCAGGTGTTCTGTGCCTCTGGCCATGGAAACCAAAGATACTTCCAGGTCTCCATAGAATTTCAAGTTGACTCAGGCTGGCTGCCTCAGGACACTGCTCTCAAGAAACACAGCTCCTGGTGACACTTGAGGGTCTTCCAGACAATGTAGCCAATTCATTCACTGTTGAGGAAAAAGTATCTTTCTGGCCTCAATGTGCCCTACCATCCCCCTACAACCACCCCATTTCCAAAGCGTCCTGGCCTAGTTCCCAGTCACAACTTTCTTTCAGGAGCACCTCCCACTTGCTTGGGAATGATGGCTTAGAGGTGATAAAATTATCAGTGATCAAAGAGATTCTATTGCTGCCTTTTTGTTCATTGAAAATAAGCTGAGGCCAGTAAGAGCGAAGCATTGCATGAGTCATCAGATGCTGATGAAAATGACAGAATTTGAAGCTCCAAAGTAATCTATAATCTCAATCAAGAAAATACTAAATTTTGCCAGGAATAATGCCAAAATTTAGATTTTTTGCTGTTATTAAGAAAAAGAGTAGTATTTTAAAATAAAAGACTTGATTGCACCTAGATCTTTGCTTTCTGTGTAAGATTGCACTAAAACCTATCTGCTGTCTGTATTTGAAGTAGTTACAACCTTTCCGCAGCCTCGCTGTAGGAGATAGATACCCCTAGATGAACTTGGAAAGCCTAGAGCAGGGGGAACATTTGACTCTCTTCTCTGGAACCCTGGGAGGAAATCACCCGACAGCGTGCTCCTTGCCAAACTGAGTAGAAATGGAAGGTTAAGTAGAGAGAAGGCTGGACACAGTGCCCACAGCCTGAACATGGCGGAAGCACACTGAGCTTTCCAATAGGTCCAGCAATAGGCATGACAGGGGCCATCTCACCTTGGAGCATGGTGACCTATAGCCCAGGCTCTAGGGTGGGAAGCCGAAAAGATCAATGTGAGGTTGAGTCTCCAAGCTTCATTTGAGCCAGAAGGGGCTGAATGGGGGTGGCCATAGTGGGCCTTTATCACATTTAGACAACAGGCTACAAGTTACCAGCTGTAAAACCTTCAGCTGCAGCAAGGACACAAGCATCTGGGGCACAGCCAGACGAACCCCTGTACACAGATATATCCTGAGGGGAAAGAGAAGACGAGAATCCTTGAGAGTGGATTGCAGCTCATGTATTGAATTTGAGCTCCAACTTACTGAGCTTAAATCTTTAATTTGACTGAATATTTACTCCAAGAGACTAACCTTGAAACTGCAATGACACAGTTACCTTGAGAGTGACAAGGCTGAGTTTACCTCTGTCGTTGAAAATGGAAACTTTAAAGTTAAATTGAATTCCACTATGGAGAAGTAAACTAAAATACATTTCTTCTCACTTCAGTTGTACATTGTGAATTTTAAATTCATTACACTATCATATTCTCCCTTTGAAGTCTTAAATAATTTATGTAGTGTGGACAGCAATGTGACTCAGCTGTGAGTTCAGCACTCCTGTATTGGCAGTGTCTGTGGAGCCCACACACAGACCTGGGGCAGATTTCCTGTCTCTGTCTCCTACAGAGAGGCTGGAGGGACGTTGTAACTACTCCTTTAAATACAGGCAGCAGATAGGTTTTAGGCAATCTTACAAAGAAAACAAAGACCTAGGTGCAATCAAGTGCCTCATTTCAAAATACTATTATTTTTCTTAATAATAATAGCAAAAAGCTAAATTTTAGCATTATCACTAGCAAAATTTAGTATTTTGTTGATTAAGCTTATGGATTACTTTGAAGCTTCAAATTCTATCATTTTCACCAGCGTCTGATGACTCATGCAACTCTTCATTCTTGCTGGCCTTGGCTTATTTTTGATGGGCAAATGGGAAGCAATAGACATGTCTTTGATCACTGATAATTTCACCACCTCCAACCCATCATTCCCAAGCAAGTGGGAGGTGCCTTTGCCTCAGAGTCCATAGGACTTCTCAACTTCTCCCAGCTGACAATAGCCCAATGATGACACAGTTTTTTCAGAGGCCAGGACACATTACACATCCTATTAATTAAGTTTGTATGACCAAAAAAAAAAAATTTATTAAGCACTGATGATATGCTAAGTGCCAGCCTGTAATGTTGAAAAATTACAGCCAGTCATATGTTGAAAAATAGGAGTTTCCTTCAAGGAGCTCACTGAGGGAACTTCAAGGAGCTCACTGAGGAAAATAAGATAAGAGAGTGGACTGACAAATACAGCCTAATGAAAGCATTTGCTGAATAATCTAGGTGAAATCTCTCAAATAAATAGACTGCTTTTCCCTCTCCTTTGATGACTGAGAGGACAGAGTGAAAAAGAGCAACAAAGAGGCAAAACCAGGGACAAGAATCAGGCAATAAGTCAAGTTGGTGGTATCAAAACAGGAATGAGAGAACTGTAATGATGGAAAAAATGCTGTAAAAACATTAGCTTGCCATCTGAGGAAAACTTGTCTGACATGTTTCTTCTCAAACTAGTTTCATCCTTCATTTACCATTAGTCAAAATTCACATTATGGCCCATGAGAAGTGCCCTTCTCTGATCCAAGTCCTTTCTAATTTGACCTGTGGGAAATCCAGTGGGTTGAAAGCACTGTGGTGCATTGTGGGAGGGAGTGGTCTGCTGGTAATGGAGCCATGTCAATATAGTCTGCTATGGCAGAAGAAGTAGGAGCTGGGAGCTGGTAATTGAGGAACCAGGAAAGCAAGGAGATGATAAGAAAGAAAGGCATTCTTTCCTTTCATTCAAGTGGCAGGAATAAAAGGCTTTAAGAAAATTATTATTTAAGGCAGAAGAGTCTTCTATTAAAGGGCTCTGTCTTTCCTCTCATATTAATTAAACACACACACACCCCCACAACCTGTGGTACTTATCTAGTATTCTGAGGAGGAAGAGAGGTCAATTACTTTCATAAAAAAATACTTTATGCTGAGACATGCAAGGGAGGTTACTTTAAAATATAATAATCTTATCATTTGTATATAATTTCATTTTCCAAATAATAGGTGTTTTCAAATAGAGTTTGCTTTGGCCTAATTCTTTAAAATGTACCTACAGCTAAACAATAAGTGAGTACAAAGGTGAGTATGTATTAATTCTAAAACTGATTCTATTTATGAGACGTTTTACTTTTTAAAAATGCTTACTGTAGTTTAATACTCATATTTCAAATCCTTTTATTGACCCGTACTGTCTCAGTACAGCATTGATAACATAACATAACATCCACAATAATTAATATCATAAACATGAGATTATGGCTTTCTTACAAAATGTAGCAGATGAGAGAAAGAGCTGAGAAAAACAAAGCTCTTTTCAAAACATGGTGTCTTAAAAACAGTTATTAAAACTGATAGCAAAGAGAACACAGAGCAGTAGCTTCAAAGTCACTTGTGTAATACCTGATTTCTTATTTACTTGCAGAAAATGTGCTTACGGCCAAAATATTATCTCACAAATTAGTCTACCATACTCATATAAAGATGAAACAGAACCTTTTAGCAAAATTCCACCATAAAGAACTACCCTGATGTATTGTTTCTGGGTCCAGTGCCCCAAATCCCAATTATGGACCTGCTTTTCAGGTGCTTTGTTTCAGGTGCTAAACAAAGAGGACATTGGATCTGCCTTTTGTAAGGAAACAAAAGACTGTGGTTGGAGACATGTGATGCCCATCATTTGCTCCTGCTGGCCAGAGGCAGAAAGGACCAGGGGAGGGGAGAAGAGACAAGGGCTACATTACTTAGAAACATCAAATTCTGATGCTGGGAATTTAGGAGAAGCATCCATAGAGAGCCTGGAATTTCTCTTTCTCTGTGTTTTTTTCCTTTTCTTTTTACTTTAAAAAATTGGTATATAATAAATGTACATACCTTGGGGTACATGTGATAATTTAATACATTTATGTAATTTCAAAAGATCAAATCAGTGTAACTGGAATGTCCTCACCTTAAATATTTGTCTTTTCTTTATGCTAGAAACATTCAAATTATTCTCCTCTAGCTATTTTGAAATGTACAATAGATTATTGTTAACTATAGTCACCCTACTGATCTATCAAATACTAGATCTATTTCCTCTATCAAACTGTATATTTGTTTCCATTAATCAGCCTCTCTGTGCTTCCTGAAACAAAGACATCTAACCAGACCTTGGATGGATTCTTGTTCTGGGCTGAAAAGCTTGAAGAAGGGAGAGCAGCTGCAAGGACAGCAGCATTGGAGTGATTTAGTCTTTCCGTTCTGCCTCTAGCTCCTTAGCTGAAAGCTTTTTCTTTGCCTTTAGAGGAACAAAGACCTCTGGGTCCTTAAGGTCCCCAGAGAACCACTTGGTCCCCACAGTGCAAGTCATCCAGTGTAGCATATGGCTAAAACTACCAAAACATCAGAAGGGTCAAAATGATTCTGAAAATTGAGGCAAATCGTCTAAATAATTCTACCAAAATTGTACTTTTGTTCAAACACATAGATGGCTGAGGCAAAAGTGGTCCTTTTGGCTTATCTTAGACAACAATGAAAATTATTTACATCATTTGGTAGGTTTAGATGAGAATTAAAATACACATTTTTTTGAAAAAGTATATTAATGTAGATGAAACTATTGGAATACATTTACCCATAGTATTTCTGAAGAGCAGATGACAATGTCTAAAAGACAGATTCTTATGGCAAAATTGTAGAGTGCAGTGTGAAATCTGCACATACCTTAACTTCAGGGGCATTAGTCATAATAGTGACCTACTTCACTGGGTTGTTAGGACATATGTAATATTCTAGGTAAAAGGAAGGAGATTCTTTGAGCCAACCAGTGTGTCTAACCTTCCCAGAATCCCATGATAACTTTCTTTATTTTCTTTTTTGGTTTATTTGGCTGAAGTTAATGTTAAGACAAGATATATTCTAATATATATCAAAAGAGTTTAGAACCCATGGGCCGAAGAGTTTAGAGCTCATAGTAATGCAAATTACTTACATCATTCCATTTAATACCAGAGTGATATGAGCTCTGCACTGAACAGCCAAAGCTGCAAATAGTTGGCAAGAAAATGAAGGGCCTGTCCCAAAAGAATGCTCTGCTTCAGGCTCTACCAAAGACAAATTCTTCAGTGGAGCATATCAGCTACCATAGGAAAACAGAAGCAAAGTTATGTCAGTGATTCTAGAACCCATACTGCTCTGACTTGAAAGTACGTTGGTGTTTGTTGAAAGCTCATTGTAGCATCATTGGCTATGATCAAGTTCTCATGGTAAAAGAAAAATAGTATCTTTTTTGTCAGAAAAGAGCGTTTGTAATAAATATGATACATTTAAACTTGGATTTTCTTGTGGAAAATAGACTAGTTTTTTAAAGGATAGCACTAAGTTAAATTAATTTATATATCTATAAAATGAGCTTCTTCATTTGTACATTCAATGACTCTAGCTGATTTTCCCAAAATATATCACACAGTCAAACATTCCCACCAAGCTAAGACTAGAAACAAGTTGTTAGTAAGAGGAATAATGGTGAGAAGTAGACCTGCCAAGACTGAATAATTAAAAATGATCCAGAGTTGAAAAAAGCAGAGTATTTTCCCCCACCTCCTTATGTTACAACATCTTACAACAGTAGCACAAATGCTTCTGTGGTTTACAATGAAAATGGCAGAATTCCTTAGGCCAAGGGACTCAGAATATAAATTCTCCCCCTACTTTCCATACTGGGGCCATAGTGGGAAAGATGCAGCTCTCTTGTCCTCTGGCTTTTTCAAATACAGAAAATTAATTTTAATTTTTATTTATTTATTTTTGAGAGGGGCAGTCTGGCTATGTTTCCCAGGCTGGTCTTGAACTCCTTGGCTCCAGCGATCCTCCTGCCTCAGCCTCCCAAAGTGCTGGGATTACAGGTGTGAGCTATCACACTCAGCTCACCCTTCTTGTTTTTAATAAATAAAGTGAAAGCTTTTTATAAAAAGAATGTTGCTTGGCTATTCTCATCTCTAGTAAAGATGGAGAGATAGTAATAGGATTCGACTTCATCAGAAGGAGTTTAGGGTGAGCTAGGAAGAATTTCCTGCATCCAGGAGTGATGAGGCAAAGAACAGCTCCTGATGATTGTGCTTTTCCTGTCCCTGAAAGAATTTGCAGATGATGATACAGCATGTATTTGGTGGGGTGGTAAGCGTAGTAATGGGATCAGGAATGCAGAATATTAGTTATGGAATAACAGGCCGCTCAGTTGCTAAGGAATCCTAAAAATAGGGCATGAGTGACTAGCTGAGAGGGGTGGGGAGGAATGGATGGTTTCCTGGGTTTCATTGGGCGCCCAGATCTGACAAAGACAATGCAGGGCTGCTTTCTGCAGCTGCAGAGATTGAGCAGCAAGCGTGGACAGACAAGTCTGAATCCTAACTATCTTGCAGAGCTATTCTTAATAATAGCTTAGCTTTCTTCCTGTGCAGGCCAGCCCCAACACACACAGTCCTCAGACTCACAGTAAAGTCTTGAGGCTTGGGTTCTTGGGGCAGAACAGAGGTCCACAGTTCCTCCAACAACTGTGCCCATATGCACATCCCCTCTTCCAGCCCCATCTAATTTTCAAATGAATTCCCCAGCTTGGAAACTGTTTGGGTAACAGACTCCCACCCATCATTCCACAGTGTGCAAAGCTGACTATTTGCATACTGTGGTGAGAGAAATCTAATAGGTGAAAAAAGGGTGGATGATTTTATTTTGAAGCAAAGTTGTGTTTGTTGTCATCCTGGACAAGTTGACCTCTGCAAAACTTCTTGTTTTGAAGATTCCACAAAACTATTTTAAGCAAAGTTTACAGCTTATCAAATAAATGGAGAAACTCCCTAGGGAATAATGTGTTAGAAAATTTGCCTGCCCATTTCCCACATCCTCTAACTGACAGCCTATCAATGCTGTGCTACTTGTTTCCTCTGAGACAGGTTCTAATACGGATTGTGGCTTTCATTTGCTTGGTGGGATTTTAAAAAATTTCTGATGTTGTTATAACAAAGGGCTTTGCTCATTTTTCTTTTAGTCAATGACAAAACATGGTAGAAATGATATTTGGCTGCTGTGTGGACACCAGGGAGATGGCAGGAAAATGAAGAGAGTAGAGGAGACCTGGAGGAGGACATCAGCAGAGGAAAGGAAACCTAGCTCTCCTGCCCTGAGCAAGTGTTGCTATAGGACAGAGAAGGTTGGGTTCATGCTCTGTGGATCCCTTTGATGTCTTTGTCCATTCTTTTAAAAAGCTGGCTCAAAGGAAGAAAGCTCAGGGCTCTGTTTCTAAAGATTTCTATTTTACCCTTTTTAGCAATATTATTAGTTCATGGGCTTGGAGACTTAGTAAGTGACATTGGTTTGTGGGATTATACAAAGGACATCCCAACCCAATGGAAAAAATCTTTCCCCAAACTTTCATTGAGATTCACTGCTTTATTAAGACATTAACTTTTCCTGGAAGGCTCTGTTTAATTTAGAAAGAAGAAAAGAAAAAACCTTGGTAGGGAAGAACGGTTATATCATTACCAGACATAATGTGATGACTAGCCAGTAGAATATAGGACACGGAACAGGTGGGTTCTTTCCTATTTTAAATATGAAATATAATTTAGGTGTAGTAAATTTTACCCTTTTAGTGTACAGTCTTGCAAGTGTTGACAAACATGTGTAGTCATGTAACCACCACCATAGTCAAGATATGGAGCAGTTTTCATCACATCAAAACATTTTTACTTATATCAGGGTAATATCAGATATTATCCATATCCCTTCTGGTTAAACCCTTCCCCAATCCCTAGCAACAACTGATCTGTTTTCTGTTCCCCTAGGGTTACCTTTTTCAGGCAATGTCATATAAATAGTCTCATACAATATGTAGCCCTTTTAATCTGGTTTTTTTCACGTAGCATAACATATTTGAAATCTATCCATGTTCTTTTGTGTTTTAACAGTTTCTTCCTTTTTTTACTGCTGATTATTATGTCATTGTAGGGATGCACCAGAATTTATTTATTCATTCCCCAGTTAAGGGACTGCTATGGAATGATTTCCGTCCCCCGCAGATTCACATGTTGAAACCCTAACTCCCAATGTGAGGATTTGCATAGGTCTTTTAGGAGGCAATAAAGGTTAAATGAGGTCATAAAGGTGGGGCCCTAACCCAATAAGGTTGGAGCCCTTATAAGAAGAGGAAGACACATCAGGTCTCTCTGCAAGCACACAGACTAAGTAAGGAGAGGTTACAGGAGCACGCAATGAGAAGGCAGCTCTCTGCAAGCCAGGAAAAGAGCTCTCGCCATAAATCAAATCGACTGGCACCTTAATCTTGAACTTCCAGTCTCCAGAGCTGTAAGTAAATAAATTTCTGTTGTTTAAGTCATCCAGTCTGTGGTATTTTGTTATAGCAACCCAAGCAGCCTAGTGGTCAGAAGGAAAAATCTAGCTAGGATTCTAGTCACCCAGTATGAGTTACTAATAAGCAATAGTCATTTGATAACTTAGTCATGCCCTAAATGGAGTGGCCATGGTGGCTAGTCTCTGCCATTTAGTGAGCTAGATAAAGATCAGTGAGAATAACTGAGGGCCCACAGCTGGAGCATAATGGAGAAAAATGGAGGAAAAGCCAGAATGAGAAAAGATGACTTACTCGACAGACATCATAATAATGCTACTAACTGCTCCTTATTTTAATGGGTAGTTTTGCCTAAACCAATTCAGCAGTGTAAATGCTTAATTCTTTCCTTCTACCAAGGGGGAAAAAAGAACTTAGTCCCTCTCAGGGGGACTTTCAGGGAGTCCTCCTTGGATAAAAGATGTTTAAGAAAGAGGCCATTTCCTAGAGTGTTTGTTAAAAAGCAAGTTCCAAGACACTACCTTCAGGGAAACACAGAAATCTGCAGTTTTTGAAAGTCAGATAATTCTGATGCAGATAGTCCTAGAAGTTGATTTTCAAAAACAGTTTTTCAGAAATGGTTGATGTTTTCACTGTACCACTTGTATACATCGAGCGAAATGCCACGTTTTAATTATATCATGACTTAGATTCAGGTCCTACTTTCCAGAAAGATGCATAATACCTATTCATACATTTATATATTTATACATACAAATAACATACAGACTGTGATTGTTTATTTCAGTATATTTATGCAGAGAAACCCAGACACATTGCTATTACTGAGACAAAGCATCTAAAGGTAGATCATGGCCCTTCCGGGATCCATGGGTTTCTGTGCTTAAAATCCTTCAGTCAAATCGTAGATGTCAGGGCTGCTAAATGCACATCCTTTCACACCTTTTAGTGGGTTGAACCCTGAAAGGAGAGAGTTCCTGTGGGCATCACCATAGGGTGTTAGAGGAAGACAGCTGTCCTTGGCTTCTGGTCAAGAATCTGCAATGAAAAATGAATGTTTCAGTACTTCTGAATAGTCTGCTTAGTAATTTGGAAAGCAGAATGCATCTCTCTGATGCTCACTAAGCATTTTTGGCAAGTAATTGAAACATATTTATCTTCTCTGACATTACCTAATGGAGCTATCTACTTTCCTGGAACATGCTGAAAGTGACT
Organism: Homo sapiens; assembly: GCF_000001405.40. NCBI lineage: Eukaryota > Metazoa > Chordata > Mammalia > Primates > Hominidae > Homo > Homo sapiens. The sequence continues at coordinate 112,681,624 of NC_000005.10, read as the reverse complement.
GGCTAAAATATGTGCATTTTGCAGTCTACAATAAGGTGTGTGTGTGTCCCACAGATGGAAGCAGCCCACCTTTGGCACCCAGCCTGAAAAGTGAAACTAATGAGTTCTCTAGTAGCTGTTCAGTAAGTTGTTCGTTATTTTAACCTCTGAGATCTGAGTAAGGTCTCAGATCTTTTAGGGCTGGACTCTGGGCATTAAAAAAAGTTTTAATTTAAGCCTATCAAAATATATTCCAGTTAAAAAAATATTTCATTTTAAACTGAGTGTGAAGGGAAACAGAAGTTAATTAGAAGGAATACTGTATGTGCTGTAACCATGTTTTAATTGCTGAACCCTGAGAAAGTAGTGATAGTAGAAAAATGTGACTTATTGAGACATTTATATAAACAGCTTTAAAATTAGAATAAGAGTCTATGATGATGATGATGATAATGATGATGAAGAATAATAAGAAGAAAAAGAATTGGTCAAAAATTTTTGGTTCATAACATCTTAAGAAAGTCTCATTAGACATACATGGTCTTCAAATTAAGAAAAAAAAATTAAAAAGGTAGGGAACAGTTAAAGAAAGGCGGAATCCAGGACCTCTACTTACATTTCATCAGTCCTCAAATTTATCTAAGAAATGTCACAAATCTTGGAAAGGAAAGGTGAAGCTGTGGGTTTTCATGGGTGCAGTCAAGTACGTACAGGCTCCTTCTAACTACGTGAAGAGAGATAATTCTAGGGGACAGGCTGCTTTCACTGTAGGGGCACGTTCACTACTCTGATTAAAAAGCTTGGCATGGCAAAGTTTCCAAAACCTGTCTTTACTAATTCATACCTCCCAATTGAACACCCAATACTGTCAGCCTAGTTTTTCATTACAAGAAAGGTGATAAAATCAAATATTGTTAAGATGGGCTCTTCATGTGAAAACCTATTTGGATTTGATCCAGTTTCACAGAATTTCTGAACATCTATGGAAAACTCTGAGTAAACTCAGAGTAATCAAGAGTTGCAGATGGATATAAATATATCCGTCATCCACTGTGAAAAGTGCAGCAAATACGTGTTGTTTATGCACTGGGATTCTTGTCTTTTAAGATGGGTTGCAAATATTACATGTTATGTTTTAGAGTTAAGGTTCGAGAGGAATCAGAGGAGACATAGCTAAAGCCAGTCAATATATTTTGAATTGTGACTGTTCTCATCGAAGAACCAAAAGGAATTCCCTGGGGGCAGTCTTTGAATCTCTTGTTTTAATTTTTGCTTAGGAAGTATTTATTTTCACTACTCAAAGAGAAAAAAAAAAGAGGATTTTTTTATTTCTACCCCATCCCAAAGGGGTAGAAAAGAACTGGCTGTCTTTTCCCCTATCAGAGTCTGCTATTGGTCCAGCACACTAAAAATCTCTTAAAGTGACTATATGAAAATGTGGAAAAATGGGTAGGATATAATAATAAGTTAAAGAAACTCAGGTTCTGGCTGGATGTGGTAATTCATATCTGTAATCCCAGTGCTTTGGGAGGCTGAGATGGGAGGATTTCTTGAGCCCAGGAGTTCAAGGCCAGCCTGGGCAACATTGAGAGACTCTGTCTCCATGAAGAAATTTGAAAAATTAGCCAGGCATTGGTGTTGCATGCCTGTAGTCTCAGCTACTCAGAAGGCTGAGGTTAAAAGATTGCTTGAGCTCAGGAATTTGAGGCTTTAATGAGTGAGTTATGATTGTGCCACGGCACTGCAGCCTGGGCAATAGAGTGAGATCCTGCCAAAAAAAAAAAAAGAAGAAACCCAGGTTTAAAATTGGATTCATGACATGATTATAATTATGTTGAAATTATCTATATATGCAGCTAAAACTTAAAGGAGACATGTGGAAAATGAGGCCAAATGATTTGTTGGAAAGTGAGATTTGGGATGAATAATTTTTATTCTAAATTTTCTATACAGTTATTATGTTGCTTGCAAAAAAATAACATTCTTTAAAAACTCTGACTGATGCTCGGAGTTGCCCAGATGGCCGAATAGCAACAGCTCTAGTCTGCAGCTCCCAGCATGATGGACAGAGAAGATGGATGATTTCTGCATTTCCAACTGAGGTACTTGGATCATCTCACTGGGACCAGTTGGACAGTGGGTGCAGCCCATGGAGGGCGAGCTGAAGAAGGGCAGGGCATCACCTCACCTGGGAAGCACAAGGGGTTGGGGGATTTCCCTTTCCTGGCCAAGGGAAGCCATGACAGACTACCTGGAAAAATGGGACACTCCCCACCCAAATACTGTGCTTTTCCCAAGGTCTTAGCAACCAGAAGACAAGGTGATTCTCTCCCGTGCCTGGCTCAGCAGGAGCCTTGCTCACTGCTAGCGCAGCAGTCTGAGGTTGATCTTCGAGGCGGCAGCCTGGCTGGGGAAGGGGGTCTGCCATTGCTGAGGCTTTAGTAGGTAAACAAAGCAGCTGGGAAGCTCGAACTGGGTGGAGCCCACCGCAGCTCAACATGGCCTACTGCCTCTAGACACCACCTCTGTGGGCAGGGCATAGCTGAACAAAAGGTAGCAGACAACTTCTGCAGACTTAAATACCCCTGTCTGACAGCTCTGAAGAGAGCAGTTGTTCTGCGAGCATGGCGTTTGTGCTCTGAGAACGGACATAGTACCTCCTCAAGTGGGTCTCTGACCCCCATGTAGCCTAACTGGGACACCTCCCAGTAGGGGCCAATGGACACCTTATATAGGCAGCTGCCCTCTGGGACGAAGCTTCCAGAGGAAGGATCAGGCAGCAATATTTGCTGCTGTGCAATATTTGCTGTTCTACAGCTTCCGCTGATGATACCCAGGCAAACTGGGTCTGGAGTGGAATTCCAGCAAACTCCAACAGACCTGCAGCTAAGGGACCTGACTGTTACAAGGAAAACTAACAAACAGAAAGGAATAGCACCAACATCAACAAAAAGTTCATCTACACCAAAAGCCCATCCATAGGTCACCAACATCAAAGACCAAAGGTAGATAAAACCACAAAGATGGGAGAAACCAGAGCAGAAAAGCTGAAAATTCTAAAAATCAGAGCGCCCCCTTCTCCTCCAAAGGATCGCAGCTCCTCGCCAGCAATGGAACAAAGCTGGACGGAGAATGAATTTGACGAGTTGACAGAAGCAGGCTTCAGAAGGTCGGTAATAAGAAACTTCTCTGAGCTAAAGGAGGATGTTCAAACCCATTGCAAGGAAGCTAAAAACCTTGAAAAAAGATTAGATGAATGGCTAACTAGAATAAACAGTGTAGAGAAGACCTTAAATGACCTGGTGGAGTTGAAAACCGTGGAATGAGAATTTCGTGATGCATGCACAAGCTTCAATAGCTGATTCGATCAAGTGGAAGAAAGGGTATCAGTGACTGAAGATCAAATTAATGAAATGAAGTGAGAAGGTCAGAGAAAAAAAGAGTAAAAAGAGACAAACAAAGCCTCCGAGAAATATGGACTATGTGAAAAGAACAAATCTATGTTTGACTGGTGTACCTGAAGGTGATGGGGAGAATGGAACCAAGCTGGAAAACACTCCTCAGGATATTATCCAGGAGAACTTCCCCAACCTAGCATGGCAGGCCAACATTCAAATTCAGGAAACACAGAGAACACCACAAAGATACTCTCGAGATGTGCAACACCAAGACACATAATTGTCAAATTCACCAAGGTTGAAATAAAGGAAAAAGTGTTAAGGGCAGCCAGAGAGAAAGGTCGAGTTAACCACAAAGGGAAGCCCATCAGACTAACAGTGGATCACTCGGCAGAAACCCTACAAGCCAGAAGAGAGTGGGGGCCAATATTCAGCATTCTTAAGGAAAACAATTTTCAACCCATAATTTCCTATCCAGCCAAACTAAGCTTCATAAATGAAGGAGAAATAAAATCCTTTACAAACAAACAAATGCTGAGAGATTTTGTCACCACCAGGCCTGCCTTACAAGAGCTCCTGAAGGAAGCACTCAACATGTACAGGAACAACTGGTACCAGCCACTGCAAAAACCTACCAAATTGTAAAGACCATCAATGCTATGAAGAAACTGCATAAATTAATGGGCAAAATAACCAGTGAACATCATAATGACAGGATCAAATTCACACATAACAATATTAATCTTAAATGTAAATGGGCTAAATGCCCCAGTTAAAAGACACGACAGGCAAATTGGACAAAGAGTCAATACCCATCAATGTGCTGTATTCAGGAGACCCATCTCACCTGCAAAGACACACATAGGCTCAAAATAAAGGGATGGAGGAAGATCTACCAAGCAAATGGACAGCAAAAAAAAAAAAAAAAAAAAAAAAAAAAGCAGGGGTTGCAATCCTACTCTCTGATAAAACAGACTTTAAATCAACAAAGATCAAAAGAGACAAAGAAGGCCATTACATAATGGTAAAGGGATCAATTCAACAAGAAGAGCTAACTATCCTAAATATATATGCACCCAATACAGGAGCACCCAGATTCATAAAGCAAGTCCTTAGAGACCTACAAAGAGACTTAGACTCCCACACAATAATAATGGGAGACTTTAACACCCCACTGTCAATATTAGACAGATCAATGAGACAGAAGGTTAACAAGGATATCCAGGAGCTGAACTCAGCTCTGCACCAAGCAGACCTAATGGACATCTACAGAACTCTCCGCCCCAAATCAACTGAATATACATTCTTTTCAGCACCACATCGCACTTATTCTAAAATTGACCACATAATTGGAAGTAAAGCACTCCTCAGCAAATGTAAAAGAACAGAAATTATAAAAAAACTGTCCCTCAGACCACAGTGCAATCAAACTAGAACTCAGGATTAAGAAACTCACTCAAAACCGCACAACTACATGGAAACTGAACAACTTGCTGCCGAATGACTACTGGGTACATAACGAAATGAAGGCAGAATTAAAGATGTTCTCTGAAACTAATGAGAACAAAGACACAACATACCAGAATCTCTGGGAAACATTTATAGCAGAGTGTAGAGGAAAACTTATAGCACTAAATGCTCACAAGAGAAAGCAGGAAAGATCTAAAATTGACACCTTAACATCACAATTAAAAGAACTAGAGAAGCAAGAACAAACAAATTCAAAAGCTAGCAGAAGGCAAGAAATAACTAAGATCAGAGCAGAACTGAAAGAGATAGACACACAAAAAATCCTTCAAAAAAATCAATGAATCCAGGACCTGGTTTTTTGAAAAGATCAACAAAATTGATAACTAGCAAGACTAATAAAGAAGAAAAGAAAGAAGAATCAAATAGACACAATAAAAATGATAAAGGGGATATCACCACTGATCCCATAGAAATACAAAGTACCATCAGAGAATACTATAAACTCCTCTATGCAAATAAACTAGAAAATCTAGAAGAAATGGATAAATTCCTCGACACATACACCCTCCCAAGACTAAACCAGGAAGAAGTTGAATCTCTGAATAGACCAATAACAGGCTCTGAAATTGAGGCAATAATTAATAGCCTACCAACCAAAAACAGTCCAGGACCAGACGGATTCACAGTCAAATTCTACCAGAGAAGCTGGTACCATTCCTTCTGAAATTATTCCAGTCAATAGGAAAAGAGGGAATCCTCCCTAACTCATTTTATGAGGCCAACATCATCCTGAAACTAAAGCCTGGCAGAGACACAACAAAAAAAAAGAGAATTTTAGACCAATATCCCTGATGAACATTGATGCGAAAATCCTCAAAAAAATACTGGCGAACCGAATCCAGCAGCACATCAAAAATCTTATCCACCATCATCAAGTGGGCTTCATCCTTGGGATGCAAGTCTGGTTCAACATATGCAAATCAATAAACATAATCTATCACATAAACCAAACCAACAACAAAAACCACATGATTATCTCAACAGATGCAGAATAGGCCTTTGACAAAATTCAACAGCCGTTCATACTAAAAACTCTCAATAAACTAGGTATTGATGGAATATATCTCAAAATAATAAGAGCTATTTATGACAAACCCACAGCCAATATCATACTGAATGGGCAAAAGCTGCAAGCATTCCCTTTGAAAACTGGCACAAGACAAGGATGCCCTCTCTCATGACTCCTATTCAACATAGTGTTGGAAGTTCTGGCCAGGGCAATCAGGCAAGAGAAAGAAATAAAGGGTATTCAATTAGGAAATGAGGAAGTCAAATTGTCCCTGCTTGCAGATGACATGATTGTATATTTAGAAAACCCCATCATCTCAGCCCAAAATCTCCTTAAGCTGATAAGCAAGTTCAGCAAAGTCTCAGGATACAAAATCAATGTGAAAAATCACAAGCATTCCTATACACCATTAACAGACAAACAGCCAAATCATGAGTGAACTCCCATTCACAATTGCTTCAAAGAGAATAAAATGCCTAGGAATCAAACTTACAAGCAATGTGAAGGACCTCTTCAAGGAGAACTACAAACCACTGCTCAATGAAATAAAAGAGGACACAAACACATGGAAGAACATTCCATGCTCATGGATAGGAAGAATCAATATTGTGAAAATGGCCATACTGCCCAAGGTAATTTATAGATTCAATGCCATCCCCATCAAGCTACCAATGACTTTCTTCACAGAATTGGAAAAAACTACTTTAAAGTTCATATGGAAGTGAAAAAGAGCCTGCGTTGCCAAGACAATCTTAAACAAAAAATCAAAGTTGGAGGCATCATGCCACCTGATTTCAAACTATATTACACGGCTACAGTAACCAAAACAACATGGTACTGGTACCAAAACAGATATATAGACCAATGGAACAGAACAGAGGCCTCAGAAATAACACCACCCACCTACAACAATCTGATCTTTGACAAATTGGACAAGAACAAGAAATGGGGAAAGGATTTCCTATTTAAGAAATGGTGCTGGGAAAACTGGCTAGCCATATGTAGAAAGTTAAAACTTGATCCCTTCCTTACGCCTTATACAAAAATTAATTCAAGATGGATTAAAGACTTAAATGTTAGACCTAAAACCATAAAAACCCTAGAAGAAAACCTAGCCAACACCATTCAGGACATAGGCATGGGCAAAGACTTCATGACTAAAACACCGAAAGCAATGGCAACAAAAGCCAAAATAGACAAATGGGATCTAATTAAACTAAAGAGCTTCTGCACAGCAAAAGAAACTGCCATCAGAGTGAACAGGCAACCTACAGAATGGGAGAAAATTTTTACAATCTACCCATCTGACAAAGGGCTAATATCCAGAATCTACAAAGAACTTAAACAAATTTACAAGAAAAAACCAAACAACCCCATCAAAAGGTGGGCAAAGGATATGAACAGACACTTCTCAAAAGAAGACATCTATGCAGCCAACAGACACACGAAAAAATGCTCATCATCACGGGTCATCAGAGAAATGCAAATCAAAACCACAATGAGATATCATCTCATGCCAGATAGAATGGCAGTCATTAAAAAGTCAGGAAACAACAGATGCTGGAGAGGATGTGGAGAAATAGGAACACTTTTACACTATTGGTGAGAGGGTAAATTGGTTCAACCATTGTGGAAGATAGTGTGGTGATTCCTCAAGGATCTAGAACTAGAATTACTGTTTGACCCAGCAATCCCATTACTGGGTACATACTCAAAGGGGTATAAATCATGCTACTATAAAGACACATGCACACGTATGTTTATTGCAGCACTATTCACAGTAGCAAAGACTTGGAACCAGCCCAAATGTCCACCAATGATAGACTGGGTTAAGAAAATGTGGCACATATACGCTATGGAATACTATGTAGCATAAAAAAGGATGAGTTCATGTCCTTTGCAGGAACATGGATGAAGCTGGAAACCATCATTTTCAGCAAACTATCACAAGGACAGAAAACCAAACACTGCATGTTCTCACTCATAGGTGGGAATTGAACAATGAGATAACTTGGACACAGGGCAGGGAACATCACACCCCAGGGCCTGTCAGGGGGTAGGGGGCTTGGGGAGGGATAGCATTAGGAGAAATACCTCATGTAAATGATAAGTTGATGGGTGCAGCAAACCAACATGGCACATGTATACCTATGTTTCAAACGTGCATGTTGTGCACATGTACCCTAGAACTTAAAGTGTAATAATAAAAAAAAAATCTGATTGACTAGTACACTGAAAACTATAAAATGCTTGTAAAAGAAGTTAAAGAAGACACCATAAATGAAAAGATATTCAGTGCTCATGGATTGAAAGACTAAATATTAAGATGTCAATACTACCTAAAGTGCTCTATAGATGCAATGCAATCCCTACTCCAACAACAGTTTTTGCAGAGACAGAAAAATCATCCTAGAATTCATATGGAATTTCAAAGGAGTCTGAATAGCCAAACCAATCTTGAAAAAGAAAACCAAAGTGGGAGGTCTCCTACTTCCTGATTTTCAAACTTGCTACAAAACACAGTAATCAAACCCATGTGGTACCAGTGTAAAGACTGACATATAGACCGATGGAGTCGAATAGAGAATTCAGAATCAATTTCTCTCATACAAGGTCAAATGATTTTTGACAAGGGTGCCATGACCATTCAGTGGGGTAAAGGACAGTCTTTTCAACCAGTGCTGTTGGGAACACTGGATAACCACAAGCAAAAGAATGAAGTTGGACCTTTACCTTATATCATATTCAAAAATTAACTCAAAATGGATCAATAACCTAAATGTATAAGCTGAAAGCATAAAACTCTTAGAAGAAAACATAGGGGAAAGGCTCCATGATATTGGATTTGGCAATAACTTATTGGCTATGACATTAAAAGCACAGGCAATGAAAGAAAAAATTATTTAAGTTGGACTTCATCAAAATTAAAAGCTTGCGTGCATCAAAGGACGCTATTAACAGAATGCAAAAACAACCCACAGAAGGGAAGAAAATATTGGCAAATCATGTATTTGATAATGGACCAATATCCAGAATACATAAAGAACTTCTACAACTGAACAACAACAGCAAAAAAATTGATTAAAAGTTGGACTTGAGTAGACATTTCTCCAAGGAATATATATAAATGATCCATAAGCAGGTAAAAAGATGCTTAACCTCACTAGTCATTAGGAAAATGCAAATCAAGCAACAATGAAACACCACTTTACACCCATTCGAAGGGCTATTATTAAAAAAAAATCACGCAGAAAATAACAAATGTTGGTGAGGATGTGCAGAAACTGGAACCCTTGTGCATTGCTTCTGGGAATGTAAAATGGTACGGAAATTCTTCAAAAAATTAAAAACAGAATTACCACAAGACCCAGTAATTCCACCTCTGGATATATACTCAAAAGAAGTGAAAGTAGGGACTTGAACAGATATTTATACATTCATGTTCACAACAAGCATTTCAGCAATAGTCAAAATATAGAAGTAACCCAAATGTCCATCAACAGAAGAACGGATAAATGAAGTGTGATATATACATATAATAAAATATTATTCAGCCTTAAAAAGGAAGAAAATTCTGACATGCTATAATATGAATGAACCTTTAAGACATGCTAAGTGAAATAAGTCAATCATAAATGGACAAATATTGTATGGGATTCCTCTTTGATGAGGTTCCTAGAGGAGACAAAATAACAGAGGCAGAAAGTAGAATAGTAGTTGCCAGGGGTTGGGGGAAGGAGGAAATGCAGAGTTTGTGTTGAGTGCATACAGAATTTTAATGGGGAAGATTGAAAAGTTCTGGAAATGAATGGTGGTGATGATTGCACAACAATATAAATGTACTTAATGCCATACAACTGTACACTTAAAAATGGTTAAGGTGATAAATTTTAGGTTGAGTGTATTTCACCACAATAAAAAAAATCTGATTAAATGCACATTCTTTTTTTTTCCTGTAAAAGAAATCATATCAAAGTAAATACACATTCTAATTCTCTTATTCTAGGTAGTACATCCTGGAGTCCTCATTCCTATCTTTCTCTATATTCCCATTTCCCTTATCTCTGCTCTCAATAAGATTGCTGTAGATTAATTGCCCCAATCTGAGCCCTGCAGCATTTTCTTTTCTGACCACTTCAGTTGTCAGTTTCTATGCTGATGGATTCATCTTTGAATAACAAGTATTAAATAATTGTGTAATGTGTGTCAGTGCTGTGGGCAATACAGTGGAATATGGGCCCAATGACTTGCAGCTATGCTCTGACAAGATAGGGTATTGGAAGATAGGGCACATGGGACACAGACAATACCTCCAAAGGAAGATAATGCTTGATCGACCCACTGTGAGTAATTTGGATTAGAACTGCTTTGGGAACTTTGAGAGAGAACTGGGAGAGATGAGGTTGAAACAAACTTTGGAGAATGGTAGGATTTGATTATATGGAGATGGGAAGCATTGAACTCAGAGAAAATGTGTCAGTTATTTATGAACATGTGCAGACTTTTTTAACTTTAGCACCATTGAGATTTTGTACTGTACACTTTTTATTGTGGGAGCTTTCCTGTACATTTTAGTATGCTTACCATCTTCCCTGGCCTCTACATACTAGATACCAGTAACTCCCTCCTTCACCCCAATTTTAACAATCAAAAATGTCTCCGAACACTTCAAATCTTTCCTGGAGGGCAAAAAAAAAAAAAAAAAAAGCTCCCCCTCCCCACCCCAAATTTGAAAACTGCTGCTATATGGAACCTGTCTCAGGGAAACATCAGTTTGAACAGGGCAGAAAGTCCATTCCTGAGAGTGTCTTTCAAAATCCGTGTATTCCAAGTGCTCATTTTGGCACCTGTTATGTATGGATAGTTTTTAAGTCTTTTGTTCATTACAGTTTAAATGGTGCTATACACAGGCTGATCCTACCTTTAAAAGAGTGTGGATAGGGAGAGCCTAGAAGTAGAAGGATCATTTAGGAAGCTTTTTTAATAGTTCGGAAAATAGATATAAAGACCTAAACCGAGGTTGTGATAATTGGGATAGAAAGGGGAAGGGTGCATGAATTTGTGTGAAGGAAGGACAAACAGAACTTGGGGCAGGAGGCAATACATCTGGGCAAGCTGAGTAGAAGAAAAGAGAGGCCCGGGTCTTCTTGAGAAGATAAATCAGTGTAGATGTAAACTTAAGTCTCTTGGTAACTGAGGGTTGAATGTGAACAACTTTTTGTGAACAAGTTATTAATTATTTCAAATCATGAAAATAACTTCAAGTGAAGTTGAATGTGGAATCAACTATAGGTAAAGAAGGTAGGCAAATTTAGACTTTATTTAGTCTTTTTTTTTTTTTTTTTGAAATGGAGTTTCGCTCTTGTTGCCCAGGCTGGAGTGCAATGGCACGATCTCAGCTCACTGAAACCTCTGCCTCCTGGGTTCAAGCGATTCTCCTGCCTCAGCCTCTTGAGTAGCTGGGATTACAGGCACCCACCATCACGCCTGGCTAATTTTTGTATTTTTAGTAGAGACGGGGTTTTACCATGTTGGCTAGGCTGGTCTTGAACTCCTGACTTCAAGTGATCCGCCGTCCTCGGCATCTCAAAGTGCGGGATTACAGGTGTGAGCCACCATGTCTGGCTTAGATTTTATTAGTCTTCTCTCAGAAAGAAAAGATTGTAAGAAAAAGGAGAAAAGCACTGCAAAATCTTTTTTTTCTCAGTAATACCTATTTGAGATGTAAAGATGAATAATCTCTGATTTGGGATTTGGAAATCTGCATTTGGAACTCAGCGTGTCCCTTTAAAAGCTCTCAGGGAATTAAAAACTCTGTGCTTTTAAAAATTCTAAACCATTTCTCCATTTTCACAGAGGAAATACAGACAAAGCAAGGGCAAAATTTCAGCATAAGGGCCTCCCCCTGGCTCACAGCCTTGGATGCTGCTAAGCTGGTGAGCATCGTATTGTCATTTGAGAAAGCCAGCTGCATAGCTAGATAGAGTGAGCCTGTCTCTTCAATTCCAAGACTGTAATTATGCTAAAAAGGGATCTTGCAGCAGTGAATATAAAGAGAAGCCTGGGAATATATCTCCTACACTAAACAACTTTATGGTTGAAAGGAAGCAATTACTAAGAACAAGACGAGACTAAGTAAAAACAGCATAACTTTCCAACTTGGGTATTGACAGTATTGTGCTGACCTCAAACAGTCTTTGCTTCCTCCCTGCAACCCACCGAAAGCCATAATAAGTCCAGCTTGCTAGCCTGATTTTTAGATCAAGTGGAAATAATTTTTAAAAATGAAACTGCCCTCCCCTCACTCAATTTAAAGCAACTTTCTAGATGGACTTAATAATATCAGTAATCCTACCGAATAGTTATCCCTGTCACCAAGACTTAGAAAGATATTAGGTAGTCACGTAAGCCCTTCGCTACTTGATGAATCAGCTCTACCTTCCTAAGTTATCACCATCCAGTTGCAAGTAGAGCTGTCTGGGGATAGGACAGATATGAAAACAGTAGAAAAGGAGGATTCCTAATTCTTTTACTTTATGATTGAAGGTGGCAGAAAAAGGAAATTGGGTATAGAACAAGATTATGTATAAGATGGAAAACTGAAAATTAGATCCACCTACAATAGTGCACCCAGCCACCTCCTCATTGTGACTTTGCAGTCTGCAATTGAACAGGTTCATTCTAACCCTCTATCTGCAAAGTGTATTATAAGGTTATGTGAAAGCAGGTGGTGTTTGAGAACAAGCACATTCAGGCCAGGTCTGCACAAGTTAATTAGATCACTTAGCTCTCTCGATAATTCTAGAACCCAAAATATCAACTTTTACCTAAATTATACAGATGGTCATGCTTGGTGACATTTATCACTCGCTTTTCTGGAGGTCTTACCCAAAGCATAAGACAATAGGAAGAAATAGGATAGGAGATATTGAGAAGAAATAATAAAAAATGTCATGATCTTTAAATGATATGATTGTCTTTCTAGAAAATTTAAGACAAAGAAAAACAATGAGGTTTAATGAGAGATATCAGTAAGAAAGTCAGGAATGGCTATAAACATGCCAAAATCAATAGGTTTCTTACACATCAGCAATAATATTATAAAATATGATGTGTAAGTGAGAGGAATTATTTAATTAAATCAAGATATTTGCATTCAATGTAACTGTATACTACAGTCATTACAAAGATGGTGTACATCTCTATAACATGACATGGAAAGAGATCTAAAACATTTGGTAAAAGGAAATAGCAAAGTCCAAACAGTGTGTAAAGTATCAAAGTAAATAAAATTATATATGTATACATGTATGTGCATATGGGTGTGTGTACGTGTTTATACACTCATGTGCCACATAATATTTTTGGTCAACGGTGAACCACATATATGACGGAGATCCAAAAATATTATGATGGAGCTGAAAAATTCCTATTGCCTAGTAATGTGGTAGCCATCATAGTGTCTTCGCACAAGGCATTGCTCATCTGTTTGTGGTGATGCTGTTGTAAACAAACCTACTGCACTATGAGTCATATACAAAGTATGGCAATACAATTATGTACTGTATAATACTTGATAATGATAACAAACAACTGTTACTGGTTTATGTGTTTACTGTATTACACTTTTTATCATTATTTTAGAGTATACTCCTTCTACTTATATATATTAAAAGGTTGATTGTAGGCAGGGCGCAGTGGCTCATGCCTGTATTCCCAGCACTTCGGGAGGCCAAGGCAGGTGGATCACTTGAGGTCAGGAGTTCGAGACCAGCCTGGCTAACATGGTTAAACCCCGTCTCTACTAAAAATACAAAAATTAGCCGAGCATGGTGGCACGCACCTGTAATCCCAGTTACTCAGGAGGCTGAGGCAGGAGAATCGCTTGTACCTGGAAGGTGGAGGTTGCAGTGAGCCGAGATCGTGCCACTGCACGCCAGCCTGGGCATCAGAGAGAGACTCCGTCTCAAAATAAATAAATAAATAAATAAAAAGATAAAAAAATTAACTGTAAAACAGCCTCAGAAAGGTCCTTCACAAGGTATTCCAGAAGAAGGCATTGTTGTCACAGGAGATGACAACTCTATGTGTGTTATTGCCTCTGAAGACCTTCCAGTGGGACAAGATGTGTAGGAGGAAGACAGTGATATTATCCTGACCCTGCTTAGACCTAGGCTGATGTGTATGTTTGTGTCTTGGTTTTTAACAAAAGCTTAAAAAGTTAAAAAAAAAAAAAAGGAAAAAAGCTTATAAAATAAGGATAGAAAGAAAATATTTTTGTATAGCTGTGCAATGTTTTTGTGTGTATGTGTGGGTTTTTTAATTTTATTTTTTAGAGACAGGGTTTTACTATGTTTCCCAGGCTGGTCTAGAACTCCTGGGCTCAAGCGATCTTCCCGCCTCAGCTTCCCAAAGTGCTGAGATTACAGGTGTGAGCCACCATGTCCAGCAGTGTTTTAAGCTAAGTGTTACTATAAAAGAGTCAAAAAGTTTACAAATTTAAACATTTATAAAGTAAAAATGTTACAGTAAACTAAGGCTAATTTATTATTAAAGCAAGAACAAATTTTAAAATACATTGAGTGTAGCCTAAGTATACAGTGTTTATAAAGTCTACAGTAGCACACAGTAATGTCCTAGGCCTTCACAGTCACTCACCACTCACTCACTGACTTACCCAGAGCAACTTCTGGTCCTGTAAGCTCCATTTGTGGTAAGTGCCTTACACGAGTGCACCATTTTTTTAAAATCGTTTATGCTGCGTTTTTATTGTGTCTTTTCTATGTTTAAATACACTAATACTTACCATTGTGCTACAGTTGCCTACAGTATTCAGCACAGTAACATGCTGTACAGATTTGTAGCCTAGGAACAATAGACTGTATCTATATATACAGCTATATATAGCCTAGGAGAATTAGATTATATATTTGTAGTCTAGGTGTGCAGTCGGCTATACCATCTCAGTTTGTGTAAGTATGCTCCATTATGTTCACACAATGATGAAATTGCTTAATTTCTCAGAATGAAAAATGTATTCCTTCAGCAGGGATACATTCATTTCTGAGAACTATCCCTGTTGTTAAGTGACACATGACTGGATATAAAGTATACATAATACATACATATGTATCTGGAAAAGAATCTGGAAGAACATAACCCATCCCTGTAAAGTGGTTTCCTTAGGGGTGGGGAAGAGCTAGAATTATGGCTTTCTCTTTCTTTAGTCTACATTTCTCTAATATTTTTACATGACAATTATGTATTATATTTGAAATCCAAGGAAGAGACCAAGTGCAGTGGCTCACATTTGTAATCCCAACACTTTGGGAGGCCAAGGCAGGAGGATTGCTTGAGCCCAGGAGTTCAAGACCAGCCTGGGTGACATAGGGAGTCCTAGTGTCTTAAAAAAAAGAAATTATCCAGGCAAGGTGATGCATGCCTGTGGTCCCAGCTACTCAGGAGGATGAGGACGGAGAATCGCTTGAGCCTGGGAGAGCGAGGCTGCAGTGAGGTGTGATAGCACCACTGTACTCCAGCCTGGGTGGCAGAGCTAGACTCTGTCTCAAAAACAAACACACAAAAAGCCAAAGAAAGCAATGAATACTAAAAATCTAAAAAAGAAAAATTAAATGTTAAGAATCTTCTTGAGCTCTCCTTTTATAGAGAATTTAAAAGCTTACCTCCTTAAGACTGAAATTGAAAATGAATAGCTACAAAAATGGGAATAGAATGTTCTAAGCTTCAGGTCAGTAAGAAAAGTAACTATGGGCTAATATTGTTAAATCAAAACATATTTTAAAAGATACACCCAGCACTGGAAATTTCCTATTTTCTCTAGTGTTTAAATCAACCTCTTTAAACATTATATATTTTTCTGATTATGTCAGTAATTCATGTTTATTCCAAGAATTTGGAAAATACCAAAAAGAACAAAGAAGGAAACAGAAATAACCTATAATCATGTTTTTCAGAGATAACCAAAATTAATATTAATATTTTTGTGTATATATATTACCCTTTAGTCTTTTAATTAACACATATGTATATTTTTAAAAAAGGGTTCATAACTATTTTCATCTGACAACACATAATGAAGGTGTCCCCTTGCCATTCTTTGGAATAGCATTGAATATTACCATTACTTCTTATTTTTGTAATAAATATTACTATAATCCATATATTTATGTTAAATTTTTTATTAAAAAAATTAGACACAGGCTGGGCGTGGTGGCTCATGCCTGTAATCCTAAGCATTTTGGGAGGCCGAGGTGGGCGATTGCCTGAGCTCAGGAGCTTGAGACCAGCCTGGGCAACACGGTGAAACCCCGTCTCTACTAAAATACAAAAAATTAGCTAGGCGTGGCAGTGTGTGCCTGTAGTTCCAGCTACTCAGGAGACTGAGGCAGGAGAATCGCTTGAACCCAGGAGGCGGGGGTTGCAGTGAGCCAAGATCACTCCACTGCACTCCAGCCTGGGCAACAGAGGGAGACTCTGCTTCAAAAACAAACAAACTAAAAACATAGATGAATCAAAGGACTTTTTCTGTGTTATTTACAGCTATGTCCCCAGTGCAGGGGACAGAGCCTGATTCTTTGTAGAGAATAAACATTAATGAATGAATCTCATTTCCCCAGGCCAGTAGGGCTTAAGCCTTAGTATATATAAGTATTATCAGGAGAACTTGTTAATGCACAATTCCAAGATCTCAGCCCCAGAGATATTGATTCAGATGTCTTTGGTGGGGCCGGAGTGATTCTGATACTGGGACCAACCTTTGGGAAACACTGCCTTAAGCTAAATACATGGAAGAATTACTGGATCAAAAGCATCAAGGTTTTGAAGACCTCTGATTTATATTGTTAATTTACCTTCCTGAAAAGTTTTGCCAACTTACTACTTTAAAGCAACCTCCTTCTACCTTGTGACATGTAAAATTGCCTATTTCATGGTCTTTCATCAACACTGTGTATTATTGATTTTAAAAATCATGACTGATTTGATAGGAACAAGGAAGAAAAAATAAACAGCTTCTCATTAAACATACAGAAAGTCATAAAAGAAAGTCACAATCATCTAAATTCACACCATCTGGAATGAATTACTCTTACCTCTTGGCATAATTCTTTCTAACCTTTTTTTCTTCTGCTTTATTGAGGCATAGTTGACAAATACAAATTGTATATATTCAAGGTGTACGAAGTGATGATTTGATATACATATACACTGTGAAATGATTGCCACAACTAAGCTGATTAACATATCTGCCACCTCACATAGTTACCTTTTTTTGTGGTGAAAATACTTAAGATCCACTCAGTAAATTTCAAGTACACAGTACATTATTATTAACTATAGTTACCATGCTATACTTTAGGTCCCCAGAAATTATTCATCTTATAACTGCAAGTTTGTTCCCTTTGATCAATATCTACTTTTTCCACTCCCTCAATTCTTGCTTTTTAAAGAAAACAATCATCATTGTTGTTTTAAAAATGGTACATGCTTATTATAGAGAATGTGTATAATGAAAAAGAACAAATACGAAGGTTAAAAACAGGCCAGATTGCACCACGTAGACATAATTAGACTTAATATAAGAAATGACTTTAGACATCTTTCTTTCTCTTCTTTCTTTTATTTACTTTTTTAGTTTTAATTTTTTAAAACTTTCAGGTTCGGGGGTACATGTGCAGGTTTATTATACAGGTAAATAGTGTGTCATGGAGCTTTGGTGTACAGATAATTTTGTCACGCAGGTAATAAGCACAGTTCCTGATGGGTAGTTTTTCCATCTCTCCCTCCTCCCACCCTACATCCTCAAGTAGGCCCCAGAATCTGTTGTTCCCTTCTTTGTGTCCACGTATATTCAATGTTTAACTCCCACTTATAAGTGAGAACATGTGATATTCTGTTCCTGTGTTAGTTCACTTAGGATAATGACCTCCAGCTCCATCCATGTTGCCGCAAAGGACATGATCTCATTTTTTTTTTTTTTAATGGCTGTGCGGTATTCTATAGTGTATATGTGCCACATTTTAATTATCCAGTCTGTCACTGAAGGTCATTTAGGTTGATTCCATGTTTTTGCTATTGTGAATAGTGCTGCAATAAACATATGCATGCACAAGTCTTTATGGTATAATAGAGCTATTTATATTCCTTTGGGTATTGTATTCGTCTGTTTTCATGCTATTGATAAAGACATATCTGAGACTGGGAAGAAAAAGAGATTTAATTGGACTTATAGTTCCACATGGTTGGAGAGCCCTCAGAATCATGGTGGGAGGAAAAAGGCACTCTTACATGGCAGTGGCAAGAGAAAATGAGGAAGAAGCAAAAGCAGAAAGCCCTGATAAACCCATCAGACCTTGTGAGACTTATTCACTATCATGAGAATAGCATGGGGAAGACCGGCCTCCATGATTCTATTACCGCCCCCTGGGTCCCTCCCACAACATGTGGGAATACTGGGAGATATGATTCAAGTTGAGATTTGGGTGAGGAGATAGCAAAACCATATCAGGTATATACCCATTAATGAGATTGCTGGATCAAATGGTAATTCTGTTTTAAGTTCTTTGAGAAATCATCACACTGCTTGCCACAGTGGCTGAACTAATTTACATCTCCAACAGCATGTATAAATGTTCTCTTTTCTCTGCAACCTCTGCAGCATCTGTTATTTTTTGACTTTTTAATAATAGCCATTCTAACTAGTGCAAGATGGTATCCTTGTGGGTTTGATTTGTATTTCTCTAATGATTAGTAATGTTGAGCATCTTCTCATATGCCCTTTGACCACATGCATGCCTTCTTTTGAAAAGTGTCTGTTCATCCCACTTTTTAATGGGATTGTTTGTTTTTTCCTGTTAATTTGTTCAGGTTCCTTATAGATTCTGGATATTAGACCTTTGTCAGATATACAGTTTGCAAATATTTTCTTCCATTCTGTAGGCTGTTTACTCTGTCGATAGTTACTCTTTAGTTTAATTAGGTCCCATTTGTCAATTTTTGTTTTTGTTGCAATTGCTTTTGGCATCTTCATCATGAAATCTTTGCTGGGGCCTATGTCCAGAATGGTATTTCCTAGGTTGTTGCCCAAGGTTTTTATAGTTTTAGGTTTTGCATTTAAATCTTTAATCCATCTTGAGTTGATTTTTGTATATGGTGTAAGAAAGGGGTCCAGTTTCAGTCTTCTGCATATGGCTAGCCAGTTATCCTAGCATGATTTACTGAATAGGGAGTCCTTTCCCCATTGCTTGTTTTTGTTGATTTTGTGGAATATCAGATGATTGTAGGTGTGTGACATAGTTTCTGGGCTCTCTATTCTGTTCCATTGATTCATGTATCTATTTTTGTAGCAGTACCATGATGTTTTGGTTACTGTAGCGTTGTAGCACAGTTTGAAATGTAAATAGTGAAATGACACTGGCTTTTTTTTTCTTAGGATTGCCTTGGCTATTCCGGCTCTTTTTGGGTTCGACATGAATTTTATTGATCTGCATATGTTGAAACCTGGCATCCCAGGGATAAAGCACCACTTGATCGTGGTGGAGTAGCTTTCTGATGTGCTGCTAGATTTGTTTTTGTAGTATTTTGTTGAGGATTTTTGCATCTATGTTCATCTTTTGCCTGATGTTTTTGTATGTGTCTGTGTGTTTCTGCCAGGTTTTGGTATCAGTATGATGCTGGCCCCATAGGATGAGTTAGGGAAAAGTCCTTTCTCCTTATGTTTTGGCAACAGTTTTAGAAGGAATGGTACCAGCTCTTCTTTATATGTCTGGTAGAATTTGTCCGTGATTCCGTCTAGTCTTGGGTTTTTTATGTTGGTAGCCTTTTTGTTTTTACTGATTCAATTTTAGAACTCATTATTGTTTGGTTCAGGGATTCAATTTCTTCCTGGTTCAATCTTGGCATATTTCCAGGAATTATCAATTTCTTCTAGGTTTTCTAGTTTGTGTGCATAGAGGTGTTCATAGTAGTCTCTCAGAATTTTTTTTTGTATTTCTGTTGGGTTAGTGGTAATGTCCTCTTTGTCATTTCTCATTGTTTTTATTTGGCTCTTCTCTTATGTTTTCTTTGTTAGTCTAGCTAGCAATCTATCAGTCTTATTTATTCTTTCAAAGAATCCAACTCCTGGATTCACTTATCTTTTGTATGGTTTTCCCACATCTCAATTTCCTTCAGTTCAGCTTCGATTTTGGTTATTTCTTGTCTTCTTCTAGCTTTGGGGTTGGTTTGCTCTGGCTTCTCTAGTTCTTTTAGTTGTGATGTTAGGTTGTTAATGTGAGATCTTTCTAACTTTTTGATGTGGGCATTTAGTGCTATAAATTTCCCTCTTAACACCACTTTAGCTGTGTCCCAGATATTCTGGTATGTTGTTTGTTTGTTCTCATTAGTATCATAGAACTTCTTAATTTCTGCCTAATTTCATTATTTACTCAAAAGTCATTCGGGAGCAGATTGCTTAATTCCCTTGTAATTGCATGGTTTTGAGTGATTTTTTTTAAAGTCTTGATTTCTATTTTTATTATGCTGTTGTCTGAGAGTGTGTTTGGTATGATTTTGGTTATTTTGCATTTGCTGAGGATTGTTTTATGTTTGATTGTTGGTCAATTTTAGAGTATGTGCCATATGGCGAAGAGAAGAATGTATATTCTATTGTTTTGGGGTAGAGAGTTCTGTAGATGTCTGTTAGGCCCAGTTGGTCAAGTGTCAAGCTCAGGTCCTGAATATCTTTGTTAGTTTTCTGTCTTGATGATCTGTCTAATACTGTCAGTGGGGTGTTGATGTCTCTATTTATTGTGTGTGTGGGTTCTAAGTCTCTTCATAGGTCTCTAAGAACTTGCTTTGTGAATCTGGGTCATCCTGTTTTGAGTGCATATGTATTTAGGATAATTAGGTCTTCTTGTTGAATTGAACCTTTTACCATTATGTATTGCCCTTCTTTGTCTTTTTTGACCATTGTTGTAATGCCCTTCTTGTCTTTTTGACCATTGTTGGCTTATTGTCTGTTTTGTCTGAAATTACAATGGAAACCTCTGCTTTTTTTCTGTTTTTTCTTTGCTTGGTAATTTTTTCTCCATCCCTTTACTTTGAGGCTATGGCTGTCATTGCACGTGAGATGGGTCTCTTGAAGACAGCATACAGTTGGGTCTTGCTTCTTTATCCAACTTGCCATTCTGCCTTTAAATTGGGGCATTTAGCCTGTTTACATTCAAGGTTAATATTGACATGTACAGATTTGATCCTATCATCATGTTGTTTAGCTGGTTGTTATGCAGACTTAATTGTGTGGCTGCTTTGTAGTGTCAGTGGTCTATATACTTAAGTGTATTTTTGTGGTAGCCAGTAATGGTCTTTCCTTTTGACATTTAGCACTCCCTTAAGGACCTCTTGTAAAATAAGTCTAATGGTAACCAATCCCCCTAGCATTTACTTGTCCGAAAAGGATTTTATTTCTCTTTCACATATGAAGCTTAGTTTGGCTGGATGTGAAATTCTTGGTTGGAATTTCTTTTCTTTATGAATATTAAATATAGGCCCCCAATTTCTTCTGGCTTGTAGCATTTCTGCTGAAAGGTCTGTTTTTAGCTTGATGGGATTCCCTTTGCAGGTGACCTGACCCTTCTCTCTAGCTGCCTTTAACATTTTGTCTTTAATTTTGACCTTGGAGAATCTGATGACTATGTGTCTTGTGGATGATCATCTTGAATAGTATCTTGCAGGGGTTCTCTGCATTTCCTGAATTTGAATGTTGGCCTCTCTGGTGCACTTGGGGACATTCTCATGGATGATATTCTCAAATATGTTTTCCAAGTTGCTTGCTTTCTCTTCCTCTATTTCAGGTATGCCAATGAATCATACATTTGGTCTCTATACATAATCCCATATTTTTCAGAAATTTTCTTCATTCTTCTTTATTATTTTTTATTTATTTTTGTCTGACTGATTTATTTCAGAGAACTTGTCTTTGAGCTCTAAAATTCTTTCTGCAGTTTTGTTGATTCTGCTGTTAATACTTGTGGTTGTATTATGAAATTCTTGAAGTGAGTTTTTCAGTTCTATCAGATCCGTTTGGTTCTTTCTTAAGATGGCCATTTCATCTTTACTGCCCTGTGTCATTTTATTGTGTTCCTTAGATTTTTTTTGGACTGGGTTTTGACTTTCTCCTGAATGTCAATGATCTTCTTTCCTATCCATAATCTGAATAATATTTATGTCTGTCATTTCAGTCACTTCAGATTGGTTAAGAACAGGGGGACTAGTGTGATTATTTGGAGGTAAGAAAACACTCTGACTCTTTGAGTTGACAGAGTTCCTGAGCTGGTTCTTTCTCATCTCTGTAGGCTGGGCTGGTGATCCTTCAATGTTTTAAGTTGCTGTCCTTTGAATGTTTTTTTTCTTTTTATCTTCTTTGATACCCTTGGGGGTTTGATTGTGGTAAAAGGTGGGTTCAGTCAACTGAGTTCATTACTGGAAGATTTTAGGGAACCAAGGCCCAGGTCAACACCTCTGGTTTGCATGTTCTAGCTTTGTGGGGCTGGTACCAGGTCCCTGCCTTTGTTCTCTGGCCCTTTGAAATTAGGAACCTGCTGCACTGGAGGAGCCAAGGTGTTCTTGGTCTACTGGCCACAACACTCCAATGAGTGGTGACAGCCAAAGTGCTTCACAGGGGGTGCCAGCAGCCATGGCAGCATGGCATAGTGCGTGTGCCTACACATATTTCTATGCATGTCTACAGGTGGATGAATAAAAGATAGACAAATAGATGGCTGCTGGCTTGTTGAAGAACAGGAGTGGAGTACTTTTGTAAAAGTTGTCAGAATAAAAATAGTCCCTTGTGTTTAAAAAAAAAACAACAAAAACTCTGACAAATAGAGCCAAGGAAGGCCATGGAGAGAAGGGTTCACATGCATAAATACTTGGTGACAAAAACTGTCACAAAAGACTGCAAAAACCACAACCTTGTACAAAGGCCATCACCACCTTACACAAAAAATACTTTTGCGAGAATATCTACCCCCAACTGCCTGTCCAAACTTGGACTGGTGTCACCCTTGTTATTGA
Source organism: Homo sapiens (assembly GCF_000001405.40). Lineage (NCBI taxonomy): Eukaryota > Metazoa > Chordata > Mammalia > Primates > Hominidae > Homo > Homo sapiens. The sequence continues at coordinate 112,658,635 of NC_000005.10, read as the reverse complement.
TCCTTGTAACCCAAGGAAAATTATCTCAAAACAATTATGTAATCCTCCTCATTTTTCATTTAAAAGCCTTCGTCTTCCTTTACCCCCTTGAATATGCGTATAGTTTACGTGGCACACATATTCCCATTGCAATGCTTTATTCCTGAATAGGTATAATTTTCTTTTAGAGACTCTGTCTCTGTTATTTAGGTTGACACTTTTATAAAAGTGGAAACATACTACAGATAATCATGGGTATGCTATCTTTTATATTACCTGGGCTCTACTCTGTCTTCTGGGATTTTGTTAATTGTTCTATATCAGGGTTCATACTTCCCATTTGAGCATGTGTCCTGTTCTTTTCATTGGTTCTTAGGTTGGGTTATCTCAGAAGCAGAACCTGAGACAAGAAAGTGAGTGGAAGCAGTTTATTTGGGAGAAAGTCCCAGGAAGCACTGGTAGGTGAGTGGAAAAAGTGAGGAAGGGAAGGGAAGAAAGCCAGTAAAGGGTGAGCCAGTAAAAGGTTACTTTTGTGGGCCATAGGAGCAGCTCAATCCCACCAGGGATCTCTGGGAGGCAGTGCAGAACACATATCAGAGTTACTGCAATTGAGAGTGGAGAAATTGGATATTTGTCCCACCTGTTGTCAGTCATTGGTTGAGCATTGCTGGAAGGAGGCATTAACTTCCCAGCACTTTCTGCCTGCCCCACAAGAGGCCAAATGGGCTCTGCTGATCAAAAGAACCCTCAGAGGCTGGGTGTGGTGGCTCACGCCTGTAATCCCAGCACTTTGAGGGACCAAGGCAGGCGGATCACTCGAGGTCAGGAGTTCAAGACAAGCCTGGCCAACATGGTGAAACCCCATATCTACTAAAAATACAAAAAATTAGCGGGATGTAGTAGCACGTGCCTGTAGTCCCAGCTACTTGGGAGGCTGAGGCAGGAGAATTGCTTGAATCTGGGAGGTGGAGGTTGCAGTGAACCAAGATCATGCCACCTGCACTCCAGCCTGGGTGACAGAGCGAGACTCTGTCTCAAAAACAGAACAAAACAAAACAAAACAAAACAAAACAAAGCAGAACAACTCTCAGCTATAGGTGGTTGCAGTTGGAAGCTCAAAAACCAGATATAGGAATTGTGAATGCTGAAGGGGTGTGGGCAGGGCCCCAACAGTGTTGGTATTACTCGGGGGTTTTGGATTGTTTTCCTAATTCAGTCTGGAACCCTGGAGCCTCTCATACTTTTCAGAGCATCAGAGCCATTGCTCACTTCTCTATTTATCCCTTTTCCTTCAGCATTCATTCCCATCATTTCTCAGTCAGAAGATGAGAGAGATACACATATGCACTCAGTACATATATTCTATCTTTATCTGGAGGTTTTGGTAAGAGTCCTCAAGATTTTGTTGACTGTCTTGTACTGTTTCTGGGGGCAGCAGTAAAGGTAGGAGCTGAGCCTTCCTGTGTATCTGGCTTTTCTGTTCTGTTCTAGAAGTTGGTGCTCCTCCCAAGCCCTTCCTGCCAGTTACCTCTCACAGTTTTTTAAGTTATCATATGATGATTTAAAAATGTGTCCACAAATTCTTTCACATTCTTCCTCCAAAGGGCAGAGGCTAATTCCCCTCCTCCTGAGTGTGGGCTGGACTTGATGATTCTCTTCTTTTTAATTAATTAAATTATTTATAGAGATGAGGTCTCGCTATGTTGGCCAGGTTGGTCTTGAACTCCTGGCCTCAAACAATCCTCCTGCCTTGGCCTTCCAAAATGCTAGGATTACAGGTGTGAGCCACCATGCCTGGCCTTGATGATTCTCTTCTAATGAATAAAATACAGTGTAAGTAAGGGTATGTGACTAGCAGATCAAAAGCATCCCGATTCCCCCCAGCTTACACTCTTGGATCACTGACTCTGAGGGAAGCCAACTACCCTATTGTGAAGCTACACACCAGCTCTGAAGTGAGATCCACAAGATGATTCTGTGAGCCGTCACAAGGAATGAAAGCCTCCAGACAACAGCTGCATGAGACAGTTAGAAAGAGGACCCTCTAGCACCTGTCAAGTCTCTAGATGGCAAAACCTGAGCCAGAACCACCCAGCTAAGCTTCTCCCAGGTTCTTGGCTCACAAAAGCTGTGAAAAGAAATGTTTGTTCTTTTAAGCCATTGAGTTTTGGGGTAATTTGTTAAGTGGCAGTAGATAACTATTAATAATAAAATTGTATTAGATTTTTCCATCTCCTAGTTTGGCTCTTTTTGATAAATTTAAGGCTGACTTTAAAAAATATTTTTTGCTCTCCTTTTAAAATGTGTAGTTTTTCACCATTGTAAACAAGAACTTTGATACTAACTCTTTGCCTCGAATATGGCATAATATGTTAACCTTTGCTTTTCTTTCTTTCTTTCTTTCTTTTTTTTTTGAGATGGAGTCTTGCTCTGTTACCCAGGCTGGAGTGCAGTGGTGCGATCTCGGCTCACTGCAAGCTCCGCCTCCCAGATTCATGCCATTCTCCTGCCTCAGCCTCCCGAGTAGCTGGGACTACAGGTGCCCACCACCACGCCCGGCTAATTTTTTGTATTTTTAGTAGAGACGGGGTTTCACCGTGCTAGCCAGGATGGTCTCGATCTCCTGACCTCGTGATCCACCCGCCTCGGCCTCCAAAGTGCTGGGATTACAGGTGTGAGCCACTGCGCCCGGCCTAACCTTTGCTTTTCACTTTCTTTTTTTTGAAACAGGGTCTTGCTGTGTCACCCAGGCTGGAGTGCAGTGATGCATCCTCAGTTCACTGCAACCTCCGCCTCCTGGGCTCAAGCAGTCCTCCCATTTCAGCCTCTTGAGTAGCTGGGACTTCAAGTGCACACCACCACGCCTAGCTAACTTTTGTATTTTTTTTTTTTTAATATAGAGATGGGGTTTTGCCAGGCTGGTCGTGAACTCCTGGACTCAAGCAATCGATCTGCCTTGGTCTCCCAAAGTGCTAGGATTATAGGTGACAGCTACTGCACCTGGCCATTCCTTTTTATTATACGTAGTCATTGGGGATCTGGGGCAACTTTCGTCATTTTATTTCTGTGACAACAGTGAAGAGGTAATTTATTCAGTGTGTCCTTCCCCCTCACATTTTACCTATAAGGAGAACAATGTGGAGAGGTTAATGCTCTTAATTCATAGAGACACTTACAAGTTCTAGACAAAAGAAAGCTTTAATGTAGCCTCCAAAAACCTCTTCAACTTTTGTGGGTTTTTTCCCACCTACTTCTAACAATCCTCTTGGATTCTCTGGATTCTTAATAACTTCAGTCACTGACGCCATTACTGCTCTCTCCTTCTGGTTCATACTGATTACAAGTGGCTGTTCCTCTGCATCACCAGGTTCATAACCTCAATTTTCTCTGTTCTGAATCTCTTAAGAAGTATTTTTTTCCTATAAATTTCACATTTGCATTTTATTTTTAGAACTATTGCATGAAGGACATAGAATAAAGGGCAGAATCTGATGAGTGGGGAGATTATGACCTCGTGAAGTTAAAGCAGAGTCTCTTAACCTAGAAACTAGAGAAAGCTGGTATTCCCTTTGAAGCAACTCTTGCACCTCCATATTATAATAATTTAAATCACTTTAAAATAAAAAAATTATGTTGAAATGTAAGCATGGGAGAACAGTTTCAAGACATACTTGATGATGTGAAAAAAAAAAACTCTTGTAGAAATACACACTTAAAAATGTAGAGTACAAAATAGTACATATTCTATGATAAAAATCATGTAAAAAGGATGGGTATACATGGATATAGATTTGGAACTAAGGAAATGTAAATAGTTATTTTATTTAGGCCTAGACACCACAGGTACACTTTTTGAAACCATAAAAGCAAAACGTTTCTGGAAGGAAGATATATAACTACATATGCCTGGGTGGATTTCTGTAAACATACTGCAATGAAGAATTTTTAAAACTAAACTGGGGCTGGGTGCGGTGACTCACACCTGTAATCCCAGCACTTTGGGAGGCTGAGGCAGGTGGATCGATCACTTGAGGTCAGGTGTTTGAGACCAGCCTGGCCAACATGGTAAAACCCTGTCTCTATTAAAAATACAAAAATTAGCTGGGTTTGGCGGTGCACACCTGTAATCCCAGCTACTTGGGAGGCTGAGGCAGAGAATCACTTGAACCTGGGAGGTGGAGGTTGCAGTGAGCCGAGATCGTGCCACTGCACTCCAGCCTGGGCAACAGAGCAAAACTCAAAAAACAAAGGGTAAATTGGGCTGGGTTTATGAAGGAGAGAGAAAGAGAGCATTCTTTCCTTCTGGCTGAAGTGAGTTTGTGAGATAAGACTTCCCTTGTATCTGTTTTAAAACTTTTCCGTGCTTCTTTCCCTCTCCCACTTGGCTCCCTTTTGCTGTGGTCTGTTTTTCTTCTCCTCTCTTAATAGAAAATCTCCAAATTACTGTATGACTGATTATTTTGCCTGAACAAAAATAATGATAATAAAACTTCCAAAAACTGAAGTATGGTAAGTTTCCATTTAAAAATCAGACCAACAAGGTTGTGTCTCAAGAGCTGAGCATGCTGTCACCTTTGGCTTCTAAGAAACAACCAACAGCCTGCCTCAGTGTTCTACGTGTGTTTTCAGCCCTCTGAGTGTGGAAATAACCTAAGGGAGGGAGCAAAGGCCATACAATTGGAAGAAATAAATAGGCCTGCTTATTAGGTCTCCCTATAAAACTATTTATGACCTGTTATGCCTCATCTATTAAAGAACATAATAAGCACCACAGATCACATTACAGATGTGCATGTGGTTAACTTTAAAAATGCGGCTGTCTCCAGAAGGAATTCCGTTTGAGGAAGGGCCAGTTGCAGTGTAATGTCAAACTGTTTCCATCTGCCCTGTGGACTGCTGAACACTGATCATTTATGTCAGGGTCAGCAAGGCCGCTTTCTTCCCCGGGCAAAAAAAAAAGAGGGTAGTGGAGGTATACATCAGGCCAGAGGTGGTAAATCTCTACAGAGAGGAATCTAGCTATGAGATGATGGCTGGGTAGAGGTGACCTTGTTGAAGGCCAGGTGGGTGTGTTCAGGAATCTGGGTACACTGTAACAAATGGGAAGTCCTGGCCGGGATGCGTCTGTAATGGCAAGCTTGTAAAGTACTATACAGCCCTGCTGTGGCAGTTAATCCCTGGCTTGGCATCTTTGGGAGAGCTGAGGTCTTCTATCTTTTTATAAATGAACTGCAGCTCAGGGTGTGCATGGTGGCTCACACCTGTAATCCCAGCACTTTGGGAGGCCAAGGCGGGCAGATCAAGAGGTCAGGAGTTTGAGACCAGCCTGGCCAAAATGGCGAAACCCAGTGTCTCCTAAAAATACAAAAATTAGCTGTGCGTGGTGGTGCACACCTGTAGTCCCAGCAACTCGGGAGGCTGAGGCCGGAGAATCGCTTGAACCTGGGAGGCAGAGGTTGCAGTGAGCTGAGATCGCACCACTGATTCCAGCCTGGGTGATGAGTGAGACTCCATCTAAAAAAGAAAAAAAAAAAAAAAGAACTGCAGCTCATTTCTTATGTTCCATTTCATCCTGTGACCTGACCTCATGCTACATGGGTCAAAATAGATGTCTTCGAAATGCACGTGGTTTCCCTAAGTGATTTTAGTGTCAAAACTTCTGGAATTTGCCTAAAACAGAAATCCACATCCCTTTTCACTTTCCAGTCTTCATTTTTCATTTTTTCCTTGTAAGTATCAGTATCTATTTTTTTTATTCATATCTTTTTTTTTCCTTAGCTTTAAATTCTAGGTTTTATGATCCTTACCTTATTATCACAGATTTCTTCTGTATTTCTTATCTCAAATGTCTTCCTGCTTTATTGTCTGTGGACATACTCTCTACCTCTTCTGAAAAGTTCTCTAGAGATTCTACACTAGGTCAGATCTTTGCTATTGGCAGGACAGACTTCATCCCTGAACTCACATATGGCAGAAGAGACTAGCTACTTTTCATATGTCAACTCAAAAGATGAGGGATTTGAGGGTAAGACCATCGTAAGTGGCTTTCATTTTCTTTGTACTCTAAAAATTTTTTCCAAATGTTCAATAATAAACATTTTTTACTTTAATTTACAATTTTAAAAGATGAGATATATATCATGAGTAGCCTTTGCTTCCTTTCATAAACCACTATGGCTCTATTATTTTATCCAAATCCTTTTTGAAGTTATGTATTTTACCCTTTTAACTTATGAGTTCAAGAGCATTGTAAATTGCCAATCATGATGAAGTAGTGATGTCTTTGATTTATTAAAGACAAATATCTAAGTTTGTCATTTTAGAGAATTGTTCTTCTTTAGTCAAACATTGACTATTAGTTATGATTCTCATAAAACTTGCAAATGAATATAAAACATCTAAGTGCTATTCTCCTTTAATTTTTTGTCTCTGTGGTAAGTAGTAAAATGATTTATAGCAAAGCCACTAATGTCCATTTAGCAGATGTTTGCTGGGTGTGGCTACACCAGAGGCTGGCTGTCCTGGTTAAGAGCATGTGACCTGGAGGCCGGGCGCGGTGGCTCACGCCTGTAATCCCAGCACTTTGGGAGGCCGAGGCGGGCGGATTACGAGGTCAGGAGATCGAGACCAAGGTGAAACCCCGTCTCTACTAAAAATACAAAAAGTTAGCCGGGCGTAGTGGCGGGCGCCTGTAGTCCCAGCTACTCGGGAGGCTGAGGCAGGAGAATGGCGTGAACCCGGGAGGCGGAGCTTGCAGTGAGCCGAGATCGCGCCACTGCACTCCAGCCTGGACGACAGAGCGAGACTCCGTCTCAAAAAAAAAAAAAAAAAAAAGAGCATGTGACCTGGAGTCAGTGTGAGCTGGGTTTGTGTCCTTACTTATCACTTCTTACGTCACTTTTATTTTTGCATGGAGGTGTTGAGAAATGGGTGTGTGGGGGCAGGAGGAGAGAAGCAAGGGGGCAAATGGAAGGGAGGTAGCAAAAGAGAGGATGGAGGTGGGGGAGAAGCGGGTGGGAGGGACCAAGAGGATGAAGTAAGGAAGCAGGTGGCAGGAGAAAGAGGAAAGCAAGAGAGGATGGGAAGGTGGTGAGAAGTGAGGGATGGGACCAGGGGAAGAGTGAGAAGCGAGGCCAGGAGAGAAAAGTGAGGGGGCAGGTCCTTTGTCATCTGAAACCAATTTTTCACCATTCTGAGCCTTTTTTTTCTGACCTGCAAAATACGGATGATAATAGCACCTACCTCATAAGATTAATCATATGACTGTTATGAGGATTATGTAATACAATCTACAAAATCCAAAGTGGAGGAAACACTACAAGATGACTGTTTCAGTTTCTTCGATAAATAAATTGAAAAGAAAATAAAGATGTTTCGCTCTGGAGGAGGGGAAGAGAGAAAGAGGACGGCGGAGAGAGCGAACCTGAGCACATAGTACATTTAACACTACATTAATTTAAAGTTTTAGCTATTTATGATATGTGCTGTCCAAATTAAACTATACAACAGTTTACCGAAATCGAATAAATGTTCATGACATTCTACTAAGTGTGATTCTAGGTCGTCCTGTCATTCAATGAATGTTACGTTGTCCCTGCCAGGCCATTTGGGGTTACAGTGAAAGATAATGACAAACCTCACTCTTGGTCCTGGCTTTGATGAGTATTAGATGTGACATCTTGAACAAATAATTGCTCCAGTTCTACATTTACTCAGCTATAAAATTTGGATGAACATAATACCTGCCTCACCAGGCTGTTGTGAAGATTGATTACACCATTAGGTGTAATGCTTAGCACCATACCTAACACTCAAAAAGTATTCAATAAATAAATACTGCTTCCTATTATTGTTATCACAATAATCAACATTTCCCCTGCCCTCAATAAGCTTATTATCTGACAGGGGAGATAAGACACATCTGACATGTCCGCAGAGAACTATAGCTCAAGGCCCAAGGTGAGGAATGGTGCAAGCTACATACAGGTGTTGTGGGAACACAGGAGAGAGTGGAGGGGTTTGAACAGAGGGGACCAAAGTCAGGAGGTTCGTGTCCAGACCAGCGATATTTTTTAAAGAGCCACTCCTCTGACTGTAGGAGCTGCAATCTCTGGTTTTGAGTTCTCTCTTCAGAGAACTGCAGGGTAAACTGCTGTGAATGCAGACTGGAGATCCCCTGAGATGCCACCATCCTTGCGCTTAGTGTGTCTTCCTGCCCAATGCATTCAAGTTACTGCCATGCAGCAGGCTGCTGATGGAAGCCTGGGAGGAGAAGGGCACTCTGGCTGAGCTGAAGGGGACAGATAAATAAAGCTCACCTAAACATTGAGAGAGCACAAGCATTAGGGTAAAGGGGGATCAAGAATTCCTCTGGGAGGAGTTCAGGGACCTCACTGAGAGGAGGAACTTGAAGCTGCATAGGAAGTTTTCTAAGGTACCTGATTCTCTTTGCCTTCCTGTCTACGGTGCTCAGGGCACCAGGGCCAAGAGGTAGTGATGTGAGTAGGAGGAGCCCTGGATTTGATTCAAAGGATCGATGTGAGTCCTGACTTCACTACTTACAGAGCGGCCTTGGGCAAGTTGCATAACCGCACTTGACTGCAATTTCCTCAACCATAAAACAGGTTTAATAATACCTGCCCTGAGTATCTCGTGGGAGTATTGTGAGGATTGAGTGAGTCAATGTATATGAAACATGAGTTATTATAGCCAGTGACTTCGGTGTCTTTGTCCTTGACTTTGGATATGCTTTGAGTGTCTTAAAATGAATTAATCACTCAAGTAAGTGTTTCTGCGACTAGCCTTGACCAGGACAGATAAATAGGAAACCTGTTTCTTTAAAGGTCATTTACATTTAGGTATGCTTCAAACATTTTCTTCATTTATTTCTCCCCTCAGGGAAATCCCTGTTCTTTGCATGATGGAATACTTACTCATCTTTTTATAATTCAACATAAATACTGTAATCACTTTAAAGTCACTGGTAGGAAAAGCAGGTTTCTTCAAGACTCCACCATTTGCTATAAAAGGTAAAAGATGACCTTGTCTGAAATATAGGATGTAATTATTTCAGATTCTGAAAAAAACCGTTCTTGGAATAAACCATGCCTTTCCTTCGCATGTTTCTTTTTAAGAAAACTGCAAGCTCTAGCAAGAAAGATACCACAGAAATAGAAATGCCAATCTCTAAGATCCCAAGACACTTTCAAAATAATAAATAATTAATTTTTTTCAAGGATCCTTAATATGATTAATCTTATTTTAGAGATGAGGCAAGGGAAGCCAACAGAAGTTAAGAGACCTGCCCAAGGTTATAAGCAGCCAAGCCTGGAATGGAAGCTGGTTTGGAGCTCAGCACTTCTTCTAATGAAAGGGTCTCAGTTTAGTACAATTATTGAGTATGAACAATGTCATATGCACTGTGGGAGACATCATCTAAGAGCCCATAATCTACTAGGGACCACCCCCCCAAAAAAAGTATAAAGCAAACAGCAGTGAATACTATAATTAGATGTCAAGATGTCATAAAAGAAGAGGAGGGGAAGAGATTAATTATGACTCAGGCAGAAGGGAAGTCTGGATATATTTTTACAGAGGAGATGGGATTTGAGCTGAGGCTTTGGGAATGGGTTGGACATGTATAAGAGAACATGGGAAGGGGGACCAAAGGGATGTCATCCTGGGTAGTGTTCTGGTTTGCATCAATACCTAGGGATTGGAAAGCAAAGGAAACACTCTTACTAAACAGCAAGTAGAACTGGGTTGTTCACAGAATAAAGATCAGATTGCCAAGGATTTTAAATTCTAAACTGAAGACGTTGGATTTTGTTAGCTGTGATAAGCCGTTACTGGCTTCTAGGTAGGGAAGACATAAGATAACTGTTCTAATACAAAATACCAATACAATACAAAAAGACACATCCCCTGCTTCCAAAGTAACCCGTGCTTATGAATATGCCAAGAAGTGTTAGGAGTAGTAGGAGTAGGATGCTTTGGAGGCACAGACTAGGGGTATCCAAATCAGGGAAGACTTCTTGGAGGAGGTTTTTACTGTAGCTAAGATGGAAAATGAATAGAGATTGGTTAGATGAATAAGGCACAGAAGTGCATTCTAGGTAATGACACTTGAAAGGTAAGAACTAACATGAGAGGTACAGGGAACAAGCAGCTCCATGTGACGGGTCACAGCTGTGTGTAGTGGTGGGTGGAGGACAAAGGATAGGAGATGAAGCCAGAAAGGCCAGTGAGCCTAGAGCATGAGAAGTTGTATGTGCTAGTTAAGAGAATAAACTTCAACCTGAGAGCTTGTAAAGGGTTTCTAAGTAGAAGAGGGACTCTGTTAGACAGGTTAAGTTCTGTTAAAATAGTTCTATTTCTAGTAAGAGCTTGACCTAGGTCAGTGGCAGGCCATGAGACTAGAAAAAAACTCTAATTTGGATGGAGAGTTCAGACTAACGCAGAGTGGAATTAAAAATCAAGACAAAGTCAGCGTGGCCAGGCTTGGTGGCTCACGCCTGTAATCCCAGCCCTTCGGGAGGCCGAGGCAGGTGGATTGCCTAAAGTCAGGAGTTCGAGACCAGCCCAGCCAACATGGTGAAACCCTGTCTCTACTAAAAATACAAAGTTGTGGTGGCAGGCACTTGCAATCCCAGCTACTTGGGAGGCTGAGGCAGGAGAATCGCTTGAACCCGGGAGGCGGAGGCTGCAGTGAGCTGAGACTGTGCCACTGCACTTCAGCCTGGGCGACAGAATGAGACTCCATCTCCAAAGAAAAAAAAGCCAGTGGCTAAACTATGGGTTTGTACCAAGGGCTCTGGGATTTTAAGAGAGAAAAACATGAAGCCTGGAGCATGATGCCAGGCAGGGTTCCCTGAATGGGGTATGGCTTGCATGAGGAGGGCATTCTGGGTAAGCACTACAAGGCAGGAGGGGAGAGGCATTCTAGGCAAACACCACAGGGAGGTGGGGGGAGGCATTCTGGGTAAGCACCACAGGGCAGGAGGGGAGAGGCATTCCACCACAGGGCAGGTGGGAAGAAGAATTCTGGGGAAGCACCACAGAACAGGTGGGGTGAGGCAAGGCCAAATTCCATGGCTGTGAGGAGAAAGGGCTGGATTGGTGGAAAGCTTGTATTATCATATGAATGGCCGTATGGTAGGCTGGCTTATAGAAGACTTTGATAGGAGTAAGACTAAATGAAATAAACCAGAAACTCACTGGAAACTTTTGAACAGAGTTTCATAAAATGACATGACTCAGGGTATTTTAGTTTAGTTGCAGGTATTTGGGCTGTTTTAGGAGGTGGAGAGTATGTCTGCTTATCCTGAAAAATCTGGCTTCAAGCTGTGGAGCCTTTCAAGTTCTCTAATTATATCATCGTATTTTTTTTTTAAGGAATGGAAATGAAATAAACAATTTTTTCCTACCACTCAGTTATAGTCTTATAGTATTAGCTATCACTGGCTAATCTAAGCCATAGAATTGATGAAAGAAATGGAGTATTCCTAGAAAGCTAACTTTCTGTGGCATTAGGGCACTGGGCAGGCTTGCAGGGGCCACCATTTTTTTGGCTTCGGTGAACAAAAATCGCATATATCTCAGTGAATTTTCCTGGGACCAGTCTGGGTATCCCTGATGAATTACTATGTGGCAACTTTAAACCCAAGTTATTGTGCTGAGGCACTCCCATGGGCTCAATAGCGAAACAAGGGAAGCCCAAAGACACATGGAAGGAGAATGCAATGAGTAAAAGAGAGACAGTCAAGCAAGAAAGAGTTTAGAAATTGAATAACTGTATACATCTGTGACCTGGACACCCAGGAATGATAGGCCTATGGTGGTAGGATTCTTAAATCATGGCTTGGACCTGAGGAAGGAATAGTATACACTTCCCCTTATCTGCTTCAATGGGGCTAGAACAGCTCAAAGACTTGGAGCACAGCCAGAAGTATAGTGGAATAAAAAAGGAAGATACACTTACTAGAGAAATAAGAGGAGAGAGACCTGGGCAGATGGAGGAACACAGATCTAAGGATCTCTAAGTAAAATATCTCCTATGCCGACCATGTATTTAGTTACTGCTTCAAGTCATCGGCTTGTCTTTAGGAGTAGCTTTGTTGCACTCAGGGTGTCTGGCCTGAGGGTATGTGACGTGTATGATTTAATGCTGATGAAAGGTATGAGAGATTATGGTGTTTCTACGTCCTCAAATTATTCCACTTCTGAGCATCATTGAAAACAGTTTCCCCCTCCTTAAATTTTTGTCCTGTCTTGATTGTGTGATACCATAAACTTCCTGTTCTGGTGACTTTTTTTTTTCTTTTTTTTTTTTTTAAAGACAAAGTCTCACTACTTAGTCACCCAGGCTGAAGTGCAGTGGCACAATCATGGCTCACTGCAGCCTTGACCTCCCAGGCTCAAGTGATCCTCCCACCTCAGCCTCCCCACCTCAGCCTCTTAAATACCTGGGACTACAGTTGTGCACTACCACTCCTGGCTAATTTGTAAAGTTTTTTTTATAGATACAGGGTCTCCCTATGTTGCCCAGGCTAGTGTCAAACTCCTGGGTTCAAGTGATCTTCCTGCCTTGGCCTCCCAAAGTGCTGGAATTACAGGCATAAGCCACCATGTCTGGCCTGGTGGCTCTTTTTTAATTTCATTTGCTGCCTCTTTGTCCTCTACCTAACTTCCAAATATTGGAGTTCCATCACAGGGCCTCTTGTCTTCTCCAGCTATCCAATCTCGGCAGGTAAGCTCATCCAGTCTCCCAGTTTAAACATTATATATATATATACCCAGATGATCCCCATGTCTACAGTTCCGGCCACTCCCTAGAGTTCCTGACTCATGTATCTAAATGTGTACTTGATGTTTCCACTTGGATGTCACACAGACATTTCAGATTTTATGAGTTTAAAATTACACTTTTCATTTTTCTGCTTAATCTTGTTTCTTTTATCTCAGTTAAATGTTATCACCATCCACTCAGTTGCTCAAGCAAGATCATCCATGATCGCTTCCTTTGCTTCACCCAATCCATTAGCAAGTATAGACCATTCTACTTTTTTTTTTTTTGAGATGGAGTTTTGCTCTGTTGCCCAGGGTGGAGTGAAGTGACGTGATCTCGGCTCACTGCAACCTCTGCCTCCCAGGTTCAAGCAATTCTCCTGCTTCTGCCTCCCAAGTAGCTGGGATTGGGATTACAGGTGCCTGCTACCACACCCAGCTAATTTTTGTATTTTTAGTAGAGACGGGGTTTCACCATGTTGGTCAGGCTGGTCTTGAGCTTCTGACCTCAGGTGATCCACCCGCCTCGGCTTCCTAAAGTGCTAGGAATACAGGAATGAGCCACTGCGCCCGGCCCCATTCTGCTTTTAAAATACATCCCAACCTGCCCATTTCGTCACCTCTGTTAATGTCACAGTACAAGCCTCCATCTTCTGTGGCCTGGACTCCTGCTTTGCATGTCTACCCAGGCTTCACTAAGAAGCATGTAGCATAACATTCCCATTGTGGCCTGCAAGTCTTCATTGTCTGCCCATTCCTACAAGTTCAAACCCATCTTGCTTTATTTTCCTCCTTGCTCACCCCCTTTCAAATCTTTTTTTCATTTTCTCTAATATGTGCACGTCCTTGATTGAGTTCCCTGGAAATGGTTTAGGGGCAAGGTAGGGGGTGATCTGGAAGGAGTGAGGGCATGAAGAGAGTGGAAAGAAAAGGAAAAGACCAAAACAAGTGCATTTTTTGAGACTGCTGTTTTGGGCAATAAGGATCTATTCTGCTGAGATCTCCCAAAAGGTATACAGAATGCCTTCCAGAGATGTGAACCTAAAGGACAGGAGACTGGGACATTGTCTACCAGCTCCTGTCCCTGACAATTGAGGATTGTCTGAGGGTCATTAGCACAAGCTGCCCTGTGGCACTATCAGAGAAAGTAGAAAGAAGCTCAGAAGCTTGAGGTGGGTGGCTGTCAGCTGGAGGTGAGTTTGGGCTTTCAGGGAACTATTCATCACAGCTGTGGCTGAAAACAGGAAGGCTGAGGGGCTACGCTGAGAGGCTACTCCAAGCTCTTTTTTGTGTTAGTAGCTTCTTACATGCTGTTCCCTTGGCCTCCATGGACTTCTCTTCCTCCCAACTCTGTGAGTAGCTGGAGTCCTTCCATCCTTTAGATCTCAGCTTAAATATCATTTCCTCAGAGATACCTTCCCTGTTCTGCCAATCTAAATTATATCTCTGTTGGTGGTCTCCATCACAGTACCTTCAGGGCATCTGCCAGGATTTATGATTATATATTTTTGTGTTACATGTTATGTTTGTCATCTGCATGAGTCTGTAACTCTCTCTTTTGTTCGTCTCTGAACATCCAGTGCCTGGCATTATATCTGGCAAATAGTAGGTCCACAACTAACGCATGAAAGAGAAAAAGCTATAAGCCTAAATATGTAGCCCAGAAACCTGTCTCATGTCCATCTTTTGGCAGCACAGGCAGGGGGCCTTGTTCTCCATCAAGCCTGCCTAGCTGTTGAGAGAGCTCAGGTTTTCTGGGCAATAACTGGGACAATAGTGGGAGAAGTTTTAGGACACCATATCAGCAGGGGAGGATTTGACAAGTGTTTGTGGGGCTTTCACTGTGGGTCAGACCCTGTCTCGGTGAAGGGGATAGAAAAATTGTGAAGACCCAGTACCTGTTCTCATAGAGTGGTCATGGGAATCAAAGGAACTTACAAGTGGCAAAGTGATTGGAAGACTGTAAAGCACTAGGCAATGTGAGGCCTTTAGATGGTGAAAGGTTGGGCCAGGCTGGGCACAGTGGCTTATGCCTGTAATCCCAGCCACTCAGGAGGGTGAGGCAGGAGACTCGCTGGAACCCAGGAGGCAGAGGTTACAGTGAGCCAAGATTGAGCCACTGCACTCCTTGGGCAACAAGAGTGAAACTCCGTCTAAAAAAAAAAAAAAAAAAGGTTGGGCTAGATAGTTCTAAGGAGCCTTCTGGCTTTTAATCTAAGGCATTTGTTATCAAGTGGGGGCAGGGAGGATGAGTGTGTTGAGATCTGAGGGAGATTCTTGAACTATTTAAACTAAGGGGGTGCTTGAAAATAGTTTTGCTCACAGCTCTCAAGAGCTGCCCAGCACTTTGGACGATGGTTTCAGATATAGAGCACAGCTGTGCAGTTCCCAAGCTGGGGAAGATATTGGTTCTGTGCCACTTTCTCTATGGTAAGTGAGTAGCTAGGTAGGATTAAGTCTGATATGCTTTCTTTACTCTAAACTTTCAGCTCGTGACTTGATACATTTTTCTCTGTAGTAATAGCCAAAAATGAATGGTAACATTGAATAAAATTTGTGTCATTTATCTCTTAACTTGGAACTCGAAAAGTAAATTTTTACATTAAATATGTTCTGTGGTAGCATCTGCTTTAACTACAGTATCTACTAATGCAGAATCTGAGTGTTAGAAAGACTCTAAGAAGTAAATTTATTCATTGCCCCATGTCTCTGAGTCTCCTAAACTGCTGCTCAATGTAGACTCTCCATTCATGTCTAAGTGTTCAGAACTTCCCAGGAATTCAGAGATAACATTCTGAAAGCATTGGCATGTCACCAAGGGATAGTGGAATGACTAAAGCCTAGGAATTGGGAGACTTGGTTTCCAGTTCCACTCAGCCACTACCTGCTGTGCAGACACAGGGACAAATGCCTCTGCTCTCAGTTTCTCTAGTTGTAAAGTGTTACCTGACTTTTCAGATTTAATTGTTCATAGAAGACACAGAGAGACAGTACAGTACATTTATTAAGAGCCTGGGTCCTGGAGCCAGACTGTCTGGATTCAAGTCTGTGCTTGAGAGAGTGTTGGCCTAGAAGATACAGAAGCCCTAAACACACATGGATGCTGAAATAAGTATGTGTGGCTTAAAATATGTGAATAAAAATAATAGTAATTTTGACTATTGTATTGACAGTAGTGTCAAGTATTGGCGTAAGTTGTATTGGAGTATAACAATAGTGTTAGGGTAGTATTAGTAGCACCCTGAGGTCCCATAAAAATCTAAGCTTCTGTTTCTTTGGGAAATTGACTTATTTTTCCTTTTAAATAAAGAGGAAAGGGTCCTCCTCAAGATTTTTTTTTCTTTGCAGTCCTAATTATTTTGCAGCATTGGAAAAACAAATCCAGTATTTAATTTTTTAGTATTTTAAGTATATTCTCTTTCTTCTGAAGTGGTACAATCATTAAGAAAATGTTCTCAGTTAGATCCCCCTGCAACCTTCACTAGATATTCCACCAGTGAAAAAGATTTATCTAAATGGAAACTTCCAAAAAATTTAAATCAGTAAGAAATTAAATTCAAACTAATTTCAAAGGTGATGACTATATAAGTGTTCTGAACTCAGGCCTCCAAAAGAGAAACGTGGTAGGGAGGAGAGTGATAGCAAACCCTCTTCTCTTCACCATGTAGGAGGAAAAACATCTTTATCTCCCCATTCCTAGGTTCATGGCTGAAGTCCCTTTTACCTAAGACAGATTAACAGAGAAAATTAGACATATTTAGTTAATGTAGGTTTTACATGACATGAGTCTTCATAAGGAAATGAAAACCCAAAGAAACAGTGAAATATATATATATACATCTTAGGTTTAGTGAAGAGTGGACAGTTGTGGAGAAATATGATTGGGCAAAACAGTGTGATCTGATGGTAAAAAACCAAGGGAAACTTAGCAAGGCCTGTTTGTTCAGATTCTTCTCTGTGACGTTTTGTGTTCGGAGATAAGGATGCTTCTTTCTTCTGGATATAGTGAGGGCATCTCTAAAGTGAGGATCTTAGGAACTGCTTCAGGGTGAGGTCAGAAAATCTCCCCTAGGTTTTATGAACAGCTGCAGGAGAAAAGGGTGGGAGAAGTTCAGAGAGACTTTACTGCTTCTGCTTTTTCTCAAATGCCAAGGTGCTGTATTTGGGGGCAGCATGTCCTCAACCCCATTACTCATTTCCCACAAAGTGGGAAATTTTGAGTTGACTGTAAGGAAATGTCGAGTTCTCACCGAGAGACTCAGTCATGAAAAAGGAGGTACTGTAATTTTGTTTGATTCCATACAGGATATAAAAGAATGATCTGGAAAACTTTCTTTGGAGACAGGTTTGTGAGCCTAAGCACACAGCTTCAGGTTGCCCCTGCCCCTTTCATTCTTGCTTACTGGGCACAGCCCTGTCTGCAGCAGCCCCTGAATGTGGCCTAAAAGGCAAAAAAGTACTACATCCCAGTGGCCTTTCTCATCTCCGTACAATTATGTGTATAGGCCATCTCCAGCCTCATTCACCCTCTCCCAGCATTTCTGCTTTCTGGTTTCAGTTCACCTCCTAGGGTCCTCGACAAATCAGTTTCCATCTTTGCAGCCACAGACTCTTGCCCAGAAAGTTGTAGTGTGCCTTTGTGTACTGTCTGTTCAGTTTCAGGGGCCATCCATTTGAAGATGTGCTGGAGTTCTGCTTCTTTCCTACTTTTCTCCACATCTTGCACAGACATAAGTGTGTCGAGGATGACTCCTCCACCCTCCCCAACACTCCCAATCCTATAAGTTGGGTTGGAAAGAGCTGTTTTCCCCAGGCAGGGAACTCTGTCTGTCATCCCGATTTCTTTGGTTGTCTGGAGAAAAAATGCAAAACAGTGCATCCACCCTTTCCCGTTTCTCTTCCAGGCAGCAGCTGGTGGGTGCAGTGACCCCAGCCTCAGAGCTGCTTTGGGCAGCTTCTGACCTCTTCTCGCTACATAGGCTCCATCAGTTCTGTTGTGGGCTGCATGTTGCAGAAATCCCATCTCTCCTATTTGGAGAGAAGGATTTAAATGCTTGAAGAAAGGTTATAAAGCATTCCTGTTTCCTAGTGACACAGCATTCAACCACATTCAACTCTTGCTAGTTTTGGGAGAGGCAGCTCTTATAGAGTAGAGCTCTAAGAAGAATGCTGTGTTTTGTAGACACAGATTGCCTCCCTGGAGATTCAAGGGAATGCCTTAGGCCATAATAGCCTGGAGGCCAAGAAGAAATTTCTGCCCTGGAATAACAATTGGTTATTGAGCTCTGATTTTGACTGGGTTGTTCCCCCTTCTACTCTACTGCCCTCCACTGCTTCCCCATCCCCTAATCCAGACCAGACACTCTGGTAGCATGGATAGCCGGGTAAAGAGACTGCCAATGAGCAGTGACAGGGGGTCTAAAGTTGAGTCCATTTGCCCATTTTGGGAGTATAAATTGTGGACCAGTTGCAGGAATGTGTAACAGAATACACATTTGGGATTTGTGGTCACTGAGATAATAATAGCTGATACTTTATAATGTTTCCATGTAACAGACACTGTATGAAGCGCTTCACTTATAGAAATTATTTTATCATTATAATAAATCTTTGAAGTGCTTCCTCTTACTTTCCTTTCTTTTCTCTTCTTTTCTTTGGAGACAGGGTCTCACTCTGTTGCCCAGGCAAGTGTAGTGGCAGGGTCATAGCTCACTGCAGCCTTGAACTCATGGGCTCAAGTGGCCCGCCTGCCTCAGACTCCTAAGTAGCTGAGACTACAAGTGTGCACTACCATGCCAAGATAATTTTATTTTATTCTATTTTTTTTTGTAGAGACGGGATCTTGCTATGTTATCCAGGCTGGTCTTAAACTCCTGGCCTCAAGCAATCCTCCTATCTCAGCCTCCCCAGTAGTTAGGACTACAGGTGTACACCACCATGCCTGGCTAATTTTTATTTTATTTTATGTTTTGTAGAGACAGGGTCTGGCTATGTTGCCCAGGATGGTCTCAAACTTCTGGCCTTAAGCCATCGTCTGGCCTTGGCCTCCTAAAGTATTGGGATTACAGGTGGGAGCCACTCTATCTGGCTGAGGTGGTTGATTTTATTATTATCCTCATTTTACAGTTGAGGAAACTAAAACTTGGAGAGGTTAAGCAACTCGTGTAAGAGCACAAAATTAGTAAGTTACCTGAGTATAGTTCAAATCCTGCTCTGGTGTCTGCACTTTTAATCACAGCCCTATACTCTGACCTTTCCAGGGGATTGTTAGTTTAACGACCTCTAAGGTTCCCAATCTTTGTTTTATGTGTTAGAGACACAAGAAATTTGGAGGCATAGGAGGCTACTCCTAGTGTTATGCAGGGCTGTTGATGAAAAGAACCCATTGCGTAGAAGAGTTGAGATGAATTATAATTTTGATCTGAAAATGAAATGAAATAAAATAAAGTAGAGGAAAACCAGAAAATATTGACTAGGGAAGGAAGATGAAAAGAAGAGATAAAAGGGAAGGATGGTGAAACTACATTTATTCATTTAGTTACTAAATGAGTGTCTCTTACATGCCAGGCAACGTGTTGAGCCTTGTGCTAGACACTGGAAACTAACGGCTGACAAAAAAAGAAGACACACTTTTGCCTCTGGGGAACTTTTACAGGTTGAACATCCCTAATCTGAAAATCCAAAATCCAAACTGCTTCCAAATCTGAAATTTTTAAAGCACCAACGTGAGCCACAAGTAGAAAATGTCACACCTGACCTCATGTGATGGGTCATACTCAAAACACAGCCAAAACTTTGCATCATGTACAAAATTACTTAAAATATTGTATAAAATTACCTTCAGGTTATGTGTATAAGGTGCATGTGAAACTTAAATGAATTTTCTTTAGACTTGGGTCCCATCTCTAAGATATCTCATTATATATATGGAAATGTTCCAAAATCCAAAAATCCCTGAAATCTGAAACCCTTCTGGTCCTAAGCATTACAGATAGGAGATACTTAAACTGTAGTTTACAGGGGAGGGGGAGGGGTGGGTAACCTTCATCAAATAGCCTCATACATAAATTTCAAATTATAACCCCTATTTAGTGCTATGAAGGAAAAATTCATGGGGCTTAAAATAGCATAATAGGGGCCTGACCTAGTCTGCCTCCTGGTTAAGATGTGTAGGAGAGAGATTTGATGAATTGCCTCTCTTAGGGGAAAGTGAAGTTGATTCTGATATTCTTGAGTGAATAAAATTTGCAGACAAGATGGTCATCTTAGTGTTTCATTAGAAAAAGTTTGACAAGGAACCATAATGGGCATGATTTTTGCCTTTAAACTCTCCTCTCCTTCCCTTACTTGTTCAAATTTTAACCTATTTCTTCCGGCCCAGTGTCCCTTTCTCTACACTGTACCTCCTAAGCCACTGTCATTTCCTCATCAGTAACAGTTTTTCACTGGGCAATTGTCTACTGAAGGGTTCATTTGTCAACAAGTCCACTCTCATGCCTCAGCTTGGCAAAAACATTTAGGAACCAGTTGCCTAACCTAAATTTCCCTCCATCCTTCTGTGTACCCCTAGAAGGTTTACCTGAACCAAAAGGCTGCAATATTCTCCATTGCTTATTAGACTCATTCTCTGAGTCTCATTTTATTTTATTTTATTTTTTGAGACAGGGTCTCACTCTGCTGCCCAGGCTGGAGTGCCATCACCTTCCCGGGCTCGACCTTCCCGGGCTCAGGTGATTCTCCCACCTCAGATTCCTGAGTAGCTGGGGCTGCAGGTGAATGCCACCATGCCCAACTTTTTTTTTTTTTGTTTTGTTTTTTTTTTTAGGAGAAGAAGTTTTGCCACATTGCCTTGGCTGGTTTCGAAGTCCTAGGCTTAAGTGATCCACCCACCTCGGCTTCCCAAAGTGCTAGGATAACAGGTGTGAGCCACCAGTCCTGGCTCTGTCTCTAGACTGAAGACAATTTTGGCATTACTTTTTTCACCACATATGCAATGTATAATTTGTTATATAGAAAAATGCATAAAGTAAATCCCATTTCTTTTATTCTCCCTTCACTCCACGATGGGAAAGATTGGAACACTCAGAATTCTAAGATAATGATAAAACAAGTAATTGTACAGCAGTCCAGAATATCTCATGTCATAGTTAATACTGACTTTGTATGTTATGGGTAATACTGCTTTTCAAACTGATATTTTTGAAGGTCAAAAAAATCTGATTAGCTTACAGTGCTTTAGCCATTAAGAGTTATATTTAGTTGAAAATTAGGAGAATGGTTGTTATTTTTACCACTAATATGCTACAACTGCTCTTTGCCAAGGATGTTCTTCATGTGGACATGGAGTGATGCCCAAAATGTTAGGTCATTGCCTCTTGACAGAGGCTTCTTGTGCTTAGATTTCAAAATTTACAGCCTCTGTGGAAGTCAGTAGACAGCAGGGTAAAAACACACATACTTGAAACATATTGCCATTTTCTCCCTTCCAATTAAAACTACTGTCCACAGGCCAGGTGTGGTGGCTTATCATGCCTGTCATCCCAACACTTTGGGATGCCGAGGCAGGAAGATTGCTTGAGCCCAGGAGTTCAAGACCAGCCTGGGCAATATAGTAAGATCTTGTCTCTACAAAAAATTTAAAAATTATCCAGGTGTGGTAGCATGCACCTGTAGTCCCAACTACTCAGGAGGCTGAGGTGGGAGGATTGCTTGAGCTCAGGAGGTGGAGGCTGCAGTGAGCTGAGATTGTTCTATAGCACTCCAGCCCGGGCCACAGAGCGAGACCCTGTCCCAAGAAAATAAAACAAAACAAAACAAACTACTGCCCACAACCAGGGCATAAAAACAGACACTGGAAGTCAAGAGACAGTATTTATTATTTCCTTGCAAGACATACCAGAGATTTTGGCAAGATGCCCTGAGAGAAAGGACCTCACCATCTCAGGGAGTTGAGCCCAGCTGCCTCCTCAGGCTGCCTAATTTTTAAAAGGCTGTGTCTCCCTCATTTCTGAGAATGTTTCCTAGCCTGAGGTGGGCTGCAAGATTCTAGAAGCTTCTGCTCTAGGCACTTGAAAGGGACCCCAGGTAACTACCCTGACACCTTTTGGCCTGAGCTTTCATTTCCAGGTGACTGCCTCAGCCTGCTTGTCCTGTCTCCTAGGAATAGGTTTGTAGGAATTTCATTACTGAGAGAGGTCAAGTGGAAACTATTGCTCAGAGAGAAAATTGTACTTCCCAAATGGTGTAAGTCAAAGTAAGTAGCATGCATTTTGTCATTCATTCAGGCAGTATCAGTTGAGCAGCATTATTTGACAGTCCTGGGCTGGGGCTGGAGTGTACAGTGGTGAGCAAATAGCCCTGGGCCCTGTCCTAGTGGAGCATGCTATCTACTAGGGGAGAGAGAGACTGGTGAAAATGACTACACAAATAAGTGATTACAACTGTAAGAAGTGCTGAGTAAAGCAAGGTAGGAAGCTGGGAGGGTGCAGGTGAGCCTGGCAGGTTCATGGTGAGCTGAGACCTGTAGGGCATTGCCCTTTCTGTCTCTTGTACTTGGCTGTCTCCTGCCTGTGGCCTTATGGTCTGCTCTGAAACACAGATACCTAGTGGGGCAGGGCTTTCATGGGGAGTAACCCATTCACAGTACAGTGTCTTTGTTCAGCACTTGGTGGTTGGTCCCTGGGTGGCCTCTGATATCTGTGGAATCAGAGTCTGGGCTCTCAAAATAAGAGGGGTGTTCTTCTCAGTCTTTCTCTGCAACATTTAAATTATTTAGATAAGGCATTTGACTAGGAGGTACAACTAAGAGTCACTACACTTTACAAAGCATTTTAACCACATGATTTCAGCTGGTTCTCATGCCAGCCCCACAAAGTAGGTTTTTGTTAATCATTCCCAATTTACAAAGTGAATAAGTAGACAAGATTGGTGTTTCAGCTTTTCATTCCTTTACTTTGCTTATTGTAACACTTAATACACTTTATTGTCATGACTTGTGTAATTGTGCACTTCCCCCATGGGATTGTAAACTTTACAAAGGCAGCTATAATCACTACCACATCCCCAGCACCCAGGAAATGCCGGCACATAGCAATAATTATTTGTTAAAATAAATAAATAAGTGAATGAATACATTGTGCCTAAGAAAATCTGTGTTATGATAGAAGAAAAAGACATTGAATTAATTTTCCAGTGAGATGTAACCGAACAAGACTATGGAATTCAAGGCCACAGTAAATGTAAGGGCCAACCCAACTTTTCACACGCCTGAACTGAAAATTTGTAAAAGACATGTGAAAACACATAACACTTATCTTAAGCTTTTCCCACAAAATTACTACCTCTACCTCTGACTCGTCAGGCCTGGTGCCAAAAGGCACAATAAGAGCCCTCTCTCCCCCTTCAATTTCCTGCTCTGCCTCATGTCAAGATAATCTCCAAGTAGGGTTCCTTTACATGTTGAAGCTGCAACCAGAAGTCCTGAATGGCTGCATTAGAAGCCTGATGTCATCAGGACAGGGTAAAATGGGACTGGCTTTAGCACCTGGACCCCACACTTTCCCTACCCAGAAGTTTCCCTTCTCTGTTCTCTACCAACCTCTTCCCCACTTCCCATACCCACTTGGTATGTGCAATCCAACGCCCTGCTTGTCAGTAGTGCTCTTGCTCTTGATTCTTCACTGGCACGGGAAAGACATCCAGACCAGAAAAATCTAACAAACAGGAAGACCTCAGGAATCATTTGGTTCTATTAATACTATCTAGACTGGGGGAAGGATGTTTCACAGTTTCACACTGAATCGGGTGTTTACTGTTCTAGGCCTTTGCTGCTGGACCCAGAACAGATTGTAACTTGAGAGCTGGACCTGCACCACAGTAAGCCTGTGACCCCCAGCTGTTATACCACCACCTCTGTTGTCATTATTGTGGGGTGTTGAGTTTCCTGCCCTAACAAGTGTTAAAAGAATTTCACTCGAGTAAATTATGTGCAACTATTTCATAGTGGCTTAGGCACAGAGGATTTTGTGTCATGGCTGGATATCATGTACTCAATAGTGTGTTCAAACACAGTGAGATTAGTGCTCCAGGTCCCTCTCAGACCACAGCCACAACATTATTTTTCTTTGAATGGAAGCTTTGTCTGGATAAGGCCAACAATACAGAGATCCATGCAAGTTTTTCTAAGTCATTAGTGGTTCCATTTTAAATAATGACTACTAAGGCGGAAAAGTTGGGGTCATCAAGGAAGAGGTCTTGAATTTATTAGTACTTCAAAGGGAGAAAGAGTAAAACAATAACATGAGTATTTTAAGTTTATATTCTCCAGATTATCCACTATAAAAAATTGACTCACACTGGAAGCAATGAAAGTGTCATAAGAGTATTTATAAATAAAATTGTGAATTGATCAGGAGTCAGGAAAGTGGTTGCTGGTCTCACTTCTGCCTCTTAACTACTTGTGTAACTGTAGTTCAGCTACCATTTCTCTCTTGTAAACCTCATTCTCCTCAATTGCAAAATGATGGGGCTGGATTGGGTAATCTCTAGAGCGCCCTTCACAGCAATTAAATTCTCTGGTTTGATGAAGTATTGTAAATATCTAAAGGAAACCAGTACAATCTGTTGTTTTCAGTGAAGTTGGCTTCTAAGCTGTCACCAAGAAGGAACTTTTTAAGCCACAAATCAATAAGTGGCATTTCAGTGAAACGCTTTGTAACTGAATTTAAATCACATTAAAAAATCAAACCATACTGAAGTCTATCTGGGATTGTTTAACTGCATTGATTATTTCAACATGACTTGAAAAAAATGGAATTAATGATAATATTCAAAAGAGAGATAACTCTAGTAGTATTACTGTACTATAAAGAAAATATAAAACAATACAATCTCTGGTTATTATTGTGGGATTCATTTTTTTTAAATGTCATTGCAAAACATGTGTAGTTGGGAAAAGAATGTCTGCTTCAAACCTTGCTAGAAGGCAATTTGTATGTTAGGAAGTACTGTCTCTGAGAGCTCAGAAAGCAAGGGCTCTTCTATAATTTTATATAAGGATGACATCATTATGATATGAGTCTAGATTTTTTTTAGAAGTTAAGCCCCACAGGACAAAGCCTTGGTTTGGAAGAGTAATGTGAAATATATCACAGGGCAATTTGCTAGTGACGCAGGATTCTTCTTGGTCATTCTGCCAGCTGGAGACCCCTGGCTGGTGACAACCCTGCCCAGGAGGATGGTGGCACGTTAACAGCCCTCTCAGCCCTGTTCTGGCCTGTGGCTCTGAGGCTGGCTCAGCCCCATCACTGTTACAGCCTTCTTTGTACCCATGTTCGGTGGGTCCTGAGCTCTTGTCCTTTGTCTAAGAAGAAGGAGGATATGCTGACAATTGAAGTGTGAGGGGGCAGAGAATAATTTTATTGAGTGAGAAAAGAGCTCTCAGTGGAGAGGGGTTGTGAGGGTGGTCAACTACCTGGAGTCAGGAGGTTTTTCTCCCCTCGTGTGGCTGAGTCCAGGGCTTTTATGGGCTCAGAATAGGGGCATGCATGTTGATTGGTTTGTGAGTATGCAAAAAAAGGTTAAAACAAAGACACCACTCAAAGGTGGACATGACAGTGTAAAAAACCAATTAGGGAATGGTAGGTATCTGTAAAATAGGTGAAGGGTGGGGATCAATCAGAGGAAAGCACACCAAATGGGAAGACAGGGTCTCAACCCAGTTGGTGGATTTGACTTGTAGCTTGGCTTTCAGGATTTAAAATGTCTTTGGCTTGGAGGTGGGGTTTTACTGCAGATCTGCCCCTATCTGCCTAGGCATTTGTGTGCCTCCTGCCTCTATCACTAGGTACATGATGTTATATTATTAGAAAAAATGTAAGTACATCAGGTGTTCTCTATTGTCAGTGACCAAAGGTTACTTCAGTAAACTATCTTCTGAGGTTAGCAGATAAACTTCAGATGAACAAACAACAAATCAATATTTGTTTCTATAACATATTAATCACAGAGTAAGACTCCCTACAAATTTCAATCTTCTTATTTCATCTGCTACTGAAAATGCTTTCTCAAGACATGAATTCTGTGAACTGAAAGGGTGATTATAATAGTGCTCCACTGCAATGTTTCTTGTTCATTAGCTATGCTTGTGCCCAGAATAAAACTGTGGAGCCTGAGTTCAGGAGCCCTGGCCTCCTACATGGGAGCTGAGTGGTAAAATTTCCTGGCAGGATGCAGTACACTTAGGAGGCATTCTGGGAGAAGAGTGCTTAGGTGAATTCAGAGCCAAAAGGAGAAAGAATTTTGTCTTGTCATCTACTTTAAATAATTCCTCCATGAGACAAGAGTCAAGGTAGGTTCCAAAGAGAAAAAATGATCAGAAAGGTGATCAAGTCATTCCATGCAAGCATTTAGAAGGCAAGAATGGCATAACCTATTTTCTTTGAAACTCCCAAACACCCACACCTGCACACAGAGGGATCATGACTAGGTAGACTGGAAATTCTTTGGGTGAAAATATGACTATGGCTTGAATGTCCCCTCCAAAACTCATGCTGAAATTTAACTGCCAATATAACAGTATTGGGAGGTGGGGCCTTTAAGAGGTTATTAGGTCACTAGGGCTCTGCCCTTATGAATGGATTAATATTGTTATCATGGGAATGGGTTAGTTTTCATAGGAGTGTGCTTGTGATAAAAAGATAAGTTTGACCACAAATTTTTCTGTGTCTCTTGCACTCATTTGCTCTTTTACTCTTAGGCCATGAGATAACTCACCAGATGACAGTGCCATGTTCTTGGACTTCCCAGTCTCCAGAACCATGAGCCAAATAAACTTCCATCATTTATAAATTGCCCAGTCTGTGGTATTCTGTTATAGCAAAGGAAAACAGACAGACAAATACTATCTTAGGCACATTTGATTTTTTCAGTGTTCTCCAGAATTCCTAGTATTTAGTAAGCCCTTACTAAATACATGTTCAAATAATGAATATTGTGTTGCCATTGATGTTCTCAGACTGATTAGTTTTAATTTCCTTAAATTTAAGTAAATGATGTCAACTGTATACCTGTGTGAAAGGATAGCTTTTTGAGCAACACTGTGTTTATAAATCACCTCAAGGTGCCTTTATGTTTCTCAATTTCTACTCCTTTAATTAAATGATTTGGTAAGAAAACCTCGTTTCCTGTCCTTTTTACAGTGCTACATCCCTCAGAAGTTTTATGTAGGTAAATGTAGTAGCTCTCTGGGTGCTAACCTACTGCTCTTTCCTTGCCACTGAAAGTAGCATGCTGATAAATATTGTCTGTAGCCCAGTAGTGAGTGTAAAAATTTTCTGAGGGTCTTGCTAAAATACAAAGTTCTAAAAACACTCCAGAGATGATCACTTACTAGGTCTAGATTGGGGCTCAGAAACCTCATTTACAACAAGCACTCTAGGTGATTCCGATGTAGGTGTGCTTCAGCTGGTATTGCCATAGCAATATTGTGTCATGATGTCCCCCTCACCCCCCAAATCTCAGTGGCAGAAAATAAGCATCTTCTTCTCACTCACCCACATGGAGATAAAGTTTAGTTCAGTTTATCTAGCCTGAACTTGGCTTTCAGCTATTGGTTGTTTCCAAATCTGTTCCATGTGTCTCTCATCCTCCCTAAAC
Organism: Homo sapiens; assembly: GCF_000001405.40. Classification (NCBI taxonomy): domain Eukaryota; kingdom Metazoa; phylum Chordata; class Mammalia; order Primates; family Hominidae; genus Homo; species Homo sapiens. Next base: position 112,631,215 of record NC_000005.10, on the reverse strand, counting down.
CAGCATCTGTCTGAGGAAAGTTCTTCTCACTGAGAAAAACAGTTGTGTGAGATGGCAAACCTGACCCTCACGCACATGCTGAGTCTTCACTCACATCTTGTCCACTAACATCCCACTGGCCCAAGAGTGTCCCATGGCCAAGGTTAACATCAAGGAAGAAGAAATGTATTTCTTTCATAGAATTCTGATAGGGGAAGTAAATATTTTCTCAACAATAATCCACTATAAACTAGTATAAAAAGTTTTACTTTAAAAAGCATTAGAGTCTCTTGAAACATCCAGAGGAGGTGAATGCAAGGTCAACTTTTTTATTTAGTTAGTAATGCAATAAACGATTTATGAGTGACTACCAAATGCCAGACAGACAGATAATTAGTTATTGCCTGTCTGTAAAGAGTCCAGTCCAGAGACAGATAAGTAAATAGATAATTACAAGCAATGATACCATATAACAGAAGTGACAGAGTTATTTTTGAAAATCTAGAACAGACCAGGAAAGCAAAAAATAATGTTTGTTCTCTGTAAGCCAGAAATAATAAAGAATCCTTAAAATATGGGAGACACATGGAATCAGATTGTAAGATGAAATCAAGTCCTGGGGAACTCACTGAAGAAGATTGCTGCAAGTGATAAAAGTGGCTCCTGGAATGTTCCAGACGACAGGTTGTAGACATGAGGGCAGCAGGAAGCCTGGGATGCCTGCAGCCTGGCAACCAGTAAAATGTCTCAGCAATGACCTTCATTGGCTCAGATTGAGGCACTCATCCAATGCCTAGACCATTCTGTGACGTGGATTGGCCTGATGAGGATCATATAGTCCCACTCCTGAAGGGAAGAGGTAAGGTGGTGAGTCACATGAACAAACAGTGTAGGAGGCAATTTCCCAAGGGAAAATCAAGGTTCTGGCAAAAGGACAGATGTCCTCCACCCTGGAATACTATACAGATTTAAACATATTTATTTATACTTATTTGGAAATACCTTCAATATAGTTGCTGGGTAAAATTTTTAAATGCAGGATATTTTATACAGAACATTTATGTGATTCAGTCATATATTTTTGTATGTACAGGAATATATCTGAAAAGGCATGTAAACACAATAGAAGGCTTACACATCAAACTCCTAGCAATAGCCAGTACTCACCTTGAGGAGGGGACTACAATTGGGGATGAGGTACTATAGAAAGTGACTTTGAGTTTACTTATATTGTTTGGGGCTGACTGTCTTTCTCCTTACTGGAATTCCCGAGACAATACAGTCCTGGAATAAGAGAGTGGCAGTGGGGATAAACAGCAGATGATAGTTTTGAGAGGATGCAGGCTTTGTTGACCTATGGAATGTTAGGACAGGCAGGATGTGTGGGAGAGGGATTGGTTAAGGTGACTCCCAGCTGTCTGGATAGGCATTATGTGGATGGTGGTGCCACTCACTAAGAGAGGGGGAACAGGAAAAAGATAAGTTTATGGATGAAGGTTATGAGATTGTCTGAAGACATGTTAGTTTTGAGGGTATTGTGGGGCATCCAGGTAAAGATATCCAACAGAAAATCTGGGGTCTCTACTGATGTCACACTTTTCTCTGCCCAGAAAAAGCTTTCAATGTTTCATTAAACATTTTAAAAAGAGGGTGGGCGCAGTGGCTCATGCCTATAATCCCCGCACTTTGGGAGGCAGAGGCACGCGGGTCACTTGAGGTCAGGAGTTCAAGACCAGCCTGGCCAACATGGTGAAACCCTGTCTCTACTAAAAATGCAAAAATTAGTCAGGCATGGTTGTACATGCCTGTAGTCCCAACTACTCGGAAGGCTGAGGCAGGAGAATCGCTTGAACCTGGGAGGCAGAGGTTGAAGTCAGCTGAGATTGCACCACTGCACTCCAGAGCAAAGACTCTGTCTCAAAAACCAACAAATAGCTACAACAAAAAACCCCCCAAACATTTAAAAAAGAAACTAATCCACAGAAAACAGAATATGTAGTGCTTAGTTACTTACCGAAGGAGGGGCAGCCCAGCAGGGCTAGTTGTTTCCTGGGGTCTTGGACTTCAACTCACCAGACTTTCTCTGATAAATACTATTCTCTTGTTTCATTCGCCAGGATGACATTAATGGTGTAATTTGCTATAAAGAAAGAGGCTGAAAAATTTACTCCTGGGGAGTTAAAAACAGAAGGTGCACAGAGAGGTGTGTGAGATATAAACTGCCTTGCATATAAAGGGCTCACTTGGCAGAGGATTGCTGGGGGAGAGATACAATCCTCACAGCCTGAACCTCAACTCTCAAAACTCCTCACTTCAGCCCTGACCTCCAGAGCACCCATTTCTTCCAACCGCTTGTAGAACTTTCTCTTTCATCTGCTTCAATGCTCAGAGTTTTCAGCGGCATTGACAAACAGTAAGAATCAGGACTAATGGCCATAAACCTGGATGGCAATGACATTCTGATTCCCCTGGGAACCAAGGTCTGCACCTGCCACTTCAGTGCAAGAAGCAAAGAAGTACAAAAGAGCCTTTCACCCCGGATTCTTTTTCCCCATTCTGAAAAAGGGATGCCTGGGATGCGGGGAACTTTCCTCTTCCACAACAAAAGCTGTAAACTTAAACCCACCTTGTGCCTAGCCACCAGCCTTTCTGGAAAATCTTCCCCTGCTTGTCTCTTTATGTTTCACAGCTATTGGAACTGGGTTGTTCAAAGAAGTACCTGACCTTGTTTGTCAGATGAGAAACAGAAAATGCTGACACTGAATTCTTTCATTTGCTCCTGCTGCTAACAGAGCAGTACTGCAGAATCTCAGACACTTCAGCAGCTTTGGCCAGGCTGGGGGTATAGAATAATGAATGCATAAAGCTCCTTGACAGGAACCTTCTCTCCCCTCCCAACACTGCATTCTGTGCTGAAAAGGAGGGAGGGAGGCCATTAGCAAGGAGTAAGCGCAAAATGAAGTGGTTTGGAGCCGTGCTGAGGATAAAGGCCAATTTCAGCCAATGCTGTTTGACCTGCTGGTACTGTTTTTGCTTTTTTTTTTTTTTTTTTTTTTGCTTTGTTTTTTTTGTCTGAGTCCTGCTGTTACTTTTGTCACTGGAAGAAAATGAGTCTCATAAAAACATAGGTTTTGTCTTATTCATCTCCAGGATTTAGCACAGAACCTAGACTAATGAAGGTAGATTTTAAAGAGATTATGGGGAGAGCATCTTTTGCATTTGAAAGGTAAATAGTTTTATTTTCAATTTGCAGAAAGGGAACACAGGTTTGGAGATATGAAGAGACTGGTTCAAAATACAAAGCTAGTAAATAGAGGTATCTTTGCAGATAAGCAACAGAAAACAACTCTGGCATATTTAGCCTAAAAGGTCATTAATTGGAGAGATACTGGGATACAGAGAGAATGGGAATCTAGAAACCCAAATCAGAAAAGGGACAGGTGTTAGGATAGATACAAGCATAGAGTATTGGATAGACACAGATACAACCATCCCATCTAGCAGTCAATTCACGCCAAAGTTTTTTCCCATTCTTGCTATCATTCTGCTCAAGATGGTAGAAGTGCTGGGAGAAAGTATGAGATGGACTGAGCTCAGTTCCACTTTGGAGAAGGGTGGGCAAGACATGGTTTCCAAGACTTAGAGTTTCATCGAGTCTACATACAGTGGAACAAAAATATTGTTCCCCCAAAGGAAAATGAGTTACTATCAGAAAGAGGGAATGGGCACAGAGTGCCCCCCAAATTCAAATGTTCACCCCAGAAAGCTAGAGTTCAACTCATGTACATTTGATGCCAAAGTTTGCATCCTTTCACTATGCCAGCATGGTTGTATACAGTGGTTCTTAACCAGTGGTAATTTTCTCCCTTTACCCCCAGGGACATTTGACAATGTCTGGAGGTATATTTGGTTGTTACAACTGGGAGGAGGTGCTACCGGCATCTAGCGGATAGAGGCCAGAGACGTTACCAAAAATCCTACAATGCACAGGACATCCCCACAAAAAAAAATTTTCCAGCCCAAAATGTCAACAGTGCCAAGGTTGAGAAACTCTGGTATAAACAAAGACAGGGGATTGAGGTAATACACTATAGGTTTTAGAAAGTCCAGTAATTCAATTTGGTGGAAGTATCAATTACATATGGAAAAACAAAAGAGGAAAAAACTAAAAAAAAAGCTTTAAATCAGATTTTGTGGGGCCTTGAATGCCAGCCTAGGTTGTCTAGACTGCACTTAATAGGACTGGATACCTCTTAGCCTAAAATTATATCTTCATTGACTGGGCCTGGCGGGTCTCCATGTTTATTCTGAAGTTTATTTCTAGAAGACCTTTGGAGCACGTGATCAAATGACATGAGACAGCTAATGACAAGGCCCTTACTGTCCCCAGCCTGTGCAAACAGTCAGGATCGTTCCCAAAAGTTTTGCTTCTCTATGCTTCTTATATCTCTCAAGTATATGATATTAGAAAAGTGATTGCTTCTTAGAGCGCATGCTCCTGCTAAAGAGATTAACACTATTTTCACATCCTTTCAAATCATACAGCCACCAAATAATCTTTATTCTTTCCTGGATACCCTGTTTTAAAAATTAACATATTTCACTGATTCACATTTTTTTCACATCTCTGAAATCAGGACGTACTTATGACCAATAATGTACCCAAGTTTTATTGGTAGCACTTACAAATGTTTTATATAAAATAATGGCACTTTTGATCAATGGAACTTTAAATTCAATGAAATATATTTGTTTTCTTTCATTGTCATTGGTTAAATTTTATTCACACTCATTTAAAAGAACTGGCTGTTGGCATTGTATGTGGGTATTAGTGTTGAACTCTTGCAGAGTGCTAAGGAACATACAGAATATCATGATGGAACTGGCCCCTCTCTGTCATCATTATTTTATAATTAGAATTACAGCTCTCATGTTGAACAGAAGAGGTTTGGTAACTATGCAACCATTTCCCCAGTGGGAACATCCAGGGCCTGCCCCCAGTGAAATGTTTCGTCTGTGTTTCAAAGCTTTTAAGGAGTATGTGAAAGAAACATTTATTCAGGTCGAATTGCCTTGGCATATGCTTTTGGGCTGTTCTTATTTTATACAGACTTCTTGCTCCATCATTAGATAATTTTATTTGTACAAAGGAAATGGAATAAAATTTCCTTCTACATCCTTTCTCTATTTCTCATCTTTATCTTCCAACAGGGCTTCCTCCTTTCCTTTTTCAACACCATATATCAGTAAGATTAATATGTAATGAGATCCACCCTCCTGCAATGTATCAGCCTAAGAAACAAAGGCGTAAGTAAGACTAAAGAAGGAGAGTGAAGAGATGAATAGAGGTGAAGCTTAAGCAACTGTGGATTTCCAGGAAATATTTATGAGCTAATTTAAATACTAATGAGCTGGTAGTCTGACAGCAGAGGGAAGACACAAGAGCACAGAAACTCAGCTGGGCTGCGGGTTGTCTTATATCTACACAAGCTGTACAGTAGAACAGCCACATTTTCAGCCTCCTGCTGAACAGACATTTCAAAATGCTGTTTGGTGAAAAATTGACATTTTCCCACTGATTTCAATTTTTTATTTCTATCATAGCACTTACTAATCTATTTGAATCCCAAGCTGAAGAAGATACATAGGGGCTGAATATAAAAACCACTTCACCCAACCCTTTTCTTTGAATGGCTACTGTACTGGAACGACTCTTTAAATTTTCTTTTTCTGTCCCCTTTAAGAATCCACCAAATACCCTTTCTTGCAAGTTCCTACGCAGCAGCTTGAACGGTGTCTCAAGAGTGTAGTAAGAGGTAATTTATCTGAAATTGCCTCCTGTCCCAACCTGACTGCAGAAAAATACATCAGTTGCCTATGGGTTAGAAAAGATAAAAACACTTGCTATTATAATAAAACAAATTTAACTTCCAAAGAGCTTTGTACATATATTGCCTTAAGCATGACAATCTGCTGACTTGATTCAAAATAAACAACTGGCTTTTGTGGTTCTAAATCATATTTCAAAGTTCCCCACACAGATTTGTTGTTAGGGCTTATTCAGCTGAGATTCTTTTTTTTTTTTTGGCATTTTTCCTATCATAAAGAAGCTAAGTAAGGTAAAGAGAAAAGTTGGGTGAGCAACCCAGAGAGTCTCTGGAAAAGTAGTCATTTTTAGAATTGAGGAGACTTAGGTCCCAAAAGTTAAAAAGCAGAAGCTAGGGTCATATCATCTAGAAACCCTGCACACATGCTGTTATGTGCCCCGGGGATGTGGTGGCTGGGGCTCAAATGAGGCCAGTGAGGTGCTTACCTCAGGCGCAAAATGTAAGGTGGTACTAAAAAACCTAAGAATCAAGATAATACTAATTTTATGCAATATTTTAAAAAATTAAAATTAATGCAAAAGTCAGATAGTGTGATGTCTCCATCTCTGTTCTTTTTGCTCAGATTGCTTTGGCAGTTCGGGGTCTTTTGTTTTTCTATACGAATGTTAGGATTTGTTTTTCTATTTCTGTGAAAATATCATTGGAATTTTGATAGGGATTGTATTGAATCTGTCGATTGTTTTGGGCAATATGGACATTTTAACAATGTTAATTCTTTTAATCTAAGAACATGAGATATCTTTCATTTATTTGTGTGTTTTTCTCTTTCTTTCATCAATGTTTTATAGTTTTCAGCGTACAGATCTTTCGCTTCCTTGGCTGAATTTATTCCTAAGTATTTTTTTTTGTAGCTATTGTAAATAAGATTTTTTCCTGATTTTTTTTCAGATACTTCATTGTCAGTGTATAGAAATGTTACTGATTTTTGTATGCTGATTTTTCATTTTGCAACTTTGCTGAATAGATCATTCTCAAAGGAAACTTACAAATAGCCAACAGGTATATGAAAAAAAGGTCAACATTACTAATCATCAGAGAAATTTAAATTAAAAACACAATGGGATATCATCTCACACTTGTTAGTATGGCTTTTGTCAGAAAGACAAAATGGAACTCTCGCGCACTGTTGGTGGGAATGTAAATTAGTACAGCCATTACAGAGAACAGTATGGAGGTTAATCAAAAACTTAAAAATAGAACTACCATATGATCCAACAATTTTACTACTGGATATGCATCCATAGGAAATGAAATCAGTATCTCAAAGAGACATCTGCACTTTCGTGTTCATTGCAGCATTATTCACAATAGCCAAGAAATGGAATCAACCACAGTGTCCATCAACAGATGAATGGATAAAAAAATTGTAGTATTCATTGGATGCAGTGGCTCACACATATAATTCCAACACTTTAGGAGGCTGAGCCAAGAAGGATCCCTTGAGGTCAGGAGTCTGAGACCAGGTTGGGCAACAGAGCAAGACTCCATCTCTAAAAACAATTTTTTTTTTAATTAGCTGGGCATGGTGGCACATGCCTGTAGTCCTAGATACTCAGGAGCCTGAGGCAGGAGGATCCCTTGAGCCCAGGAGTTTGAGGATGCAGTGAGCTATTATCCCAACACTGCACTCCAGCCTGGGCAACAGAGAGAGACCCTGTCCCCAAAAAAAGAAAAAGGAAAAAAAGAAAATGTGGTATATATGCACAGTGAAATTCTATTCAGCCTTGAAAATAGAAAGAAATGCCGATATTTGTGACAACATGGATGAACCTAGAGGACATTAAATAAAACAAGCCAGGCACAGAAAGACAAATATTGCATGATCTCACTTATGTGTGGAATCTTAAAAAGTTGAACTAATAGAAATAGAGAATAGAAAGGTAATTGCCAGGGACTGGGGAGATATTGGTCAAAGGATACAAAATTTCAGCTAGATAAGAGGGATAATTTCAAGAGTTCTATTGTACTACTTGGTGACTACAGTAAATAATAATGTGCTATATTCTTGAAAATGATTAAAAGTAGATTTTAAGTGTCCTTACCACAAAAAAGAGATAAGTATATGAAGTAATACATATATTACTTAGCTCAATTTAGCCATTCCACAATGTATACATATTTTCAAACAACATGCTATATACTGTAAATATATAAAATTTTTGTTGGTCAATGAAAAAAATAAATACTTTTAAAGTTTCTATTCTTTAACCTATCTAGGAATTTATATTTTAAAGTGATCATCAGAAATGCAATATATCACGAATGCAATGAGCCTAAGTGCTCATCATTGTAGTATTTTCAAGAGCAAAAGTGGACACATATTACATATTCAAAATTAGGGGAAGCAATAACTAAATCATAGTTCAGCCATACGGTGAAATTTTGCCATCATTCGTACAGTAGAAAGGCTAATGGAATAAGGTACATCACTTAGGATAGCAAACCAAGGGGTTCAAATAATAATGATACTCATTATCTCACATAATAAGAATTTGGGAGGTAGGAAAAAAGGCAGAGTTAGTTATTCTGGCAAAGACTGATTTTTGTCATCTAATGTTTATTCTCATTTTTTCTCAGAAAGAGGACGCTGACTTTTTGATGGGCACATGGCCACCCTCAAAATGACGACTTTTCCCAGCATCTATAAATGCTAAATACAGGTCAATGTGATATAAACTAAAATATCATACAACTTCCAAAAACCTTAACAGATAATCTACCTTGCTTAACAGTGAAGAAAATGTATTCTCATTTAAACAGAAGTCCAGAGGGAGGTGGCTGCAGGATGGTTAATTCAACAAGTCAATGATACCCACCAGGTTTTAGGATGCATCTTCCTGCACTGTCAAGTGCAGCAGTTGGCTTCATCTTTGATTGCCTTCTCTCACAGGTAGAAGGCTGCCTTGGTTCCTGGAGGCCCATGCAAATCTAAAAATGCCTCTCAAAAGGAAACGAGGGGATTTCCCCCCCTTTTTATTCTCATAAGAGTGAAGACTGGGCAATATGGTGAAACCCCATCTCTACAAAAATTCAAAAATTAGCTGGTAATATTTTGGGCTAGCATTGAAAAAAAAAAAGAACAACAACAGCAAAATTAGCCAAGTGTGGTGGTATGCACCTGTAGCTCCAGCTATTCGGGGATGCTGAGGTGAGAGGATCACTTGAGCCCAGGATGTCGAGGCTGCAGTGAGCTGTGATTGTGCCACTGCACTCCAGCCTGGGTGACAAGGTGAGACCCTGTGTCAAAAAAAAAAACAAAAACAAAACTTTTTTGAAGAAGCCTTCCAGCAGAACTTCTCCACATTTCCACATCTCATTGGCTAGAACTAGATCACAGACCACCATGAAACCAATCACTGAGAGAAGAATGGAATGATGATGGGAGGCTTAAGTTAACCAAGATTTACCGTAAGTCATACAAAGGAGAGATAGTCACCCAAGCAAAGTTCGGGCTTGGCAGTGAGGAAGATGGAAGAAATCGCTGTCAGCTGGGAAGCCTGCAGCATCTGCTACAATGTCAATTATGGGTTGTCAGGCATTGGGTGGAAAATATATCACTAATCTCTGTATCAGGTTCATCGTTTATCAGCACAGGAAATGGCCATGGTGTTATGTAAGACAAATTGCAAAAATCTTCAATGAAACAATATAGTTAGGTCCATACCTGCCAGCTGGCAGCAGGATAAATTCCAAATAGATCATAGAACTAAATGTGAAAACTTTACTGCTATTAAATGAACACACTGGAGAACACCAGGAGCAAAGCCACAAGATAATTGATTAACTGAGGAAGAAATTGTAATTCATATCATAGATAATCAGCTAATCTCCTGATTGTATAAGAACTCCTAGAAATTAGTAAGAAAAAAAACCATCAATATACAGAATAACATAGAAAAAACAAAGGATATGAACATCCAACTTGCAAAAAAGACCACAAAGATTTCTTAAACATATGAAAACTTGTTCAACTGTGCTTCATTTATATAAAGAGAAATGAACATTAAAACTATCCTAAGATATCATTGCCAGCTATTAGATGGGCAAAAATGCCAAAATTTGATACCATACTCTGTTGGTGGTTTTAGAGAAGCAGTCACTATCATCAAGAGCCAGAGAGAATATAACTCCTATGGAGGGCAATTTGGCAATATATGTTAGATGCCTATACCCTTTGGTCCAGCAGTTCTGTTTCTGAAAATGCAGTTGTGGATTCTATAGATTCTACATTTTACAGATGTATTTAATTACATGCCAAAAGATTTTTCAGGACTAGTATTTAACTGAAGCACATAAGACCTGATATAGTTTGGATATTTGTCCCCTCCAAATCACATATTAAAATGTGATCCTCAATGTTGGAGGCAGGGTCCAGTGGGAAGTGTTTGAGTCAGGAGGGCAGATCCCTCATGAATGATTTGGTGCTATTCTCATGGGATTGAGTGAATTCTCACTCTTAGTTCCCATGAGCTATGCCAGTTAAGAGTCTGGCACCTCCCTCCCCTCTCTCTTTCCTCCTCTTTGCCAAGTGATTCCAGCTCCTCTCCCCTTCTGTCATGAGTGGAAGTTTCCTGAGGCCCTCACCAGAAGCAGATATTGGTGCCACACTTCTTGTACAGCCTGCAGAACGATTTTTGTAAATCGTAAAGAAATTTGTAAATTTCTTTACAAATTACCCAGCCTCAGGTATTCCTTTACAGCAGTGCAAATGGACTAAGACAACACCCAACTGGTTGGTTCATGCCTGGTACTCCCCTAAAAGGTTGATGACCATGGTATACTTAAATTGGAAAACATTAAATATTACCCCTGTAGGTATGTAGGAGTATATTTTTTTTTGTAGAAAAATAATGGAAATAATCCAAATAGCCAGCAATAGTGGACTAGTTAAATAAATTATGGTGGTCCTTAAAATTGAATAATATGCAGCCACACAAAGGAATGACATCTCATTCTGTTCTGACTGCTGTAAGAAATACCATTAACTTGGTGGCTTGTAAACATCAGAAATTTATTTCTCACTGTTCTGGAGGCTGGGAAGTCCACGATCAAGTTGCCAGCAGATGTCGGTGTCTGGTGAGGGCCTGCTTCCTCATAGGCAGCTCTCTCCTCCTTCCAACCTCATATGGTGGAAGGAGTGTGGGGTCTCTCATGGCTTCTTGTATGAGGGCATGAATCTCATTCATGAGGGCTCTGCTCCTCTGACCTAATCTCTTCCCAAATGTCACACCTTCTATTACCATCATTGCATATCATTTTCACTATATATCATTTATTTGTCTTTTGGTTTTTTAATGTATTTAGTAAAAATAGGCTGGGCGTGGTGGCTTATGTCTGTAATCCCAGCACTTTGGGAGGCCGAGGTGGGCGGATCAGGAGGTCAGGAGATCCAGACCATCCTGGCCAACATTGTGAAACCCCATCTCTACTAAAAAATACAAAAATTAGCTGGGCGAGGTGGCGCATGCCTGTAATCCCAGCTACTTGGGAGACTGAGGCAGGACAATTGCTTGAACCAGAGAGTCAAAGGTTGCAGTGAGCTGAGATCGCACCACTGCACTCCAGCCTGGCGACAGAGTGAGACTCTGTTTCAAAAAAAAAAAAAAAATTATACAATGGTTTACTGTTGCCTACCTTCACATTCCAAATCCTGAGCTTGGCATTCAATTCAATTCACAATTTAGCACAAATCAACCTTTCCACAGCTGATTCCTGCTATTGCTCCTCCCCTCCTGCCCCCCACTGCCATCCCTAGAACATCTCCCTAAAGGTAATCACTATGAACAATGTTAACTTTAGAAAAAAGTGATATGCATATGCCTATGTTTCTATTATATACATATATCATTTTGAAAAAATGTACACATAGGCTGGGCACAGTGGCTCATGCCTGTAATCCCAGCACTTTGGGAGGCTGAGGTGGGTGGATCCCCTGAGGTCAGGCATTTGAGACCAGCCTGGCCAATATGGTGAAACCCCATCTTTACTAAAAAGACAAAAAATTAGCCAGGCATGGTGGTGTATGCCTATAGTCCCTGCTACTTGGGAGGCTGAGGCAGTAGAATCCCTTGAACCTGGGAGGCAGAGGTTGCAGTGAGCCGAGATTGTGCCACTGCACTCCAGCCTGGGTGACAGAGCGAGACTCTGTCTCAAAAACGAAAAAAAAGTACACATTGGATCATTTTTCATTTATTACATATCTATAAGAATTTTCTATAAGAATTTTCTGCCGGGCACGGTGGCTCACACCTGTAATCCCAGCACTTTGGGAGGCTGAGGCGGGCGGATCACGAGGTCAGGAGATCGAGACCATCCTGGCTAACACGGTGAAACCCCATCTGTACTAAAAATACAAAAAATTAGGTGGGCGTGGTGGCGGGTGCCTGTAGTCCCAGCTACTCGGCAGGCTGAGGCAGGAGAATGGTGTGAACCCAGGAGGGGGAGCTTGCAGTGAGCTGAGATCGCACCACTGCACTCCAGCCTGGGCCACAGAGCGAGACTCCATCTCCAAAAAAATATAAAGAATTTTCTGTATTATAAATTTTTTTCCATTTATTTATATGTCTTGTGATTTTATATATCAGGATTTTTTAGTGACTAAATAATATTCTATCACCTGGATATATCATAATTTACTTATTTTTCTGGTTGTACAGTTAATGGAGACAATCAAAATAGCCAGCAATAGTGGACTGGTTAAGTTGTTTCTATTATAGTTTTTGTTGATATATGCAATGCTGCAATAAATTTCTTGACATATTTTTGCCATGTCAATATGGAATTGTCAGGAAAGTATGTGCATTTAAAATTTTTATTGATATTGTCAACTTGCTTTTATAAAAGTCATACAAACACTCTTTTCTCTGAAAGTGCTCCTTTCCTCATTTTCTCACTAATATTGATTCTGAAACTTTAAAAAATTGCCTGATGGGCAAATTTTTTTTAATGCTTAGTTTGTATTTCCTTAATTATAAGAGTGAACATCTTTTTTACATGTAAATAGGAATTTGTATTTCTTTTTCCCTAAACTGTTTATTTTAGTTATGTAGAATCAAATGAAGTCATCTTTTCTGTTATGACTCCAGGGTTTAGGGTTGTGTTTATTTATTTTATTTAATAAATTTTTTTAGAGACAGAGTCTTCCTCTGCTGCCGAGGCTGGAGTGTATTGGCATGATCCTAGGCTCACTGCAGCCTTGAATTCTTGGGCTCCAGTGGTCCTCCTGCCTCATCCTCCCAAGTAGCTGGGACTACAGGCATGCACTACTATGCCTGGCTAATTTGTTTTGTAATTTTTTGTATAGATGGGGTCTCACTATATTGCCTAGGCTGGTCTTGAACTCCTGGCTTCAAGTGCTCCTCCCTCCTTGGCCTCCCAAAGCACTGGAATTATAGGTGTGAGCCACTGCACCTGGCTTAGGCTTGTGTTTAGAAAGGCTTTTTTCTATTTCCACATGACAGACACACACAAATTTGATATTTTCTTCTCGTCAATTATAGATTTTAAAGTGTTTAAATCTTTAATTCATCTGGATTGAGGAGAGTGGTAGTATATCCTGAATGGTAACATTGTAATTTAATTTTTTTCCAAGTCTCAACACAACTTCCCTAATAATCTATACCTTCTTCACAGATTTGAATCACAAAATGTATTACATACTAAATTTCCATAGGCATATGAGTCTTGTTCTGGGCTCTCTGTTTGGTCCCATCCGCCTGAATAGCTCTTCTCACCTACTACCACACCGCTGAAGTTACTATAGCTTGACAGCAAGTTTTTCATCTGATAAGGTGGGTCGCCATCTCAGAAGTCTTTCACCCCTTCCCCGAAAGATTCTCAGCTTTTTCAGCACATTTAATCTCCCAGATGAACTAACAGATTAATTTGAGGGAAATGATATTTTATAGTATTGAGTCTTTGTGACTCCAAAGTCCAGTGCTCAAAATGTCACACGAAATTACTAGACAGTTACTTAGTGAATATGAGACCAGATCGTTGTGGACATTTCTGACTGGATTAGTTGCACAAGTCATCTGACTCTATAACAAAATCGTGCAATTCTCCCCTTTATTGTACAGACATGTGAGAATTATCTGGGTATCAGAAAAATTGGGCCAAGAGCAAAAAATGAACAGTCCGTCCATATCCTTCAGTAATATTTTAAGTAGAAAAATTAATGCTTCACATCCTGTGCAAAATGAAAGTGGAGCTGCAGCCACAATCAATACCGCTGCTCATGTGCACTGCAGGCTGTGTCTTGGGCGTAGAACTCCTGGCTCCTGGCCATAACCAATACAGGAATAAATGCCATTTAATTTCACCCAGCTGTTCCTGGGGCCTTCCATGGGTGGGTCTGCCAAGGGGTGTTTCATTTGATTCACAGGCAAAAAAATGTGCCCCTGAATTACTTGGTACAGAGCCAGATTTGCTAGGACTTCCTAAACACCCTGCTGTAGAGAAGAAGCCACCAAGAATGCTCACATCATGGACCAAATCCAGCCCAAGGTATTCTTCTTGCGGCTCTGCTGGTTTGTTGCAGTGTGCTAAACTTGCACTTTATTTTATACTGAAAAACCAATGTGTTCAGTATAAAATTTTTCCAACATATGGGGTTAAAAAGACAGTGTTACATATTTAAATAAATGAAGTGAAACGATCAGATAGAAATTATACTTTATATAGTATTTAAGGTGATATTAACCTACATAAATTAGTATAATGGAAGAGAATGTAATGCTCTTATTTTAAAAACAGAGAACTTTTGCTTGACTGCAGGCAACAGAATTGATACATGTTGTATACGTGTGTATTCAGGTGCCAAAAAAGTGATTTCCGGTTCTGCGAAGAATAGTCATTTTCCATTTCACGTAAATATAATTCCAGTATTACGTTTCAAAATTATCTTTCTTTCCTTGGGAAAACAAACAAATGCAGGGACCTTGTGATGATTTGCTTTTTGCTGTTGTTTATCTCGTTTTGATGCTCCCAAGACTATGTTAGAAGGTTCAGAAATTGTGCATGATGCCCAAGATTATATTGAGAGTGGCTATTGACCAAAGCTATGTGACATAGTAGAATTGGGAGGAAAATTGATGACAAAGAAATTTGTGCAAGAAGTATGTGGATAGACCTCTCTGAGTGGGCAAAAAAACAAAAACAAAAAACCCACAAAAATGTTTGTGTCCCATGTGAGTGCTCACCAAATGGTGACCTCAGCAAAGGGTGATTTTAGTAATTAAGTGGATAGGTTGACCCATTCTGTGACTGCCAGTCAGCCTCTTACCCCAGCTCTCCCTGTCAGTGCCTGATGGGCTCATGAGCAAAGCAGTTATGGTGACAGGGATGAAGGTTATACATGAGCTCAGTAACCCAGACTTCTACTCACCAAGGCTGACCTGGCTACATCTACTGCTGAGAGACCAATTAGCCAGCAGCAGAGAGCAACACGGAGGCCCCGATATGGCATCATTCCCCATGATCAACCAGCTACCTGGTGGCAGATTGATTACATCGGACCACTTGGAAGGAGCAGTGTTTTTTCCTTGCTGGAGTAGATACTCTGGATTTGTCTCCTCTGAAAAACACAATGCTTTTGTCAAAACTACAATTCATGGATTTACAGAATGCCTTATCCACCATCATGATATTCCATGCAGCATTGCTTCTGACCAAGGAACTCACTTCACAACCAAAGAAGTGCAGTAATGGGCTCATGCTCATGGAATTCACTAGTTTTACCTTGTTCCGCACCATCCTGAAGGAGCTGGCTTGATGGAACAGTGGATGGCCTTTTTGAAGACTCGTAGTGCCAGGCAGGTGGCAATACCTTGCAGGGCTGGGCAGGGTTCTCCAGAAGGCTGTATATGCTCTGAATCAACATTCAATATGTGGTGCTGTTTCTTAGACAGCCAAGATTCATGGGTCCAGGAATCAAGGGGTGTAAATGGGAGTGGTACCTCTCACTATTACTCCTAACACTCATTAGTGACTCACTAACAAAAGTTTTACTTTCTGCTACCAAGACTTTATGCTCTGCTGGCATAGAAGTCTTAGTTCCTGAGGGAGAATTGCTTCCACTAGGAGACATTAGCAACGATTCAACTAAAGTGTAACTTAAGACTGCCACTTGATGACTTTGACTCTTCATGCCTCTGAATCAACAGGAAAAGAAGGGAGTTGTGAGTTGTAGTGTTAGCTGGGGTGATTAATCCTGACTACCAAGGGGAAATTGCACTACTACTCCACAATGGAGGTAAGGTAGAGTGTGTCTGGAATACAGGAGATTCCTTAGAGTGTATCTCAGTATTACCATGCCCTGTGATTAAGGTCCATGGGAAACTATAACAAACCCAATCCAGGCAGGACTACTAATGGCCTAAATTCTTCAGGAATGAAGGTTTGGGTTACTTCATCAAGGCAAAGAGCTATGACCAATTGCCTCTACCTGGTCTCTCTTTTGACACATGGGGATTATGGGGATTATGAGGATTACAATTCAAGATGAAATTTGGGTGGGGACACAAAGCCTCACCATATCAGCCCCCATGATCCAAACACCTTCTACCAGGCCCCACCTCCAACACTGGGGATTACATTTCAACATGGGATGGGGGTGGGGACAAATATCCAGATTAATCACTGAGTAAAGCAGATGACCCTCCCCCATGCGGGTGGGCATCCAATTCATTGTGGTTCAGAATAGAAGAAAAAGGTGGAGGAAGGGCAAATTCACTCCCTCTGCTTGAGCTGAGACATCCATCTCCTATTCTTGTACCTCAGCACTCCTGGTTCTTAAGCTATCAGATGGGGACCAGGACTAACCCCATCAACCACTTAGACTCTCACATGCAGACTGAATTTCACCACTGGTTTTTCTGGTTCTCCTGCTTGCAGATGGCAGGCCGTGGCACTTCTTGGCTTTCATAACCACATGAGCCAATTCCTATAATAAATCTCTTCATATATCTCTCTATATATCCTACTGGTTCTGTTTTTCTGAAGAACCCTGACTAATACAACGCCCCACCCGGATCCCCTATTTCTGGGCTGGAGCTTGCAACCCCCATTCACTATGGGTGTTTGCTGCTAGTAATGGTGGGCAGCTGCACCTGTCTTAGGGAAACTGCCCATAGTCCATGGGAACCATTTCGTCCACAGAAGCCAGGGAGGTTATGATCCCCTCTGCCCTGAAGGGTGGCCTGTGGCCAATCACTAACTGATAGGGGGTGGTATAAAAGCCTAGCTCCCTTGCCTCACAGTAGAACAAACTAGTACAATTCATGCTGCAGAGTTCCCCATGACATCAGGCTAAGGCTAAACTTTTCCTTAAACCACATCTTTTCTTAACTTCCATTCCCCTTCTGCTTTTCACTCCCTTACAGGTTTTTTTCTGTCTCATTGTCTCAGTCAATTGCCTGCACAAGAATCTCCATCTCTGGTTTTGCGTCCAAAGAACTTGTCCTAAGGTATATTTCCAAATAGAATGGGAGAAATCTTCCCCAACAATATAATGACTTGCCTTTGAGAACAAAGTGGTTAAGTCCCAAACACTAGTTTGAAACTCTTAATATGCCTCCAACTCCACCTGAAACATACTAATCTGTCAATTGGTCAGCAGTTACTACAGACATCAATGTGGACACACTGTTCACAGACAGAGGTCTTTATTGGAATAGAAATGTCTTAAAATCCAGCAGAGTTGCAAACAGGAACTCATCCTTCATGGAAAAGTCACAGTTATTAGCCACTGGATAATTCATCTGTGATAGCAGGTTGGGAAAGAATGTGAGTCTAGTGTCATGCACACACATTTAGGTAATAACCTAGCAATAGCAGAATTCTCAGAGATGAATAGCATAATAATAATAATTGCTGCCTATTATTCGTCACAGGCAGAGTGCTAGGCATTTTATTCCAAGGGTTTTCACTACACAACTCTATGGTTACCCAGTTAGCAGAGCAAGGACCCCATTCAAGTGTGATTTGTCCAAGGTATTGCTCTTCATAGCTACGAAATCAGGTTAAAAGATGATGGAAGTCAGGTTAAAAGACGATGGTACAATGGCTGGAACTCCTCCCTCTTGAGTGAAAGATCAGTCCTTTCCTTTTCAAAACAGTGAAGGTAATCATCATTTCCACCTTCTTAAGGTCTTTTTCTTCATTCCAAGCACTTTAAGTCTCTTTTATGTTTCAATTTAATGTACTTCCTGTTCACTAGAAGCAACACTTTTAGCTGAGCTACTAAAAGCAAGAATGTATTAATTAAACATTAACACTTTTTGAAGTCAAGTATACTCTAGAAGTGGCAGACAGTGAAAACCTGAGATATAATTACCTCTATCTTCTTTTTGGAACTCATTTGCCTGGAATATTTACACATTTCAGCAGGTTCCCTTCTCCCTGCAGCTGGAGTGCTGGGTTCTTAGGTACGTATCCCAGCTTTCTTTGAGATGTAGAGGGCTCTTAGAAATGTATTTACTTACCGATTACATGTCTTAGAGAAAGGCGTATGTGTGCACCCTGTCTTAAGAACAATGTCACGGTGTTGGTAATGAAATTTCACAGGCAGGGAGGTTGCAGGGCCTGGTGTATCTGAGCACCTCCCATCACAAACACTGCTTGGAGATTCATAAACTTCTTCCTCTAATGGACAGGGTGTCCCTTCCATCAAATGTGAGTCCTTTCATGTGGGCCGTGGAGATCTCTTTTCAATGTCCTCTCTCTTCTCTATCAGTATACATATTGCTTCTAATAGTAGTCTTCTTAAAACACATACATATCCCTCCCTTGATCCCAAATCAGCAACTTTCTGCTTTTATTTCTCCCCTTCATAGCAAAGCTTGGAAGAGTACTCTACACTTAGCATCTTTACTTCTTCACCTCTTGTTGCTCTTCTCTCTAGGCAGGCTTCCATTCCCACCTCTCCACCAAAACTGCTGCTAAATCACCAATGGCCTCCACATTGATAACTCCACAAATGACAGACATCTTTCTGTCGTTGTCCCATTGCCCTCTCAGTCACATTTCACATTGCAAACACTCTTCTGCCTTCTCAGAACTTTGTCTCTCCTCACTTCTCTGCAGTGATGTGCAGGTAAACTGGCTTGGGGTGGGGGAAGAGCCCTGAATGGTGGCATTTTCCACTTTCCATAGTGTAAATCCTTCCATCGTGGCCAATATCAAGTTACCAATAGTGGCCACTGCAGCCATGGCTGGAGCTGTAACACCAGGATGCTGCTTTTCTCCTTTCACCTGGTACCTGACCTGTTTCTTCTTGATCTTTTTGTTGGTCCTTCCTCCGTTAGCAAAATTCTAAATGTTGATCCTTGGGACTTGGATCTGAACCTTGTTTTTTTCTTTCTTTTCTCATTGATCTCAACTATCCACATGGCTTTCTTTCCCTTAAAAATTATATTTGCAATAGGCAATCATTTAAAAAGTTGAATACACATAAAAATACTTTGAGGAGTCTCAGGTTTACACCTATTCTCATCCACCCCTACGTGTTTACCCCTCAGGTAAGCACTTTTATCAGTTTACTCTTCCAGTGCTTCCTTTTGTAAATGAACATGTGTGGCTATGTATGTTTATATGTGTGAGCTCATGTGTTAATTCCTATTCTTTCCCTTTCTTGCACAAAAAACAGTATTACAAACACCATTCTGCATCTTGCTTTTTTTCACTCTCCTGTATATTTTAAAGCTCTTTCTGCATCAGTACAGAGATACCCACATAATTTTTAAAACACCATCTATCTGTTGAACACTACCATATTTGTATGTCTGTTACAGACCTACTCTCTGAGCTCCAGACTTTCTGACTTCCCTCTTCACTCTTGATATCTCCAAGATATCTCAGGCTTTCCAAGCACAAGATGAAACTCTTGTTTTTGCTTCCTGTTGTGGATGCTATCTTCCTGGCCTGCCCAATCCCCATTACTGGGCTGGAGCACCCCTTCCTCAGTGGCTGTGAATATTGGCTGCTAATGGTGCACAGCTGCCCTCTGCTCTGGAGAATCACCTTCAGCTGAAATGACCCACCTTGTGCTGGAAGTTATTTTTACAGCCAATGATAGATTGATACTGGCCTTCTTGTCTTAATAGGGCACAGACAACTCTATGGGAGGTTTATGTGGAGCATTAGCCTTCTCTTGTTTTTTTCTTCTCCTTCCCTATCCTGTTTCCCTCGTCCACTTCATGCTTTTCCTGTAGAGCACTCCCTCAAAAAACTACACATACCCAAAGGCTTCACTTGTAGGGAATTGAATCTAAGACACTCCCCTCTGTCCTCCTAGTCTTACCCATCTCAGTTGATGTTATCTCCACTTGCCTATTTTACAGACTGGAAACTTGGGAGTCATCCTTGACTGCTCCTCTTTCCTTATCCACCCTATCTGTTCCATCAGGAAATTCTATTGAGTCTACCTTAAATATGTCTTGAATCCATAGACTTCTTTCCAGCTCCCCTGTCAAATCCTGAAAAGGCCACTAGCATGTATCTCACTCATTTAATATTTTATTTATTTATATTTTTGAATTGATACACATTCATGGTTAAGATTTTTAAAGCTGCAAAATAGCATATAGCAAAAGCCAGCTGTTTTCAATCCAGTCATTTTTTTTTCTTCCAAGGCAACCAATGCTCTTCTCTGTTGTGTGATTTTTTCCTGGCACCAAATACATGCTATTTTTTCACCCAAATTCTCCAATTTCTACACTAACTGGATGTTCAATAATTCAATTCCGTTTTGACACTAACATCTACAGTTAGTGCAGACTCCACAGGTTAAGGGTTCAGTCTCACAGGACTGTCCCACTCAGATACCAGTAGCAATTCCAGGGTCCCCAGGCTGCCAGTATTATTACCAGCGGTGAATCCATATGGGTCAGCAGCAACCTCAGTTCTTGCCTCCTTAGAAGAAAGAATTCAACTGAGGGGCATAAGGCAGAAGGAAAGACTGAGTCAAGTTTCAGAGCAGGAGTGAAAGTTTATTAAAAAGCTTTAGTGGCCAGGCGTGGTGGCTCACACCTCTAATCCCAGCACTTTGGGAGGCCGAGGCGGGCGGATCACGAGGTCAGGAGATTGAGACCATCCTGGCTAACACGGTGAAACCCCATCTCTAGTAAAAAAAATACAAAAAAGTAGCCGAGCATGGTGGCGGGTCCCTGTAGTCCCAGCTACTTGGGAGGCTGAGGCAGGAGAATGGTATGAACCTGGGAGGTAGAGCTTGCAGTGAGCTGAGATGGTGCCACTGCACTTCAGCCTGGGTGACAGAGTGAGACTCCATCTCAAAAATAAAAATAAAATAAAAAAAAGCTTTAGAGCAGGAATGAATAGAAGGAAAGTACACTTGGAAGAGGGCCAAGCAGGTGACTTGAAAGACAAGTGTGTGGTTTGATCTT
The DNA here is from genome assembly GCF_000001405.40 of Homo sapiens. Classification (NCBI taxonomy): domain Eukaryota; kingdom Metazoa; phylum Chordata; class Mammalia; order Primates; family Hominidae; genus Homo; species Homo sapiens. The sequence goes on along the minus strand of NC_000005.10, from coordinate 112,609,947 downwards.
TTGATTTGGGGGTTTACATGTTGGCATACTTCTGGGGTCTTCTCCCAACTCCTGAGATCTTATCAGGAAGTAGCTGATCAGTTCAGGTGTTTTCTATCTAGTAGGAGACTGCCTTTTCCTGGTGCAGCTGTGACCAATTATCACTTCAGAGAGATAGTTAACAATCGCCTGACCATCACCTGATGGTTGCCCAACACTCCCGGTGTGTCTGTGTTGGGGGAAGCCCTCTCCTGCCCTGCTCATGCCTGACTGTAACATTTCCCCCCTCACGAATTCAAGACCCCAAATCTTTGGAGAAAATGGATGAAGGTCAGTCTTCTGTAACTGCTTCTTCCTGATAGAGGAGTGGTGGTTGTGGGTCTGTGGGTTTTGGCCTCTTGCTGGCTGTCAGGGCAGGGTTGGCTCTGTGGGTTTGTGGAAGCAGTATCCAGCCAGGTCTAAGAGAGACAGGGGCAGGATTCTGCCTCTGTAATTTTTCACTGATGGGCAATCTAGAGGTCCCTTGTAGAAGGGTGACCCTTGAACATTGACAGGATGGTATCCCTTACTGAGGATCATCTGGAGCTTGATGGCCTTAAGACAAGAGAGGACAAATAAGGTTATTATATTTAGATAAATGTCAAAATAAAATAAGGGGTGAAGACAGCTCCAAAATACCCTAAGGCTGCTGACAGCCCAGGTAGCTGGTGGCTGTAGTTATGCCTGCTAAGACTTGGGTGCATGTGGTTGCTAGCTGACTCCAATATGTGCCCGGAATTAGAATACTGATACAGATTTTTACATTACCCATCCCTCTTGTTTCTTGTGAGTCATAGATCACTGGTTGGTTTGCAGGAATAAGCAGGGTTGTTTAAATTGCAGACAAAAACTCAAAAACAACTTGAGAATGTTTCTCTCATAAATTCCCTTTTATTTTCTCATGACTTACACAGACCAACTACAATATGCTTGGAACTTCTGACTTGTCCTAAACATCCCTGTTTTTAAACAACCAGTTATTTTACTTTAGGACAAGAATTTCCCATACATGATTCTTTTAATACAAAATCTCTTTTCTCTATAATGCTCCTTACCAAACATACCTCTTTAGCTTTATAACCTTTGAATTAGACAAAAATCAGTTTCCTTTGTTAGGAAGTTATGGTTTGTACTGCATGTTGCTTCACGAGTCCGGTGAAGGAGGAGCAGATAAGGAGGTTATCTACATACTGTGGATGTTATTCCCCACTCAGGAGATTGCTTAGTTAGATTTTTTTTAGAGCTTGTTTGAATAAGTGTGGGCTATTTCTAAGCCCCTTAGTTAGAACCTTCAAGGTCTAAGTTACTGGTTAAAGATTTAGGTAGTCTTCCCAGGAGAAAGAAAGCTACTAGAGAGAAAGATGAATTCAGAGGTTGGGTAAATATTAAGCAGACACCCATCTTGGAAAGTATATTTTTGCCCAAAAGCGGTGTGAATCCTTTCTTTTAGAGGGAGGAGGTGTCATTTGCCTCATTATGAAAGCAGGATTTGGAGGAGAGTTGCTCAGAGAAGGAGATTAGCACAGAGTGGGCAGCTCTTTAACCCAAAAGGGAAACTTATTTTACTTTCAGCCTCCAGAGTTGCCCTTGGCTTTGTCTTATTGATGATGATGTCTGATTTGGAAGCCAGCCAGAACAGAGAGGCCCTTCAGCTCAAGGCCATCAGGATGGATAGGTTGAGATTCTGTCCTGGGGCCCCTTTGACCCTCAGGGAATTCCCATTACCAGCTGTAGAGCTTGTGGTAGAGGGGATAAGCTGTGTGGGGCTTTTCCCCATTTATCTCTTCGGGACAGTTTGTATTCCAGTGGCCTGGCTTTCCACACCAATGTCAGTTACCTGAAGGAGTGTCCTTAGGGCAACCTGAAGGGGGCCGGAGAGCTTGTAAAGCAGCCACCACTGATTTCAACCACCTAACTGACACTGGAACTGGACTCCCATTCCTTTTTTGCAGTTTTGGCATAACAACTGACCAGCATTTCGTCCTGATAAAAGATCACTGAACATAGATTGGTTCTGGCTGGTCCATGGAAGCTGCATATGGAGCACCTCTGTGTCCTCTGTTTTATCTTTTGACATATGGCCTAATTTTATTACTTTTAAATGTTGAGTTTAGCTATTGTGGTGGGTCATACCTATAATCCCGGCAATTTGGGAGGCTGAGGAGGGAGGGTCACTTGAGCCCAGGAGTTCAAGACCAGCCTGGGCAACACGGCAAGACTGTCTTTTCAAAAAATTTAAAAAAAGAAGTAGCCAGGTATGCTGGTGCACACCTGTGGTCCCAGCTACTCAGGAGGCTAAGGTGGGAGGATCACTTGAGCTTGGGAGGTTGAGGCTGCAACGAGCTGTGCTCACGCCACTGTACTCCAGCCTAGGTGACAGAGCAATTAAAAGAAAAGTCTCCACTCCAAAGTGAACATAAAACATATATAACATGCATATTTGCTTACTACGCATGTGTGTAGCACCCCTTCGTGAATATTCATAGCTTCTCCTATAATTTGTTGAATATGTATAGTTAGCCAACCTATTCAGCATAAATTCCTGTCTCACCTTTCCTCCTTTGAAGTGCCTGCTTTTGGTTCCTACTGGAAGCTATACTTCTCAGCCTGCAGGCTGTAACTTCTATAAGAAATAGAACTCTCGTTTCCAAATTTATAGATCTTGTGTTTTTCAGTCAACGTTAAGAACAATTGGAAGTAGCATTGCTAAGTCATACTGTATGAATATGTTAATCTTGATTGTAGTGCCAATTACCCTCCACAGCGTTGCATTGACTTATACTACTCCTGGGAATACCTGAGGGCGGTGCCTATTTCCCAGAGTGTTGCCACTGAAATATATATAAAACTTATCAATCATTGGCAATCTGATAGGCAAAAAATTATTATCCCAGTATGATTTTATTTTTCTTTTATTGTGAGATTAAGCATATTTTTCCATTTTAACAGCCTTTTCTGTAATCAATCCCTTATATACTTTGTCCATTTTATCATTAGGTGTTTGGTCTTTTTCTTACTGATTTATGGGAGATCTTTTATATGAGGAAAACAGTCACTTTCTTTTTTGAGATGGAATCTTACTCTGCAGCCCAGGCTGGAGTGCAGTGGTGCAATTTCAGCTAGCTGCAACCTCCACCTTCTGGGTTCAAGTGATTCTTGTGTCTCAGCCTCCAGAGTAACTGGGACTACAGGCATGCACCACCATGCCCAGCTAATTTTTTTGTACTTCTAGTAGAGATGGGGTTTTACCATGTTGGCCAGGCTAGTCTTGGACTCCTGACCTCAAGTGATCCACCCACCTTGGACTCTCCAAGTGCTGGGACTACAGGCATAAGCCACGGTGCCCAGCCAACTTTCTTAAGTAGATTACTATGGGAATGTCCTAATTAGTTTTCCTATTCTTCTCTTTTCACATTTAAGATACACCTAGCTTAATGGTCAATGTGATCTTTATAAAACAGAAATGGGATCATGTCATTAGTTTCAGTGGCTTACCATTGCTTTGAGAATAAAATCCCAAACTCTTTGCATTGTCACTAAAACCCTGCATAACTGTACGCCAGTTCATCCCTCAAGATTTACTTTGCCTTGTTCCTGCTTTTTCACCTCACTCCAGCTACACTGGTCTTTTAGTTTTTCAAAGGTCTCAGGGCCTCTGCAGATCCCATTTCTTCTTTTATTTTTCCAGTCTCTTCCCATGGCCAGCTCCTTTTTACCCTGTAAGTCTCACATGGAATCTCATCTTCTAACAAAAGCCTTCTTTAACTATTCTATCTAGGAAAACTGTTGAGAATTGTGAAGGGTCTGAGATTTTTACCCAACTTGCAAGTTGACGAGTTAGCCTGCCACAGATGCTGGCCAAAGACACAAGATTCCTGGGTCAGGGAAGAAAAACATTTTTACTCATAGCACAGCAAACATCATGAGTATCAGCCTGTATGTATCAGGACTCCTTGTCCTATGGCGGCAATGCAGGTGGGCCCAGATGGGTGTTACCACACAGTGGGTCATGCTACAGGGGATCAACTAACTGGTTTTTTTTTTTTTTTTTTTTTTTTTGAGACCGAGTCTTGCTCTGTCACCCAGGCTGGAGTGAAGTGGCGTGATCTCGGCTCACTGCAACCTCCACCTCCGAGGTTCAAGCGATTCTCCTGCCTCAGCCTCCTGAGTAGCTGGGATTACAGGCGCGTGCCACCACGCCTGGCTAATTTTTGTATTTTTAGTAGAGACGGGGTTTTACCATGTTGGTCAGGCTGGTCTGAAACTCCTGACCTCGTGATCCACTTGCCTTGGCCCCGCAAACTGCTGGGATTACAGTGCTGAGCCACCATGCCTGGCTGGGATCAACTAATTTTATATCACTATGTTAGCAGAAATCAGTAAAGAAAGCTATATGGGAAGACATCTGTTCCTGACAATAAAAATAAATGTTTATGCAATAAACACATTTCCTCATAGCCATACTTTCAGATTTTCTTGGATGCTCTTAGCATCCTTTGTTTCCTTGCCCAGTTTCAGAAACTGACACTGCTCCTTGCCTGTCCAATCAATATCAGTCTCTACTTCCTTTTTTTTTTTTTTTTTTGTACAACTCTAATTTTCTGATGGGGTGGGGAGGGGGTTAGGCATGTGCATAGATGCATAACTACATACCCTTCCTTTGAAGATAGGGACGGCCCTGTGACTTACACTACCCAGCAGGATGCAATCAGAAGACACTGGGGGGAGCTCTAAGGACTGAGCTGACATGTGCCCTTTTGTACTTTGCCCTTTCTGTTTTTTTCCTGCCTGCAATGTAGACACTATAGTAAAGATAGAATATGCAGTGACGATGAAGGACAGACCATGAGAATCATAAACACTTTGGCCTTGACATCCTTGAACAATGAATTCACTTCTGCCAACTGTCTCCCTCCAGATTTCTCATTACTCATTGAGAAAAATAAAATTGCTCTGCCTCTGTCACTGCTGTGATGATGGTTCTGTGTAGGTCCATGCAGACTGCAGCCTGAGGTACACACCTCATGTCTCCACCTCCCTCCACCATTTCTGAATTCAGATGAAGTGCCAAAGGAACCCCATGATGCAACCAGGAAATGTGGGGAAGTGAACTCCCTCTAAGGTGAATTATGTAAGTCACTGTTCTTTGGGGTTTTACTATTTGCAGCTGAACTTATTCCCTAACTGATGCAAGAGGGGAAATAAATAAGAAAAATCTATGTAGAAAGATATTTTCATACTACAATAAAAAGAAATATGTGCACAAAAAATAGACTTTTCTTGCTCTACTCCCAGATTCTTCTGAGGACAATCTGCCACCAACATTCTTTCTCTCTCTTTGTACTACTTCAAAAGTAGAGCAAATACGCTGCTTCTGATTGGGCAGTGGCAGATGTTGGGCAAAAAAGAAATTGATCCACCATTCACAGCAATGCCCCATTCCTCCAGGGACTGTGGTGCTGGGCGATGCACCTGGGAAAATACTGCACATGAGTTTCAAGGGCAGAACTGGAGAACTCATGTACTAACAGATTTCCCTCTGGTGGGGAGGCTTGGGTCCTAGTGGTCTGGGGTTAATAGAAAGTAAAAAACAATCTATATCCGCAACAGTGAAGGGACCAAGCCAGAGAGCCAGGCATATAATAGATATAAAGGGCCAAGAGTTAAAGCTAGCTAAGCAGTTATGATTGGGTGACAAAGCAATGAAAGCCTGAGGCAGGGATTAGGAGTAATGGTGCAGAGCCAAAAGGTTGGAGACTAGAGAAGATGAGAATATGGAACATTAGTTTCATGGCAATCTATCTCCTTCACTGAGCTTTGTCTTTGCTGGTTACTAAGATTGTGGTCTGAACAAGCAGGGATCCAGATGGAAGAGACAGAGGAAGTTTACTCTTCTTCATTAAAAACCCACAAAATTTATCAATCCATTCAGTATCCCTTATCCAGATTATCTATCTATCTATCTATTCATCTACCAAATATTTACTGAGGATTTGCTCAGAGGAAGATATCCTTCTGTGGTTTTACATTCTCTTAGTAACCCATTATATTATCCAGGGGGAAAGGTGATTGTGGTAATGACAAAAATGACACAAGTTTTAAAATTGTACTAGGTTGGTAACTACAATTAAAAATTCTGGTATCGCTGTCATAGCACTGCCACAGCCACCCCACTACAATAGTATAATAGTTACAACCTGGCCAGTTTATTTTTAAGATTAATTAATTTGTACCATACAGCCTTAATTTGGTTTTCTAGAACCCAAGTGTCTACGGCAAGGTTGAGAGGAAATGCTTTATTGGGAGGTGTAATCCCAGGGCAGTGAAAGTGAGGAAAGGAGAATTAAAACAGGGAAGGGTAAGAAGCAAATACCAAGTGGGCTACTTCTTTACAAGATTTGAAGAGACACAGTGAATAGCTTGGCCACATGGCTGATCTCCAGGGAGTCTGTTCAGAAAACCTGTGCCTTGGAACGTTCTACTGAACATAGAAACAGAGAGAATACTTACCTGGTGTCTTCCTGCCATCCCTCTTGCCCATTGGTTAAAGGATAACTGTCCCACATTTCCTGGTTGCATCATGGGGTCCCTTTGCCACTTCCTCTGAATGCAAAAACAGTGAGAGGAGTTAACGACATGAAGTGTGGATGTTAGGCTGCGGTCTGCATGGACCTGCACAGAGCCATCATCACAGTAGTGACATAGGCAGAGGAAGCTGCCAACATCCGAGAGGCTGGCAAGGCCATGAGGATCGGAGGAGGTGCATACAATGCCATCTTCTGCAAAGGCTGTGTGGCAGCTCACCTGGATAAATAAATATGGAAAGGAGATTAAATTAGGATATTGAAAAGAAGAATAAGGAACACAAATGTAGGGATATACAGTATAGCCAGGAATGAGAATATTGTAAGACTATACCACAGTTAGATACTTTTCACTGAGTCAGGCTTCCCAGCAGCCATTTCCAAAAGGAAACCTGGTGGGGTCTATAACTCACAGGATCTATAAGGTACTGTAGAGATTTAGAACCTAGGCTTCAGGGTCTGTTCCACCATTTATGGACTCAGTCCTGTAAGCAATTACTCTCCATTTCCCCACCTGTAAAATGGGAATAATCATGGTACCTACCTCACTAAGTTTTGAGGATTAAGGAAGGTTATCAATGTAAAGAACTTAAAGCTGTGTACAATGTGTAGCAAGGGCTCAGTAAATGCTGGATATTCCAGTGACAAATTAATCAGTAGAAGCACAATTCTGTCTATGCTACTTTCTTTATAAAGGTTCTCTATGAAGAGTCTGTGATAAAAGTAATAAAAAATATCCATTTTCAGCTAAAACAGAAGATTCATAGGGATGCTTTTTGTTTGTTTTTTGAGTCAGGGTCTCCCTCTGTCACTAAGGCTGGAGTGAAGTGGTATGATCACTGCTCAGCACGGCCTCAACCTCCTAGGCCCCAGCAATCCTCCCACCTCAGCCTCCCAAGTATCTGGAACCACAGGTGCATACCACTATACCTGTTTTTTTGTGTGTTATTTTAATTTTTTTTTTTTTAGAGATAGCGTCTCCCTATGTTTCTCAGGCTGGTTTCAAACTCATGGGCTCCGTCCTTGGCCTCTCAGAGTGTTGGGATTACAGGTGTGAGCCACTGCTTTCCAGCCATTCATAGGGATGTTCATAACAGTGATCCTGAACCAAGATTAACATCACCCTAAATAAAGCTCAGGAAATACATTTTTATGGTGACTCAATATAGCCCAATCCAAATACGTGGCTCTCTGTTGGTTTTGCTTCATCCGTACCTGGAGGAGGGTGCTTCACTTGGGGTCCATGACTGGACCTGAACCTGCAAATGACATTTTGCATTGAGCATGTGGAGCAAATCCACAATAGTGCTAATAGTAATGTGACGAATATGATGCTAACTGCATTTGTAATTTTAAAATTTTCAGAATTGTGATTTTTAACAGCAAATTTTAACAGTCATATCTTACCTTTAAAAAAGTAAAAAGAGGCCGGGTGCGGTGGCTCATGCCTGTAATCCCAACAGTTTGGGAGGCCGAGGTGGGTGGATCACTTGAGGTCAGCAGTTCGAGACCAGCCTGGCCAATATGGTGAAACCTCATCTCTACTAAAAATATAAAAAATTAGCCGGGTGTGGTGGCGCGCACCTGTAGTTCCAGCTACTCAGGAGCCTGAGGTGGGAGAATCGCTTGAACCCGGGAGGTGGAGGTTGCAGTGAGCTGAGATCGGGCCATTACACTCCAGCCTGGGTGACACAGCGAGACTCCATCTCGAAAAAAAAAAAAAAGTAAAAAGAAACAGAAGAAATTAATTTCATATACCTTATATATCCAAATATTATAATTTCAACATGCAATCAATATACAGAATTAAGATCATTTACATTCCTTTTTTGTATTAAGTCTTCAGAATCCAGTGTGTATTTTACATATCTTATTTATTTTTTGTTAATACTGATTTTAAAATTAATTCTACATGAAAAAAGAATTTTCTGTAATTCCATAGGCAGATAATTGTGGCTGATATTAAAAATAATAAAAAGTAAACATGGACTTGGTTAGAAAATCAGAACTATAGAGAAATGAACAATTTTCTGCTTACTCCCGGGAAATATTTTCTGTGAATTAATGAGTACCAATATCTGTATAATATAGTTGTTTATTTACATGGAAAGGACCGTTATACTTGTCACACTGCCCTACACATGATTTTCTCAGTTAATAATATGTCTTGGAGAATTTTCCATGTTAGAATATAACACATCACTTCATGTTTGTTTTAAATTGTTACATGATATTTAATTATATTAATTTACTATAATTTATAACTTATGTAACCTATCTCCTTTTGATGGTCATTTAAGTTGTCTCCACTTTTTGCTGTTGTTGTTGTAGACACTACTGCCATGATTAACCTGGCTCACATCCTTGTTCAGTTGGTTCACTTTTGCAAGGGGCTCCTAGAATTACACTTTTTTAGTTTTGGCCGATTTACCAAATTTATCCAAAAAAGTTACTAAATTATATACTCACCAGCATTATAATACCTTTTCCCTGCATGTACATACATCCCCTTTCCCCCTCTGTTAGTCCACAGTGTCTATCGTTGCCATCTTTATGTCCATGAGTACCCAACGTTTAGCTCCCACTTATAAGTGAGAACATGTGGTATTTGGTTTTCTGTTTCTGTGTTAATTCAGTAGGATTATGGCCTCCAGCTGCATCCATGCTGCTGCAAAGGACATGATCTTATTCTTCTTTATGGCTGTGGTAGGATATTTTTGAAGTATGAATGATAGATTTGATATATTCATTAATTTAATTACTGTATGTTAAAGGATTCATATTTTTGCCCCTACTGTGTTCCCAGCCATAGAAACAGCATTTTTCCTGCTTCCCTGATTAGATAAAGATGCTGTGGCTGGGAATGATGGGGAAGAGGGGAGACGCTGCTATGGGTCTCTAAGGGGCGGCCCTGAGCCAGCCTCTTTCTGGCCTGATGGGGATGGGGGATTGGGGCAAGAGAAAACTCAGGGAACACAGGATCTGCCTTTTCTGTACCCTCACTAAATACTAAGTTGTATAAAATTTTCATTTCACAAATATACATGAAAATGGTATCTCAGCTTTGTTTTAATGTGCATTTCTGTAATTTTGAGTAAGATTCTTATATCTTTGGCAATTTGCTTTTTTTGTTAATAGGCTATTTATATAGTTTGTCTATACTTCAATTGTTTCGATCTTTTTCATAAGTACTTCTTCTGTCACCTGTGTGAAAGATGTGAAAGATTTTTTCTTTGTCATTTGTCTTTTTATTTTGTTTATGATATTTTTAAATTTATTTAGATTTTATATTATTATATGGTCAGATTCATCAATCTTTTCTCTTATGTCTTTTCTTTTTCAGCAGAGATTTGTGGGCATTCGGCAGTAGTTTTTATTATAGAAACAACAAAAAACTTCACAGTGGAAATTTGAAAAATGTAGAAAAGGTGATATAAAAAATTAGCACTGACATTCCTACTATTAGAAGAAAAGGTCTGTTTTATTGTGCCCAGTTTTTCATGCAATTTTTCTAGCCCTGATAATAATGAGCAATTTGGAGATGTATTTTCCAGGTTGACAAGGAGGTGCAGTAGAATTTTTAAAAAATATTTTCAACTTTTATTTTAGATTCGGAGGTACATGTGCATACAAGGGTATGTTGTGTGATGCTGAGATTTGGGGTGTGATTGAACCCATCACCCAGGAAGTGGGCAGAGTACTCAGCAGTTAGTTTTTCAGCCCACATCCCCTTTCGCCCTCTGTTAGTCCACAGTGTCTATCGTTGCCATATTTATGTCCATGAGTACCCAACGTTTAGCTCCCATTTATAAGTGAGAACATGAGGTATTTGGTTTTCTGTTTCTGTGTTAATTGAGTAGGATTATGGCCTCCAGCTGCATCCATGCTGCTGCAACAGACATGATCTTATTCTTCTTTATGGCTGTGGTAGGATATTTTTGAAGTATGAATGATAAATAGATTTGATATACTCATTACTTTAATTACTGTACATTAAAGGATTCATATTTTTGCCCCTACTCCGTTCCCAGTCATAGAAACTGCGTTTTTCCTGCTTCCCTGACTAGATAAAGATGCTGTGGCTGGGAATGATGGAGAAGAGGGGAGACGCTGCTATGAGTCTCTAAGGGGAGGCCCGAGCTGGCTCTTTTCTGGCCTGATGGGGATGGGGGACCGGGGCAAGAGAAAACTCAGGGAACACAGGGTCTGCCTTTTCTCCTAAAGGGTCCCAGAAAAGTGCTGAATGTCTGAGAGTCTCTTTGCTCTAGTGTGAGAGTCGAGAAGAAGCATCTTAGCGTGGCAGATGAGGGTGGAAAGGGCATAAGAGAATTCTGTGAGTCTCCTATAACCTAGAGTGGCCAGGAGCGCATCCCCCCTTGTTCAAGATGGCACAGAAGTATCACAGAGAGGTCTGGCAGATTAGGAGATGCTTCGTATTGGGAAGGGGTGGCCCAAGAGCAGATGTCAGCCCTGTCCTTGCATCAAAGGCCAGATGGGAACTCAGTTGCCTTCGTAGATGCCAGCAGGGATAGATGCTGACTATTGGTGACTCCTGGGAACAAGGACACGACAGAGGATGCCAGCATGGACAGATGACAGCCCAGGACCAGATGAGCCCCCTCCATGTCCAGATGTTCTATCAGTCTCTCCCCACCTCCCAGGGCAAGTGGGGAGGGAGAAAAACCCTGACTGAGCAGAGTTTACCGGGAATTGACTTGCTTCCAGTTACTGCATCAAGTACAATGGGGGCTCAAGATATGATAGAACTTAGTCATGAAAAATAGAGATTTTTACATTTTTGCATACCCGAGCTGTTGCCAGAAATGTATGATCACTGCAAATGTAAGGCTGAATTGAGACACAAGAAAAGAACTTTACTGAAAGCATGGCCAGAAATGTTTTCACTCTGGGGTGAGAAAAAGGCTCAACTTAAAAAGGGATTCTATAGAAAAATTTGCAGACAGAAAAAGAGAGCAGTGGGATTATTTTCTCTTTGCCATGTAGATGAAAATTTTGGTGACACTTGCAGCTGTTGACAGAAAAATGTAGCAGAATGACAATATGTCACTCAATAGACTATCTTGATGCTTTAGAAAGCACAGCCTGCAGTTTGCATCCCAGATTCATAGCAATACAGTGAGTCTACAGGAGAAATAGGTATCTGTACATTCCTAATGTTCTGGTGTCCCCATCTCTGTTCAGATGCAGATAACTAAGCTCAACATTACATAAAGTTTAGAGAGAAGGATTGAGCACATGTGTATGCCAAAATAGGTATATTTATTAAAAGCAGAAGTTCTCAGTTCTGGCTGCTCTTTCAGAATCATCTGAGGAGCTTTTAAAAATGTTAAGCCTCACACTCCCCTCCACCCTACATCATCTCTAAGGCTCTAGTTTAATCATTCTGAATTGATTTGCAATTGTGGGACACTAGAGAGCCAGAGAAGACAGGAAAGTTGACTTTGTATTTCTGTGCAGCTTGCATCTTCCTACGGATTACATTGCTAGTTGTCCTTTTATATTAGTAAGAGACCTTCTAATTTTTAGTTGGGTGCATGACCAACTAAAATAAAAGCTTTATTTCCCAGTGCCTTTTGCAATGAGGTCTGGCCATTTGATTAATTTATCCTGTCTCCACTGCTTTTTCACTGAGAATTTAGGGTATATTTGGCTACGAGTAGCAGAAAATCTGGCTCATGATGGTTCAACAACAGGGGTTCATTCTTCTTCCATAACAATAGTCCTGGAGGCTCGCAGTCCAGGGCTGAAGCAGCAGCTCAAAGATGTCATCAAGTCCCAGGCTCTTCCTATACTTGCATGCTGCCGTTCTTAGCACAGTGGCTCCTTGCCTCATGGTACTTAACAAAATGGTTGTTACAGTTCAAAGCCTCATGTTCTTGTTTAAGACAGGAAGAAGACCAGAGGGCTGGATCCAACTGTATCTGTCCATTTCATTATTAAAATAAAAAGCAAAAGCTGCCATAGAATCCTCCTAGCAGACTTTCACATATATCTCATTGGGTAGAGCCATGTGTTTTGGCCACCCTCAGCCACAAGAGATGCTGTAAATGAATATTTAGGTTTTCTGGTCTCTACACTGGAAACAGCCAAGGGAAAAGGGAATGGGAATGGATGTTAGGTCTGCTGTGCCAGACTCCTATCAACTCCAATAGGATGGCATCAGGTTCAAGAGGCCAAAGAAGAGACCCAGAGTCAGCAAACGAGACATGGGGTTTATTGAGTGTAGCTCACACAAAGGGATGGTCCAGTGGCAGCAGGCTGGACAGAAGAATGGCACGGCCCGGTGGCGGTGGGCTGGACAGGAGAACTGCAACGACTTGTAAAAAGCAAGCAGTTTATATAGCATTTTCACGTAGAACCCTGCCACTAGCAACCTCCACCTGGCAACCTTCATTTAACCCAAAATAAAGGGCCTCAATCCCCCTCCTCACCTTCCACAGGATGGGACAGGGGTTCAGATGTTCCTTGTAGATAAGGAATGAATCTCCCAGTTGGCTGCTCCCAGATTTCTTAGCACAGATCTGCAAACATGCATTCAGGTGCATCTGCCATACAGGGTCATTCTCAGAGTATGCTTAAGTTATTCTGTCAAATGCGTCTGCTATAGACGGTCACCCAGTCAACAGTGTCCATCATATTCACCTATGTCTAATCTATCATCATTCCTGCTCATTTCCCTTTGTAGAGTAGCTTTTGAATCTCCACAACCACTTACCTAATTCAAAACCACATCATCTATAGACTCCTTTTTTGCAAAAAAATCTCCAAAGAGGTCTCAGTGTGTCATGTACATTTGCAGAAGTATTTGAGAATATTTAATTCTACTGTAAAAGACAAACGAAGGATGGCTGCAACTCATAAGAAGTATGAAGCATTGCTCAGTAAGTAAAGAGCTTATGGATATAGGCAAAACTCATAGGATGTGTAAAGTATAATTAATGATTAATTAAGTACCATGTGAGACATAATTTGTAAGATGTGTTAAATATAGATAGCAAGTTGTTAGCTGTAAGACTTGCCAAGAGTACACAAAATAAATAAAAAATATGGTGTACCAACCAAGAGAGTTGCTTACAGACAGAGAGGATTATGCTGTCACTGGGCTGACAGTTATGCTATCTCTAAATCAGCCACCCAATGCTGACACCCAGTATGATTAGGATTCCTTTCTGGTCCTACATGTGCTTTGTCCAATAATTGTAGATAAAAACTGTAGCTGTTCAGTGAGCTATTTGGAAAACTATAGCTGTGGCCAGGTGTACTTGCTCTGCATTCTTTCAGCAGAGTGATTGTGTGTCTTTGGCCTTGGGCATCTTCTGTCAGTGAGCCCCTTGCTCAGATCTCAACTCTAGTCCAGATAACCACATCACCATCAGTGGAGAAGGATGATGGGGCAGGGCAGGGGTTGGGGAGTTGGGAGAGAGAGAGTACATATGAACAAGACCTAAGGATCATGGTCTTGGCCAGGCACAGTGGCTTATGCCTATAATCCCAGCACTTTGGGAGGCCAGGCAGATGGGTTGCTTGAGGCCAGGAGTTTGAAACCACCTGGTCCACATGGCAAAACCCCATCTCTACAAAAAATACAAAAAATTATCTGGGTGTGGTGGCGGGCACTTGTAATCCCAGCTTCTTGGGAGGCAGAGGCACGAGAATTGCTTGAAGCTGGGAAAGGGAGGTTGTAGTGAGCCAAGATAGCACCACTGCACTCCAGCCTGGGTGACAGAGCAGAACTCTGTTCAAAAAAAAAAAAAAAAGTCCTTTCACCTGCTCACACCCTATCCTAAGTGTTTTAACACTCTGTTTACTTCGCCTTGCTTCTCACTGTGTGTTTTGAACAGATTTAATGAACTGTGTAGCTTGAATATTAATTTACAAAGAGTTCACTTGCTCTGTGCATTTTCTGTTGCATGGCATAGCTCTGTTTCTGGGATAGTTCTCCTGATTGTGTACTTGGAGGCTGCATTGCATCAAAGTCATTTTCCATACAACACTATTCCTTTGTGTTTGCCCACTTCAATGCACCCTCCACACACTGCCATGAGAGTGATCTTTTAAAATTGCAGATAAGACCAGGGTTAACCCCCTGTTTCAAACCTTTCAGCCACTCACCATTGCCATGAGGGTATATCAATCTCTCCAGCATCGAGTTGCAGGTTGGGCTTCTTAAGGAGCACCCTGAGGTGCAGATTATCAAGTAGAAAAAGCATTAGGGAGTATTATTTAGAGTCTTTATATATCTCAGCCCTCCAGCATTGACTAGTTATTGGAGATAGGTTGCCCTTGGGAAGGGGGTGTGTGGCCTTGGGAAAGATAGCTTTCTGCAGCTGAGGGCAATTCCTGGGCAGTAGCAGCTCTGGAATAAGTTCTTCAGCCCTGCAGGGGATCTGGGCAGTGCAACACAGGCCTGCAAGACTTTACATCAGTGGCCACTGCCATTCTCTCCATCTCATGGCTTGCTTTTTCTTCCGTTAAAGGCAAATCCACTGAGAAGTGGCTGGTATTGTCCAAACCCACCATGCTCTTCCTCCTGACTGCTTTGTGCATGCTGCATCTCCGGCTTGGATGTCCTCTGCCCACTGCTTGCACCCCTTATGCCAATCCTGGACCCGCAGCTCCTTGGATCACATGTCTCATTCAAACCACCCAGTCCTGCAGAGTAGGTTGGCCCTGTTCCAATTTCCTCTCTCATCCTGCAGCTCTGAACTGACTGGCTGGCTTGTGGGCAGAATGGGTTGAAGCCCTGCGTGAGTTACAGATGATGAATGCTTGGAAAGGAGGGAGCCAAAGGCAAATCGTGCTCCACATTGCAAAATGTCTTCTTTCTCTGCACATCTCATTTTCCTTTTACCCTGCCCTGACACTCCAAAGCCAGTAATGAGAAACCTGGATTCATTTTGTAACAGAAGACTGCACACTGTAGCTCTAAATTGTGCCTTAAAATTTTAATAGCAGGCTAAATCGAAAAACACATAGGGAGCATTTTGAAGATGCCCTGCAGCTGGATTTGTTTTATGCTAGAGCAATTTTGCTGCCTGACTGCTTCCTGCTGAAAGCACAGAGGATGTGCTGAAATGTTGCCACTGTAAACAAAACTAGATCAGGCAGAAGCCTCTCTCCCGCACCCACAGACCTACCTTGTAAATTGCTGGCAGCAGTGTTATTTGACAGACACAGTGCTAGGAAGCAAGTGGCTTCAAAAATAAGAAATGAAAGGGAGGGATTCCTCACAACAAGTGTGTGAAATGCTAGTACTGGAAAGGGCTCTAGAAATCATCTAGTGCAGCTCTCATAATTTATAATTGAGGAAACTGAGGCCAGGAAGGTTAAGTTAGTTATCCTAGGTCACATGGCTTATGAGTGGCAGCCTGAAGTAAAACCGGCATTTCTTAGCTCCTAGTCTAATCTTTATTCTGTTACAACATATTCAAGTTCATTAATTCACGTAATGTTTTGTTTTTGCCATTGTGCATTGCAGAGATAACATGTAATTCCCATAACCAAAGTAACTACAGTATCTGACTGTGTATTGGCTATTGGCTATTGATTCAGTCACTGAGAGGAACAGTTAACAAATTCACTAATTAGACTGTTGTGTTCATTACTGTCCTCAAGGCTAATTATTTGTTTAATTAAGGCATTCTGCCTTGATCATAAATGCTATCACATAAAATATTTGATGAATCTTGACTGTGCTGTGAGGACCCAACATACATGTATGAAGTGCTTTCATTAAAATTTAAGAAAACTAAACAACTCATTAGCTTTGAGATGTTTAAAGTTTAAACAGCAAATTCATAAATTTTAGAATTACTGTCTATTTTATGCATTAGTGCACACATGTATGAAAAACCATACGGGAATTGAATTATTTGTAGAAATCATGATTTACTGTTTCCTGATGATTTTCTGGGTAAAGCCTTTAACATGCCATTGAGTTAAAGCAATTCATTTGGCGTTTACTATTAATACTTCTTTGTGCTCCTATGACACATTTTCCTCCCTGAAGCTCAAAGTACTTAATACATATCAAATCAGTAATCCTCACTACAGTAAAGCCAGGGAGAGTAGATGGCAAATATAATCCTCATGATACAGAAAGCTGAAAGTCAGCTTGAAAAATCCAATGTGCCATTGACTTGCATGTTGAAAGTACTATCAGAGTGTTTGTATGCTGGGTGAAAATTGTTGCTTAACCTATATGTGGCTAGTTACTTGCTTCTGGGCATCTTTTCAATTGAGAGAAAAGGATATACTAACAATAATTTAGGATATTGCTGAGTTAAAAAACATCAAATTGCAAATGACATAGGTTAGCATGGGCTTAATTTTCTCAGAATGTCCTTGGCAGTAGTTAAAACAGCAGCAGAAGAATTGTATACATAGAATAAACAAGCCAATAATAATCCTAATTGTCACTTACTGAGCTCCTCTGTATAAGACTCAGTGCTGAATATTTTGTACATGTTTCTCTAATCCTCACAAGAGCCCTGCAAGATGTACATAATTATTCCTCTTTCACAAATCAGGAAGATGTAGTCATGAGGATTTAAGGCACATCATCAAACGTGGTGGCACTAGCTAAGGGAACTCCAGCCCAGATTCACTGTTCAGAAACATTCTTTTCCCCTTCCTTTTTGTTTTCTGCCCCACATCATCCCCTTCTCTTTATTCATCCAACAAATGTTTATCGAGCACTTACTGATTTCCTGTCCTCGTGGAACTTACTTTCTAGGTCAGAGCCTGCATTTCTACAAGGAGGTGGTAAGAAATAGAGTAGAATTAGGTATGAGCTGATATACCTGGGCAAGGAAAACCAAAGGCACAAATAGAGAGATCGTCTAATCAAATATTGATTCCAAGGTTGGACAGTGTTACACTTTTCACTTCTCCTTAATAATTTTATTTTGGTCATTTTGGTGTAAACCCAGCACCAAGCACCTCACTGTGGAAAGGAGGAGTACAGTTTGTAACAAAATGGCATGGCTGTCAGCCAGGAAAACATATCATGGAATCTTAGGGAATGTACAGGGCTCAGGTGAAATATTCCAACCCATACCGAGTCTCCAGGCTGGTAGAGATTAAGCAGTGGCCTAATCAGTCTGTTCACTGTGTCTCCATGTCTCCTCACCTAGTCCACAGGGTACTCTCCTAATCAGTTATAGTGTCTCCATACATTTCAGAATTCATGGAACCTCAGAATGTGGCCTTATCTGGAAATAGGGTTGCTGCAAATATAGTCAAGGTAAGGACTGAGGTGAGATCATCCTGGCTTAGGATAGGCCGTAAATCCAATTAGAAGTTCCCTATGGGAGACAGAAAAGGACACATACAGACGGCGAAGAAGGCCATAGACAGACAGAGGCAGAGATTGATGATGCTGCCACCAGCCAAGGAACACCAGGAGCCATGAGAAGCTGGAATAAGCAAAAACATGTTTCCCATAGAGGTTTCAGAGAGAATATGGCCCTACCAACACCTTGGTTTTGGACTTGTGGCCTCCAGAAGTGACAGAGAATAAATTTCTGGTGTTTTAAGCTGCCACATTTGGGAAAATTTGTTATGGCAGCCCTGGGAAACTAATACAGGCCCTCTTTCCTTTTTGATCACTTTCCTAATTCCCAGTGGTTTCCTTGGTCCCATAATCCCCTTCCCCACTCCCAGTTTACGTTAATATGAGATCAGAGTTTCTATTGCAGGAGGGATTTAGACAGCCATTTGGTTGGAAGGGGAACTTTGGGCGTTTGTTTGAAACCATGCAGACGTTTTGTTTGTACTTATAATGGTGGTGTCAGAGGCAGGCAAGAGTATAGGGAGCTCTAGTCACTACTACTCTAAGCACTCCACAACCTTGCCAGAGGGGGGCTATTTTTCAGAGTAAATAATGGGTGGGATTTTTCAGGGTAATTAACCCTTTACACAAAAAAGCAGTACCTCATTATCTATTTCTTCTGTCTGTCTCTTTTTTTAAATTATACTTTAAGTTCTGGGATACATGTACAGAAAGTGCAGGTGTGTTACATAGGTATACACATGCCATGGTGGTTTGTTGCACCCATCAATATGTCATCTACATTAGGTATTTCTCCTAATGCTATGTCTCTCCTAGTCCCCCACACCCTGACAGGCCCCATTGTGTGATGTTCCCCTGCCTGTGTCCATGTGTTCTCATTGTTCAACTCCCACTTACGAGTGAGAACATACAGTGTTTGATTTTCTGTTCTTGTGTTAGTTTGCTGAGACTGATGGTTTCCAGCTTCATCCATGTCCCTGCAAAGGACATGAACTCATCCTTTTTTATGGCTGCATAGTATTCCATGGTGTATATGTGCCACATTTTCTTTATCCATTCTATCATTGATGGGCATTTGTGTTGGTTCCAAGTCTTTGCTATTGTGAACAGTACCACAATAAACATACATGTGGATGCATCTTTATAGTAGAATTATTTATAATCTGTTGGGTGTATACTTAGCAATGAGATTGCTGGGTCAAATGGTATTTCTGGTTCTAGATCCTTGAGGAATCACCACACTGTCTTCCACAATGGTTGAACTAATTTACACTCCACTGACAATGTAAAAGCATTCCTATTTCTCCACATCCTTTCCAGCATTTGTTGTTTCCTGACTTTTTAATGATCACCATTCTAACTGGTGTGAGATGGTATCTCATTGTGGTTTTGATTTGCATTTCTCTGATGACCAGTGATGATGAGCTTTTTTTCATATGTTTTTTGGCCACATAAATGTCTTCTTTTGAGAAGTGTCTGTTCATATCCTTTTCTAAATATACAATCATGTCATCTGCAACAGAGACAATTTGACTTCCTCTTTTCCTAATTGAATACCCTTTATTTCTTTCTCTTGCCTGATTGCCCTGGCCAGAACTTCCAATACTGTGTTGAATAGGAGTGGTGAGAGAGGGCATCCTTGTCTTGTGCCGGTTTTCAAAGGGAAAACCTTTGAAAGCTTCCAGCTTTTGCCCATTCAGTATGATATTGGCTGTGGGTTTGTCATAAATAGCTCTTATTATTTTGAGATATGTTCCATCAATACCTAGTTTATTGAGAGTTTTTAGCATGAAGCGCTGTTGAATTTTGTCAAAGGCCTTTTGGCATCTATTAAGATATTCATGTGGTTTTTGTCATTGGTTCTGTTTATGTGATAGATTGCGTTTATTGATTTGCGTATGTTGTACCAGCCTTGCATCCCAGGGATGAAGCCGACTTGAGTGTGGTGGATAAGCTTTTAGATGTGCTGCTGCATTTGGTTTGCCAGTATTTTACTGAGGATATTGGCCTGAAATTTTCTTTTTTTGTTGTGTCTCTGCTAGGTTTTGGTATCAGGGTGATGCTGGCCTCATAAAATCAGTTAGGGAAGATTCTCTCTTTTTGTATTGTTTGGAATAGTTTTAGAAGGAATGGTACCAGCTCCTTTTATACCTCTGGTAGAATTCGGCTGTGAATCCATCTGGTCCTGGACTTTTTTGGATGGTAGGCTATTAATAGTTGCCTCAATTTCAGAACTTGTTATTGGTCTATTCAGGGATTCAACTTATTCCTGATTTAGTCTTGGGAGGGTATATGTGTCCAGGAACTTATCCATTTCTTCTAGATTTTTTATTTTATTTGCATAGAGGTGTTTATAGTATTCTCTGATGGTAGTTTGCATTTCTGTGGGATCGGTGGTGACATCCCCTTTATCATTTCTTATTGCATCTATTTGATTCTTCTCTCTGTTCTTCTTTGTTAGTCTTACTAGTGGTCTATCAATTTTGTTGATCTTTTCAAAAAAACAGGTCCTGGATTCATTGATTTTTTGAAGGATTTTTTGTGTCTCGTCCTCCTTCAGTTCTGCTCTGATCTTAGTTATTTCTTGACTTCTGCTAGCTTTTGAATGTGTTTGCTCTTGCTTCTCTAGTTCTTTTAATTGTGGTATTAGGGTGTCAACTTTAGATCTTTCCTGTTTTCTCTTGTGGGCATTTAGTGCTATAAATTTCCCCATACACACTGCTTTAAATGTGTCCCAGAGATTCTGGTACATTCTGTCTTTGTTCTCATTGGTTTCAAAGAATTTAATTATTTCTGCCTTCATTTCGTTATGTACCCAGTAGTCATTCAGGAGCAGGTTGTTCAGTTTCCATGTAGTTGTGTGGTTTTGAGTGAGTTTCTCAATCCTGGGTTCTAATTTGATTGCACTGTGGTCTGAGAGATTGTTATGATTTCCGTTCTTTTGCATTTGGTGAGGAGTGTTTTACTTTCAATTATGTGGTCCATTTCAGAATAAGCACAATGTAGTGCTGAGAAGAATGTATATTCTGTTGATTCGGGGTGGAGAGTTCTGTAGATGTCTATTAGGTCCACTTGGTCCAGAGCTGAGTTCAATTCCTGGATATCCTTGTTAATTTTCTGTCTCGTTGATCTAATATTGACAGTGGGGTGTTAACTCCCCACTACTAACACTATTATTGTGTTGGAATCTAAGTCTCTTTGTAGGTCTCTAAGAACTTGCTTTATGAATCAGGGTGCTCCTGCTTTGGGTGCATATATATTTAGGATAGTTAGCTCTTCTTGTTGCGTTGATCCCTTTACCATTATGTGATGGCCTTCTTTGTTTCTTTTGATCTTTGTTGGTTTAAAGTCTTTTTTGTCAGAGACTAGGATTGAAACCCTTGCTTTTTTTTTGCTGTCCATTTTCTTGGTAAATATTTTTTCATCCCTTTATTTTGAGCCTATGTGTGTCTTTGCACATGAGATGGGTCTCCTGAATACAGCACACCAATGGGTCTTGACTCTTTATCTAATTTGCCAGTCTGTGTCTTTTAATTGGGACATTTAGCCCGTTTACATTTAAGATTAATATTATTATGTGTGAATTTGATCTTGCCATTATGATGCTAGCTGGTTATGTTGCCCATTAGTTGATGCAGTTTCTTCATAGTGTCGATGGTCTTTACAATTTGGTATGTTTTTGCAGTAGCTGGTACCAGTTGTTCCTTTCCGTGTTTAGTGCTTCTTTCAGGAGGTCTTGTAAGGCAGGCCTGGTGGTGACAAAATCTATCAGCATTTGCTTGTCTGTAAAGGATTTTATTTCTCTTTCACTTATGAAGCTTAGTTTGGCTGGATATTAAATTCTGGGTTGAAAATTCTTTTCTTTAAGAATGTTGAATATTGGCCCCCACTCTCTTCTGTCTTGTAGGGTTTCTGCAGAGAGATCTGCTGTTAGTTTGATGGGCTTCTCTTTGTGGGTAACCTGACCTTTCTCTCTGGCTGCCCTTAATATTTTTTCCTTCATTTCAACCTTGGGGGATCTGATGATTATGTGTTTTGGGGTTCTCTTCTTAAGGAGTGTCTTTGTGGTGGTCTCTGTATTTCCTGAATTTGCATGTTGGACTGCCTCGCTAGGTTGGGGAAGTTCTCCTGGATAATATCCTGAAGAGTGTTTTCCAACTTGGTTCCATTCTCCCCGTCACTTTCAGGTACACCAATCATACGTAGATTTGGTCTTTTCACATAGTCCCATATTTCTTGGTGGCTTAGTTCATTTCTTTTCACTCTTTTTTCTCTAATCTTGTCTTCTCACTTTATTTCATTGAGTTGATCCTCAGTCTCTGATATCCTTTCTTCTGCTTAATCAATTTGGCTATTGATACTTGTGTGTGCTTCATGAAGTTCTTGTGCTGTGTTTTTCAGCTCCATCAGGTCATTTATGTTCTTCTTTAAACTGATTATTCTAGTTTGCAATTTTTCTAAATTTTTTCATGGTTCTTAGCTCCTTGCATTGGGTTAGAACATGCTCCTTTAGTTTGGAGGAGTTTGTTATTACCCACCTTCTGAAGCCTACTTCTGTCAATTTGTTGAACTCATGCTCCATCTAGTTTTGTTTCCCTGCTGGCTAGGAGTTGTGATCCTTTGGAGGAGAAGAGGTGTTCCGTTTTTTGGAATTTTCAGCCTTTTTGTGCTGGTTTCTTCCCATCTTCATGGATTTATCTACCTTTGGTCTTTGAAGTTGGAGACCTTCAGCTGGGTTCTTGGAGAGGACATTCTTTCTGCTGATGTTGATGGTATTCCTTTCTGTTTCCTAGTTTTCCTTCCACAAGTCAGGTCCCTCAGCTGCAGGTCTGCTGGAGTTTGCTGGAGGTCCACTCCAGATTCTGTTTGCTTGGGGATCACCTGTGGAGGCTACAGAACAGCAAAGGTTGCTGCCTGTTCCTTCCTCAAGAAGCTTCGTCTCAGAGGGGCAGCCACCTGATGCCAGCCAGAGCTCTCCTGTATGAGGTGTCTGTCGGCCCCTACTGAGAGGTGTCTCCCAGTGGTGATATATGCGGGTCAGGGACTCACTTGAGGAGGCAGTCTGTCCCTTATCAGAGCTCAAACACTGTGCTGGGAGGCCCGCTGTTCTCTTCAGAGCTGCCAGGCAGGGAAGTGTAAGTGTGCTGAAGCTGCGCCCACAACCTCCATTTCCCCAGGGTGCTCTGTCCCAGGGGATTGGGGGTTTTATCTATAAGTCCCTGACTGAGGCTGCTGTGTTTGAAAAAAAAAGAGGCAGTCTGGCCGCAGTGGTCTTGCTGAGCAGCAGTAGGCCCCGCCCAGTTCAAACTTCCCATAGGCTTTGTTTACACTGTGAGGGTAAAACCACCTACCCAAGCCTCAGCTATGGCGGACTCCCCTCCCCCCACCCTGCTCCAGTGTCCCAGGTCGAGCTCAGACTGCTGTGCTAGCAGGGAGAATTTCAAGCCAGTGGATCTGAGCTTGCTGGGCTCTGTGGGGGTGGGACCCGCCAAGCCAGACCACTTGGCTCCCTGGCTTCAGTCCCCTTTCCAGGGGGGTTAACCTTTCTGTGTTCCAGGTTCTCACTGGTGTTGCAGGCACCACTGGGGTATGAGAAAACAACTCCTGTGGCTATCTCTGTGTCTGCCCAAACGGCCGCCCAGTTTTGTGCTGGAAACCCAGGGCCCAGGTGGCATGGGCACCGGAGGGAATCTCCTGGTCTGTGGGTTGCAAAGACCGTGGGAAAAGCACAGTATTTCGGCTGGAGTGCACGGTACAGTCCCTAATGTGTTCTCTTGGCTAGGAGAGGGAGTTACCTGACCCCTTGCACTTCCCAGGTGAGGCATTGCTCTTCCCTGCTTCAACTTACCCTCCTTGGGCTGTAGCCACTGTCCAACCAGTCCCAGTGAGATGACCCAGGTACCTCATTTGGAAATGCAGAAATCACCCGCCTTCTGTGTCGATCTCACTGGGAGCTGCGACCAGAGCTGTTGCTATTCGACCATCTCGCCAGCAATCCCTCACTGTCTCTGTGGAATACCAATCCCCACTCACCTCCACTTTGACAAAGGGGGACTTGGGCGCTGTCTTTCCAGAACACTCCCTGTTAATTCTATCTTGGAAATTATTGTTAGGGTCCCTAAGTAGGGAAGATTTCTGCCTGACCAGTTCCCCAGTGGGTGGAAAATTATTGCACTATGTCACCAAGGGAGACCTGGCCCCAGTCTCCACCTGCGTTTTATAATCTTGCAGTAATCCTACCTTTCCTCCGTTAAATAAGGACTACTACACCTTTGGGGGCTTTTGCTATTCATGCCTATTCTGTCAGTATTCAATCTCTAATTGTAGTTCACACACTCACAGTTTATAGACCCATACTTGGGTGGCAGAGTTTCTTCTTTCTTAGCATTTGTTCTAAGCCCTTCATAACCCTACCTATTCTACCTTCAAAACTCCACTTCTAGCTGTCTTCTCTTGCACAGAATCCTCTCTTCAAGCTTGTTTATTCAACAATTTTTACTACAACTATCCTCCAAATTCATCAGCACCATCTATTCATTAAAGAAAACTGTTCAGATAATTTAGTTATGAGCTTGTGTTGTGCTGGACTCCTATTGACTTCAGTACAAATGGCACCATGTTTGAGAAGCTGAAAAAGAGACCCAGAGCCAGCTACCAAGACATGGGGTTTATGGAGGGGACTTACATACAGGGCAGTCCAGAGGCAGAGGGCTGGATGGAAGAACCACAACTGCTTATAAAAAGCATACAGTTTACATAGTGTTTTCACTTAGCACCCTCCCCCAGCAACCTCAACCTGGTAACCTTCATATAACCCAAAATAAAGGGTCTTGATCCCCTATAGGGCCTGCATTCTACAAGTTGGGTCAAGAGTTCAGATGTTCCTCATAGATAAGGAAAGAATCTCCTGGTTGGGTACTCCTAGATTCCTTAGCTTGGAACTCCAAACACACATTCTCCTTAGACCATAGGATCATTCTCAGGTTATTCTTAAGTTACTGTTGTCAGGTGCATCAGTTATACACTCCTCACCAGCACACCCTTGAGTGGCCCTCACATTCTTATCATGCCATTCTCCTGCATTTCCCTGGGGCCAGGCATGCGGAGGAGCACTGTGGCCAGACATCCACAGCAGCAATACAAACTACCACAACTCAAAAGAATAATTAATATAACAATCATACTGTATAGAAAGTTTTTCCAAGCACTTGGGAGTTGATTGAAGCACGCAATTATTGGATTGTAAGACAGAGATTCTAGAGTGGACATGCGAGTGTCTAGGAGCTGTGTGGCCTGGCTTACGTTGTGAGAGTAATCAAGGATGTATCCACAACATTCAGTTTTAATTAATGCATAGGTTCTGCCCTGGGCAGCAATTAAGGTGTCCATAGCCATGCGATTTTGCAAGGAAGGGTGCATACCCCACCACCTGTTTCTGCACTCCTGTCATCCACCCTAGACCATTGTGTACAATGTACTCCACAGTGAGGGTAACATTAACTTCCTTTCATAGTAAGTAGAAAATACGTCATCTCATCTTGTTGATGGTGGGAAACCTGCTGCAAGAGGTGCTGTTGTCACTAAAGGGAAATGGGTGAAGGTCATTATACCAAGTACAGAAGTGGCTCCAGGTATACTCAGATTAGCTGCTTGGATGCACCATGGCAGTTCCATTGTGGTGGAGAGTGGCAGCTCTCCACAGACCCAATGGTTTATTTTATTCTGGAGGGAGACTACTGTCTATGCCCAGTCAGTGAAGAGGTTTGCTGCAGACTATCTATAGGTGGAAGGTGAGATGTTTGGTGCGTATAAGAAAGGGCAAGCTGGCTGAGCGTGGTGGTGCATGCCTGTAATCTTTTTGGGAGGCTGCGGTGGGTGGGTTGCTAGAGGTCAGGAGTTTGAAACCAGCCTGGCCAACAAGTGAAATCCCATCTCTACTAAAAATACAAGAATTAGCCAGGCGTGGTGGTGGGTGCCTATAATCCCAGCTACTCCTCAGGAGGCTGGGGCAAGAGAATCACTTGAACCACAGAGCAAGAGGTTGCAGTAAGCCAAGGATGATGGTGCCGCTGCACTCCAGCCTGGACAATAGAGCAAGACTCTGTTAAAAAAAAAAAAAAAGGGCAAGTCATGGCCATTTAACAAGACACAAATGGACTGGCCCCGTGTGTAACTCATTGCAGGAGGCCAGAGTAAGACAATGGAGTATCATAATGTTCTGTAATGAGAGGATTATTGTCCCCTTGAACAAGGGAGCACTAGGATTCATTATTTTAGAAGTATGAAGAGTAGGGTGTAAAATAGGTGTTACCTGTTATATTCTGTTCTAGACCCTTACTCCATGGAGCAGAAAAACTGAACCAACCAAGGGCTGGTTTGACATTCCCAGGGCCATGTGTTTTCCGGTGCATAGGTCCTGTGGCCAGGGCAATATCAGGTTACTTTGAGTCCCAGGTTGGGGCAAAAGTGTGCCATCCTTTACATTGTCCACCTGGATCCTGATGGTGATATCAGTTCCTTGCATCAGAAGAGTGTATGTGCTGGGGCGATGGGAATGGGCATGTTTGTTCAGTGTGTGGACAGCTGCTGGTAAGCTGTGTGTCCACAGAGCCAGATAGCACCTGCCAGAGTTGTGGCTTCAACAGTCTATTCATCTGTTCAATCAGCCCTGCTGCTGTAGGGTTGTATGGCAGGTGAAAATGCCTGTGGATATACAGGGCCTCCACCCATTCCTGCACTTAACGTCTGGTAAAATGCAAGCCCTGGTCACCACCAATATCAGCGGGGATGCTGTAGGCTGCAAACAGCTGCTCTAGTGCTATTTTGGTGGTTTTCTTGGTGGCACGATTGCTAGGATTTACCTGCAGTAGCCCTGAGCAGGTGTTTGTACAAGTCAAGGCACAGTGGCAGCCATCAGATAGAGGCAAAGGTTTTATGTGGTCTACCTGCCACTATTGTGCTGGGCTCTGGCTTATAGAGAAGGACCATCCAGGCGGTTTGTGGCTCAGCCCCTTGACTACTGTGTCCTTTGCCTGTATCAAGCCAGGTACTATCAGTGGACAGCTTGGTGGCGACGGTTATCCCAGTGCAAGGACTGCCTCATGATGAGCTGTCTACATACCAGGCTTGGTCAGGAATTGTGCTCTGTTCCTCCTGTGGGAAGGAGAGACTATGGAGGTTTAGTGGCCTCTGTCAAAGACTGACTTTCAGTTGTCACACAGGGGACAGGGCCAAGCATCGAATGGAGCTCTGCTCAAGGGGCTATTAGTTAATGTGCTCGTCTGTTGCAGGTATGCAGGGCAATTGGCGATAGTCTGTATCTGAGCATTCTCAGACTTTGGTTTCTGGAAGATATCCTTTAGTCAGCCTGCTGTGGAGTACTGGGTGCATACTAGCACTGGGACCCCCTGTGTAATGTCCTCCATTTGTAAGGCCTAATGTGTGGTGCAGAATCGTTTCTCCATGACAGTAAACCTAACTTCAGCCCTTTCTGTAGCTGGGACCAGAATCCTAAAGGCACATGTTTACATCTTTGCCTTTGCCACAGGCTACACCCAAACCCCTCGGGGACCAGACCACATTCAATTCACAAGGCTGTCCCAGCACTAGAACTCTCAAGGCTTTTATTCGTCTCACTAGGACTTCAGCTTGTTCAAAGGCCTCATCCTCCTTTGTGGACCAGTCCCAGTGGGCCCCCTTCCTTCTTATGGGGGGCCTAAGGAGTTGGGTCTAATGGGGAGTCAAAGGACGCCAATACCCTAAGAGAATTAAGAATGTTTGCAGCTGCTTTGATGTGGTAGGACGTGGGTAGGCCTGCACCTTATCCATGACAGCAGACGGAAGCACTTTAGTCTCACCCAACCAGATGACATCCAAGAATGTGACTGGTAAGCCCGGACCTTGGAGTTTGTCTGCATTGACTGCCCGTCCTCTGTTCACCAAGTGAGACAACAAGCTGGAGGCTGCAGTTGGTGAGCTGGAAAAAGACTCAGAAGTTGGCATTTATGATCAATGTAATGGAAAACATGCACCCACTCCCGGGTGGTCCATCCGAGGTTTGCAGCCACCAGCACATGACAGACAGCGGAGCTATGTAAATATCCCTGGGGCAAGATGGTAAAGGTCCATTCTTCTCTTTCCCAGGTGAATGCAAATTATTCTTGACTCTGGGGCAGTGAAGATGCTGAAAAAGGCACTGGCTAAATCTACGACAAAGTGGTATGAGCCAAGCATGGATCCTATCCTCATCAGAAGGGAGGCAATATTGGGAACAGCTGCATATATTGGGGAGACCACCTTATTTAATTCCTGGTAATCTATGGTCATTCTCCATATCCCATCAGGCTTCCTCATGGACCATACAGTGCCATTGTATGGGCTGCACAATGGCCTTATAATGCCTACCTGGGCTAACTCCTTAGCAGTCCCATGATCTCATCATGCACCCCCAGCAGGCCATATTGCTTCAGTGCTACTGCCTGCTGCAGGGCTGGCAGCTGTATTGGGGTCCATTTTGCGATCCTGCTGATCATGTGCTTCACCACCCTCTCAGCTGGAATTCCCTGCCAGTTGTTTAGAGGGTAAAGCCTGATAAGATATCCATTCACAAGAGGTATTCTGAGATGAGAGCTGTGTTTACTGAGTAGGGTTTTGGTGGCAGGGCTTTGGCTGCTTGACTTTCACGGCCCCCTCTTCATAACCATCTATTGCTGTATAAGGCCTTGGAACCTACGAATGTTACCATGTAAGTGCATTTCGCTCCAGTATCCGCCAGGGCAGAAACAGTCTGTTTATTTTTAGGTGATGAATATATAGTTAGTTCTACATGTGGCCTCTGGTCCCCAGACACCCTGGCCACCATTGCTCTCATTGGGATTCTGGGACCTTGGCTTTTATTCTAGACTAAAGGGGTTGGTGCCTGCCAGCCCTCTGCAGGAGCGGTGGTGGGCTGAGTCAGAGGCTCCTTAGTGACACGCTGTTCTTGCTTGAACAGCACAGCAGTGCAGTCCTACATTGTGCTGTGCTGCCATCTTTCAAGTGAGGGCAGGTTTTGTGGGTCAACTCCCTGTGGGTGCAGCTGGTCTGTCTTTATCTTAGTAGTGGCTATGGGATGGGCAGAGAGGATGGGAACCTCTGTGAGCTTGTCCCAGTCCTCGTTCTCCTCCTCACTAGAGTTCTCCATTAGGTCCTAGGACTTAGGGTTCCAGGACAATTTAGTCCATGATAGCCCTACCATGGCAGCCAATAACCCTTCAAATGGGCTACGTGATACGCCAGGGTCTCCATTTTGTCATCCTGTGCCTGAAAGTGGGACAGTAAGGACTCCAGCATTTCAGTTTGAGCTAACCTTGCATTGGTTTCTAGTTGTAACTCATCCTGTACCTGAGGAACTCCTACTTGTGCTGTGAGCTCAGCCTCAGCGGCTGCTCAAAGTAGTGGGGAGCAGCCAGCCAATTGTGGCTGCCACAGGCAACTGATTTTTGCTTAGTTAGATCCAACCCCTGCAACAGCTCTTCCAGACCCTTCAGCATTCTCAGGGTGTCCCTGTACTCACGTGGTGGGCCCCATGCATCAATGATAGTGGCTATCAGGCTCTATATAGGCATGGATGGCCAGATTGGGATTTCCCCCATGGATTTCCCCTTTCCCAGTCCCATCCTCTTGGTGCTCATGGGGTTTTCTCTGACCTCCTGGCTGGATTGCTGATGGTCATGCTGGACCTCCATTGATTTCAGTAGGGATGGCACCGTGTTTGAGAGGCCAAAAAAGAGACGTGGAGTGTGCAAACGAGACACGGGGTTTATTGAGGGGACTTATGTACAGGGCAGTTCAGTGGCAGTAAGCTGGATGGGAGAACCACAACCACTTGTAGAAAGCATGCAGCTTACATAGCTTCTTCACTTAGTACCCTTCCCCTAGCAACCTCTACCTGGCAATCTTCATTTAACCCAAAACAAAGGGCCTCAATCCCCTGTATGGCCTGTGTTCCATAGGATGGACCAGGAATTCAGATGTTCCTTATACATAAGGAATATATCTCTGGATTGGCCACTCCCAGATTCCTTAGCTTGGAACTCTAAACATGCATTCTTCTTAGACCACAGGGTAATTCTCAGGGTACTTATTCTATTTTGTGATCTGCTTACTCTCCTACTCTCTGTAATGGTGATTTTGACCATCTCCATTCTTCCCCCAAACTCTTCCGCTCCTGTATGCAACTATGTTCCCTCATACTCTTCCTTTACAGAACAATTAGAAGCCATCAATCTTGTCTTCCTATATACCAGCCCCTGAACATTTTCTCAGCTTTTAAGGCTATATTTAGTAGCATGTTTAACAAAGTTCTATAAACTCTCTAGGGATTTGGATCTCTCCTAGGGATGAAAGGGAGCAGTCCTAAACCTTTCAATCCCTGCTAATAATAATAATAATAAACCTTTCAATCCCTGCTAAAAGAGTGACCAACTCTAGTAGACAATGTGCTAATGTGCCTTAATTGTCTTTTGCTGATCCCAGAGGTTTTTCAAATTATCCACTGATTTCAGTTGGAGGGCTTGAGGGTGGTGGTATATCCAGGGAACTCCAGAGAGAAGATTACTTTTATATTTGATAGTCAGTCAAAGGCTATTTGACAAAGAGCACCAATCCACTTTTTTTTTTTTTTTTTTTTTTTCTGAGATGGAGTCTCACTCTGTCACTCAGGCTGGAGTGCAGTGGCATGATCTTGGCTCATTGCAACCTCCACCTTTCAGGTTCAAGTGATTTGCCTGCCTCAGCCTCCTGAGTAGCTGGGATTACATGTGAGTGCCACCACGCCCAGCTAATTTTTATATTTTTAGTAGAGATGGGATTTTATCATGTTGCCCAGGCTGGTCTCGAACTCCTGACCTCAAGTGATCCCCCTGCCTCGGCCTCCCAAAGTGCTGGGATTACAGGTGTGAGCCACCATGCCCGGCCTCCAATCCACTTTTATAAATTAGAATTTCTAGCAGCAACTAACATATCACAGATACAGATAAGGAATATGTGTATGCAATACCATTTTAAGTGTGGGCTTTTAACAGATCCTTAATCTTTGTACTTGTCAGAGCTAAGTTGGATAGTTGTCAACTCTGGATGATTATAATTTCAGCATTCATGATTAGTCCAGCCCTAGCAAAAAGAATGCTTAGTTCATTCAGTCTGCTACAACAAAATACCATGAACTAGATAGCTTATGAATCAGAAATTTATTTTTCACAGTTCTGGAGGCTGGGAAGTCCAAGATCAAGGCACTGGAAGATTCATTGTCTGGTAAGACCTTTTCCTCATGGATGATGCCTTCTAGCTGTGTCCTCACAAGGTGGAAGAGGCAAATAAGCTCCCCTGGGCATCTTTTATAAGGGACTAATCCCCTTCATGAGAGTTCTGCCCTCACTACCTAAACACCTCCTAAAGGCCTCTTAATACTATTGCATTAGAGATTAGGTTCCAACATATTAATTTTGGGGGGACACAAACATTCAGACCATAGCATGCTGAACTGACGCCCTGCCACTGTGGTCCTGTGCCTAGACAACACCATTCCTTGAAGAGAATGTCTGGCTCTAACCTTAATCTAAATCATTTCCCTAGTCCATCCCGGCATTCCAGCTTGTTTTGGGTGCTAAGGGATGATTTGCTAGGAAGGTGCCACTCATCTTCAGATGTATTTTCTCTTCATATTGGTATCAAAGAGGCCATGTCCTCACCAAAGAGAACCGTTAGCTCCCTGGGATCTCTTGGTGGGGTTTAGGGATCCTCCAACCATGCTGTTCTCAGGGGGTGCTCATTCTTAAACCTATTTTTATTGGAGCCATCACACATCCTCAACTCTGTCATTTCTTTCTCTTGGAGACATTCTCTTCCATGTTCAATCTACATTGCAAACTCCCTCTAGCATCTGCTCTGTTGTTCCCACCCCAGCCCATGGCATCTGCAGGTAATTGGAGCTTTTGGTACTGGTAACATGCAAAGTGCATCACATCCCTCTCTATTTCCACCCCAGACCATCCACTTGAGGTGCCCAATAACCACTTCCTAAACTGGCTTATAATTGTGTCCTCTGAGCTGTGAAATATTTCCTATGGATCATTTTCCCCTCTGGTAGTCTGAAGTGTGAAAATCATTATGAGTAGGGGTCTGTGGATCTACCTAATCCCACTACTAGCAGAGTTGTCTTCTCCTGGCATCCCCCCAAGGAGGGCTCAGGGTACAACTAGAGAAACACATCATACCTAGCTTGGTGTTACTAGAGCAAGAAAGGCCGCATGAAATAGACTCTATTCAACAGAGAAAAATATCCACTCACCTTTATTCCTTAATTAATTTTGGCACCAATTTCTAACCTTCTCCAGGGAAAAGCTCTCTTCAGTAACGGAGCCTGTTTGAATGCTAGCAGGCAATTTGCCATCACTCCATACTCATGTAACTCCATTTTGTATCTAAAGCTTGCATAAGCTTTCAAATGAAGTACCTTTTTCTTAGAAGAGAAAACTGCCTTTGTTCTGTGAGCTGTTTTGTTTTATTGTTTTTATTACACATGTATTTGGGCCTGGGGGTTATAACTAATATTCTGGTCTAGATGAAAGGGGCAGAAAATAAAATAATCTTTATTAGTAAAGCCTCATGATGCCAGGAGCAAAATTGTTGTAGCTGTAAGTAGACTGAACAGTAATTAATTAGTGAAATGATTTTCTTCCCAAGGAGAGGGACAGAACACAATATTGAGTTGTAGGAGGGCAGAGAAGAAATTGTTTGCAGACCAAAAATATAAGGCCTGATTCCTGACTCAGGAATTCCTGGCAATTTTGAAGCATAGGTGGGCAAGAAAACTAGTTTGTAGAACAACAACAACATCAGCAACCACCACCACCACCATCAGCAATTTAGTGCTCCCCAAAGTGTGGGCCATGGCACACAAGCATTAGCATTACCTGAGGCCTTGTTGGAAATGCAAATTCTCAGGCTCCATCTTGGACCTGCTGAACCGAAACTGGGGGTGGAGTCCAGCCATCCGTAGTTTAGCAAACCCTACAGGTGATTCTGATGCGTACTAACATTTAAGAACCACTGGGTTAAAGCTGCCTCTTTTGTAGCAAGAATATCTGATTCAAGATACCTGGTGGAGGAGAATGCTGGGGTAAGGAAATCAAGGGTCAATTTGTATCTCATGTGGAGAAATGAGATGCAAATTCAACCCAGGTCTCCTGACCAAGGCTGAGAAGAAAGTTCTGGAACAGAGGGCCAGGTGCCCCTGCTGGTTCCTTTAGAATTCAAAGGAGGACTTCAGAGCTCAGCTGCCAAAGACTTTGCAGCCAGATTAATTAGTCTCTAGGAATTTCCTGTAAGAGTTGGAAGGGCTGCGTTGGAAACTAGCAACCAATTGCCCTGGTGAAGCAGGGGGAGAAGGACCAACAGGGCTGCTCAAGTCCCACAAAAGCCCTTCTTCTCCCAGAGGGACTGAAGGCTGGCTTGTCTCTGTGTATCAGGCTGTGAAAAGCTATTCCTTTACTGTGATGGGAACTAGGCTCAAGAGAGTTTCCCTTCCAGCAAGGAGCAGAGGAAAAAACAAAATGACTGCCAAATCTCTGTTAAAGTCCAGATGCATAGGCCAGCAGCCTCCTGGCTTGCCTTCCGGCTTGCCTGCTTTCCTTCCAAATAGGCCTGCCTTCTCGGTGGTCAGAGGCTTTGGCTGTGATGGGTCATTCAGCCATAACTGTGGGGTGACCACTGCTAGACACAAAATCTAGGGTCTTATGTAGACTTGAACCCTTCATTTTAATCTCTCAGGGCTGGGTTAGATGCCCTCTAATGTCCTTTCCAGATTCTGACGTTTTTCTGCTGAAAATTTTCTCATGGGTGAGAGCTTCATCCCAGTGAGAAATGCAATTGTAGTTCTAAGACTTATCATCTGCCTTTCCCAGTAGTCCAGCAACGGCCCTCTGTCAGATGTCATGCTTTTAGCTAGATCAGCTTCTCAGGATAGGCCCAATTTTGAGATCAGTGTTTTCCTGCCTGGACCCCTTCATTCATACATGCATGTATGCATTCAGCAAGTGCTCACTGTGTGTTGACTTCATACTGTGCTGGAATCCTCGGGCTCCAGGGTAGTGGGTGAGGGACAGAGGGAGAAGGGCAGTGACCTGCATCTTCTTACTTCTCCACCTTTGCTCTTGCCGTTTTTCTATTCTCGGCTTACAACTACCTACTCCTTGTCCACCTGGTGACTGCTGACTTCACCTTCATAGTTAAGTGAACGGCTGTCTCCTTTCTCTAGCTTTCTCTGACCACTCCATGATCCCAAACATATGAATTTTCCCCCTTTGTGTCTCCATATAGTATGTATATATCATAATACGTAATATAAAATACTGTGCACATCTCTTTCTTAAACAGTTTTATGCTTTATGCTGCACATAATTTTTTCCTTACCCAGACAGGCTGTGAAATCTTTCAAGGCGGGAGTCCCATTTTATTCACCATGGTATCTTTATGCCTAGCACATGTTTAGTGTGTAGCAGAACCTCACAGATGCTGAATTGAAGTGCACTGATTTAAATATTTGTTTTTAATGCAGTTTTTCAGCATAAAGCCAATTTGAAAGTCTATTTCTTCTAACTTGTCCACAGCATTCATATTTAATTAGAGCAATTTTCCTAGACGTGGACAGTAAGTGTTAGTGTACTTGTTCAACCCAGAGAAAGACCACAATAAATCATGAAAAATAATCCAAGAGAGTTGGAGCATCATCTTCAAAAGAAATATGTGCCTTGAGCCAATGAAAATGTACCATAAATCATTTATGGGATAGATTGCTTCCACATATTTGGATAGTAGTTTAGACTGCAAAGTCTGTGAGAAGAGGGCATAGCCGGAAGTGGTTTTTTGGCCCATGAAGTTTTTGTTAATATTGACAAACTTGGTCCATGTCCATTTACAAAATCTGATTAAAGACCCTGAGGCTTCATAAATGGAGTATGTTGAAAAGAAACACACACACATAGAAAAGTGAAAACCAGAAAGAGAATTTAATATTATTTATTCTCCATGACTGGAGGTTAGTGTCTCAAGCTAAAGACTGCTAACCTCTAGTTCCCTAATCAGTCCATAATTTGACTTCCTACATGGTCACAGCACCTTTAAAAACTGTCAGTTGAGGATAAAGAACAGTCTTGTGACTGCATTACGGTATACGTGTTGAAAAGAGTTATTTACAGTACATGCCTCTGAAGCACTGTTAGACCAAGAAAGCATGTGGAAAGCCTCACAATGAATTGCTGCGTGTCACAGCCTTTGAAAATGTGAAGTGCCATACAAGTGCCCAGCAGGGCTCCACTAACATTGTTTTATTGTTCTACTAAATAATGATGGCAATATCATGCCATTCTCCCACTGAGTTTAACACACCAATTGCATTTGCAGTGTAAAGTTGTTATTAAAGGCAGGATATTTTTGCAAGTGCAAATGTCTTCTGTCTTCCCTTCCCTGTAGCGGCACAGTATTTAAGAACCTGCTGCTCAACCACCTGTTCATATTTATTAGCATGAGAACCATTTTCCTGCCACCAGCAGATTTCTTTCTTCCATTGTAATCTTGCCCAAACCTCATTTAAGATAACTGGCTTCAGAAAGAGCATAGTGTTGGGCACCAAGACCTCAGGACATAAGCGTAGCACAGCTTTTCCTGACCTGGAAAGGATCAGCCCCCACGAGCCTGTATACTTTCTTCCTCTTGACAATAAGATCTCTAGGTAAAGCAACTATTGGTTCTCATCTTTGGGACATGGGATATTCAATTTGGTCACTGTAACATGCATGTGGACAACCCCTGGAACTTTCCTTCTCTGGACCATATCAACACAAGTGTCCATGGAGTGAACAAAATTCTCGGGCTTGCGAGTTTGTTTAAGAGCACTCTCATGAGGAAACTGGGTATTTGGAACAGAAGATCTCCTGTATCCAGCTTTAATAAATTCCAGTAGAGGTTTCATCTATGTGAAGGATGGTAAAAAAGGAAATTTTTTAGGTTTCATTGACAATATGATTTATTTGGGGCGACTAGGGGACACTGTGGAATGGTTTTGGTTGTATTATAATGAAAATAGTATAAAGCTAGAATCCAGGATATGAGCTAAACAAAGATAGACCAGCATGTCTCCTGCTATTGCAATCTAATTCATGCATTCCTCTGCGATTGTGTTTAGCAGGAGGAAGGGAATAGAAAAGAGATTGAACAAAGTAAAAGAGAAAAAAGAGACACTTGCAGGCTAGACTGGTAGAGCCACACTTAGGGCCACACAGAGGGCTCTAAATAATGTTGAAGAGGCTGGGTGTGGTGGCTCATGCCTGTAATTCCAACATTTTGTGAAGCTGAGGCAGGAGGATTGCTTGAGCCCAGGAATTTCAGACAGGCGTAGGCAACATAGCAAGACTCCATCTCGACAAAAAATTAAAAAATTGACAGGCATGGTGGTGTAGGCCTGTAGTCCTAGCTACTGGGAGGCTGAGGCAGGAGCATTGTTTGAGCCCAGGAGACTGAGGCTGCAGTGAGCCATGATCATGCCACTGCACTGTAGCCTGGGTAACAGAGCGAGACCCTGTCTAAAAAAAAAATGAAATGCTGAAGAACAGTGAGATTAAATGCAACAAGAACCTTGGATCTGGCACTTTTTCTAAGCAGAAAGAAAGAGGTAGGCTAAATGAATCTGATCTACATTTATAGGTCAGCCACCTTGAGCTTTTGCAGAAAGGTCCTAGTTTCTTCGAAGACTACTAGGCCACTTGGGAGACACCCTGAAGGGAACATGAGGTTTTTAGCAATCAGGATTAAGAAACTGGATTAAAGGAGGGAAGGTAAAAGCTGTTCCTGGAAAAGGAAGCAGGGAACATACTCTGGGGTAGAGGACATAAAAGACAGGGGCCCTTTTTCAGGAGAGAGAATTTGTCATTGGAGAAGAGTTGGGGCTGGACTTGTTCAGGGACATGGAGACTTAGCATAGCTTCTTTATAAGCAAACTTTAAATCTGAAAGCAACTGTTGAAAGTCCATTCTTGATCAGAGGGAAACATAGGTTCTATAGAAGGAAGGAAAATCACAAACCTAGTTAGTAGAAATAAAATGAGTTGAAAAAAATAAAGTTAGTAAATTAAGAGACAAAAATAAATAGATCACAAAGAAAAAGATTCTGGGTTAGAAACTTGTTTTTCCAATGGATTTTGTTCAATTTAGTAAGAAACAAATTGTAGAGTTGCATACTTACTTTGTCACTCCTTCTCTATCATCAGCATTGCCTGGAAGAAAGAAATAGAAGATGCTCCCTCTCCTGACATCCTGTGTAAGTTAACCTATAATTGGAGCAATCCAGGCTGCCTGCTGTTTAGACTGTACTCTCTCTGCTTGTAGTCAGCCAAAAGTTGGGTTTGTCCAAAGGCTGGTGCAGGAATAATATAGGAAATCCAGAGCAAGGCATTTTGTGGACCAAACAATATGTGTCACAAAGGCCAATGGCTAAGAGTTAGCCCTCCAGTGTGGAAGCCTAGGCCCTGCCCAACCGGGCTGCTGCTGAGACAAGATCGGAAAAATGGACTGAAATTCCTAGGCCAAGTGGAGGAGATTGGTTAGGAATTTAGCTAGAACTGAACACTGTTTGGGAGGAGGGGGCAGTGTGAAAAGTGGAAAAGGAATTGGAAATGTCATGTGATGAGTAGATATTATAAGCTGGAGAAACAGCAACTGTGAGGGTGGATGAGACTGAATCAAGCCACAAGAGACAGAATGAGGTGTTGGTAAGTCAAGAGTTGGTTTAGAAGGAAGAACCTCAGGGACACTGAGCTCTAGATGCAATATTTCTCTTCATCTAGTAGGCCATCAGTTTTGTGTTGAAAAAGCAAAATGTTATTATAGTGAAGATCTGGTTTTTGTAATGCCTGCCAATCCCCTTCATTTGTTCGAGAGCCTTTGTTTTCCTTGGGGAACTGCTTCTGAACTCAATGCTGGATATACCTGTATGGACTGTATCAGTGAGCCTCCTTGCTCGTTGGTTTCCAGTTGGATATGACTAGTGAACTGTGCTCTGAAGAGCCTTGGAGAAAAGTGAGATCAGAGAATTTACCCCCCTACATCTCCATCCCATCTTGGCTTTTTTCCTTCCATGGCATTTGAGATTGGCTCTGTGCGCCTATGCAAGACCATCACTCCTGTCAGATGGCTCGCACTCTACACTTAGCCTCTCTGGCTTCTATGACCACACCCTTCCCTTGTTCTTTTAGGCTTTGGGATGGTAACAGCTCCTGCACTGTTGCTAACCCTAGCATACTGCACTATTGCCATTGTTTTCTCTAACTATACCATGCCATTAAAAATAGTTTCTTTATTAAATTCTCCTCAAATTAGCCAGTTTGAAACCACTATCTATGTTCTGCTAGAACCTGACTGATGCACACTTTCTTATAGTTCAGTTGGAGCTGACTCTACTCCCAGCCACAGGGGCAAATAGGCAAATGGCTGAAACTGGACAGAGCATTGCATCTCCTGGCTCCAGTAACATGATCAAGTGACCCAATCATAGTCAATAGGTCTGAATTTGGAACACTTGTGGAAATTGTTAAGATAAGAGAGTCTTTATAACTATGTTTCCCAAGAAAATAGAATGTGAGGAGAAAGTATGCCTGAGAGAAGAGTCAACAAAGAGAAAAGCAGTGGTGGAAAAGGGAGACTGAGTACTCATGATTATGTTTGAGCCCATAGATAAGCTGGGTGTGAATCTGCACAGTTGTGCTATGAGCTGATAACTCTACCCCCTTCCTTTTAAAAATGCTTTATTCATTTTGAATTGGATTTTCTGTCATTTGTATCTGCAAGGGTCCTGACTGATAGACATGTGGGGGAAACTCCCTGTCCACTGGGGCAGGAGGGCTATTGCTAGGTAGCTCTGTGGAGATGAGAGTCTACAGTGGTGCTATGGTCTCATCATGAGGCAGAGAAGCAAGAATAGGTGCAGAAGAGTCAGAGTGGGCAATAGTGGGGCCAGGGAGTGGAGCAGCTTCTGTGATAGCAGCAGCAGAAACAGCCTGTGGTGACCACAGAGGAGCCATGCTACTGGTCAGTGCTTTTGGCTGCAAATAAAATAGAAATTGTACTAAAAATATCTTAACCAATAAGTGGCTATTTATACAACAAAAAGCCAAGAGGCAGGCAGTTCTAAAGTTAGTTAATTCAGACCGGGCGCGGTGGCTCATGTCTGTAATCTCAACACTTTGGGAGGCTGAGATGGGCAGATCACCTGAGGTCAGGAGCTCGAGACTAGCCTGGCCAACATGGTGAAACCCCATCTCTACTAAAAATACAAAAATTAGCCAGGCATGGTGGTGTGTGCCTGTAGTCCCAGCTACTCAGGAGGCTGAGGCAGTAGAATCACTTGAACTCGGGAGGCAGATGTTGCAGTGAGTCGAGATCATACCACTGCACTCTAGTCCAGGTGACAGAGTGAGACTTCATCTCAAAATAATAATAATAATAATAATAAAAGTTAGTTAATTCAGTTGCACGATGACATCGCGAAGGAAGTATGTGGCTTTCTTATTCCATAGAATGGGAATCTGCCATGCATAGAATGGGTCTTCATTCTCAGGCTTGTCTCCCATGGCTGAAAACGGCTAGCCCACCTCCAGGTATCACATCCTTATACAAGCCCTTTCAAGTCAGGAAAGGCAGGCTCTTCTTTTTATCAGAGAGAAGACTCCCAGCAGACTGTCTCCTGTGTCTCATTGGCCCCTATTGCGTGGTATTGCCCATTGTCTATAACAATCACTGGTAGGGGAGAGGACAATTCCATGATTGGCTTAGACCATGAGTAAACTAATTACAGCATCTGGGTCAAATCTATCCTGCTGCCTGTTTTTGTTTTGTTTTTTAGACAGAGTCTCACTCTGTTGCTCAGGCTGAATGGAGTGCAGTAGTGTGAACATGGCTCACTGTAGCCTCAACTTCCCAGGCTCACGTGATGCTCCCACCTCAGCCTCCTGAGTAGCTGGGACTTCAGGTACATGTGACCACACCTGGCAATTTTTTTTTTTTCTTTTCAGTAGAGATGAGGTCTCACTATGTTGCCCAGGCTGGCTTTCACTTCTGGGCTCAAGTGATCCTCCCACCTCTGCCTCCCAAAGCATTGAGATTACAGGCATGAGCCACTGTGCCTGCCCAGCTGCCTATGTTTGTAAATAAAGTTTTATTGGGACACAACCACACTCAATTGTCTACATATTGTCTACAGCTAATTTTATACTACAACAGCATAGAGTTGAATAATTGTGACAAAGACTATCTGGACCACAAAACTGGAAATATTTCCAGAATATTTTAATATTATAATAAAATTTATTTTTAAAAAAGTTTGCCAAACTTTGGCTTAGACTAATTAACAGCCACCCCAGAGTCACCTTGAACACATGGTAGAGTGAACCCTATCCAATAAAAGTGGAGTCCTGATAGCAAGAACAAAGGGACAGGAGATAGCAATTATTAGGTAGACAAGCCCACCGTGAGTGGGACTGACAGTGGTGGGGTATTGATCAGCTGTGGATATAGCTGCTGCCACAC
Source organism: Homo sapiens (assembly GCF_000001405.40). Classification (NCBI taxonomy): domain Eukaryota; kingdom Metazoa; phylum Chordata; class Mammalia; order Primates; family Hominidae; genus Homo; species Homo sapiens. The sequence goes on along the minus strand of NC_000005.10, from coordinate 112,569,415 downwards.
TGGAGAAGCCCATGTATGTTCTTGTTGGAGGAGGGTTAGCTGCTGGTTCAAGGCAGTGGTCATTGTTAATACCATTCTCTGTCTGCTTAGAGGGCTGCTAGGAAGACATCAAAGACTTATTTGGGGCTCAGAAATGCCCCTGGAGTATCACAGAAAGGAGAGGAAACTGGGTTTTATCCTCTAGATTTTGCACTAAGGGGAGGGCCATTCACCAGGAGGTTGATGGGGTTGGAGTTCAGGGTAAGACAAACTGAGAGAACCCTGAGGCAAATATCTCTTTGATTGTCATTGGTTTCTTTTTTCCCATTGGCTGGTAAATTTATATTTAATTTATTTTATTTTGTCAATGTCAAAAAACTCTCAATATGTAAAATTTCCTCCCACAGCATCATGTCATCTACAAAGTACTTTAACTTTTTCTCACTTGTTTCTTTTTACTTATTTTAATTTTAGATTTGGGTTACATATGCAGGTTTTTTACAAGGGCATATTGTGTGATGCTGAGGTTTGGGTTTCCGTTGATCCCATCACCCAGATAGTGAACATAGTACCCAATAGGAAGTTTATCAGCCTTTGCCCCCTTCCCTCTCTCCTAGCAAAATAGTTTACCTATAAAAGGATTTATTCATAAAATTGTTCTTAATTAATTTAAATAGAAGGAAAGTTTATGCCCTTTAGACATACACACACACAAAAATGAAATCTATGCCCTGAGCAACATAACCACATGGTGTACTAATTATTTCATTTAATTAAGCAGTCATTCAATATCTATGCATTAGACATCCACCTACTATGCATTAGACACTGTGGTGTTCACTGGGGAATCAAAGAACACAGTCCCTGCCTTCTGGATATTCACTGGCCTAGTTTGGGAAATAGAAACACTGACTCCAATCACTTGAGTCCCTTCCCTCTTCCTCTCTTACCTTTATCTGGAGTGTTCTGCACTCCTGACCTGCCCAATGGGTTTAGCTGATTCCAAAGAAAGACTACGAATGGTCCAGGCCAGGAGCAATCCCTGGTCAGTTGGGAGGAGTCTTAGGGGACCCGTTCTTGTCCAGCCTAGGTCTGTCTTCCTTCAGCCAGGTGAGGATATTATTCTCAGAGCAGCAAATCCACTAGGAGAGAGGCAATAAAACCTGCCTTGACATTCATTTCACCCTTTGATTTGATAGGAAAAGGAAAAGAAAAGAGCTGGTGGTTAAAAACAGCCCCAAAGAGCTAAGAAACCAAAGAGCAAAAAAGCCCAGTGCACTTCACAGTGAGTGTGAATGTGCAGACGTTCTCATGGAATCTCACATTTCATTTTTTTCAATCTCTTTACACTAGAAAGTCTTTATTCAAAAATAGTAATTTTCATTCAGCATTTTTCAAGTATCATAAAGGGATTTTAATAAGTCATATTCAATGGATTTTTCCAGTTAACAAAATGTATTCATTTGATTACTGTTTTATGTTTATTTAACTGATTCTGATATTTATTTCATGTTAAAGACTAAATCTTCTCAGTCTTGAGACATAGGAGAGAAATATAAAAGACACCATGGCCTTTGTAAAATGATTATTTCTGTATTTCATACCATGAAAATTACCAGCAGAAAGTATAAATATCTTTACAGATAAAAATCTCTTCCTATGTTTCTGATATTAGTCTATAGATTAGCAATATTTAGACTTCGCAGTGAGCTGATCCATGGATTGGATCCTAAAGGTGATGCCAGGCCTAGATCATGATTTATCCTCTCTGCCCTAGCACCATGATCTAATCATAGTAGGTGTTAAAGAAACATCTGCTGTGACGTAAAATGGAGGCAGCTTCTGCATACTGCCCCTTGCTGTCACTGAGACAGCACAAAAAAGAAAAACAAAGGACATTTACCTAGAACCTGGATGGACAGACTGCAGAATACTAGCAGGGATATATAGTAGCCACACAGAATCAGAGGATTTCTCCTGCAGCACCTACCTATGTGTGAGTGAGCCTGAAACAGAGCAGGATGATGTAAACAGGGCAAGTGTCTGAAGGCAGAATATACCCTGGGTAAGTTGGTTTCTAAACATGGCATGTCCTTGTGTTATGTTGTATTTCCTTTCACCTACCTTAGTGATACTGTTTTATCTCTAAATCTCTTCTTAAATCAAATTTCGCTCTTGTGTCCTTTATCCAGCCATATGTGTAAATGGCTGATATCAACTCTCAAGGTTTAAACAAAAGTCACAGTTTAGGCAAAAAAAAAAAAAAAAAAAAAAAAAAAAGGGAAGCTAATAGGTGGAATTTTAAGATGCGGGCTCGAACATCCATGCCTAGAATGGGGTTTGTGACTTCACAGTCACAAATGATATGGTTTGGCTCTGTGTCCCTGCTTGAATCTCACATAGAATTGTATCCCCAGTGTTGGAAGAGGGGTCTGGTGGGAAGTGATTGGATCATAAGGTGGTTTCTAATGGTTTAGCCATCCCCGTAGTGCTGTCCCATGATAGAGTTCTCACAAGACCTGGTTGTTTAAGAGTGTAGCACCTCCTCCTTTACTTTCTTCCTCCTGCTCCAGCCATGTAGGATTTGCCAGGTTCCCCTTCCCCTTCTACCATAATTGTAAGGTTTTTTCAAAACTTGGAAATTGTAAATATCTTGGAAGTAACTAACTGGTTTTGATTTTACAGGCTCCTAGACAGAAGGGACTTGCTTTGTTTCAGATGAGACTTTGGACTGTAGACTTTTGAGTTAATGTTGGAATGAGTTAAGATTTTAGGAGACTATTGGGAAGGCATGATTGTCTTTTGAAATGTGAGAAACACATGAGATTTAGGAGGGGCCAGGGGCAGAATGATATGGTTTTTTTCTGTGTCCCCACTCATATTTCATGTTGAATTGTAATCCCCAGTATTAGGGAAAGGACCTGGTGGAGGGTGATTGGATCATGGGGGTGGTTCCTATTGGTTTAGCACCATCCCCCTAGTGCTTTCTTGTGATAAGAGTTCTCACAAGATCTGGTTGTTTAAAAGTATGTAGCACCTCCCCCTTTGCTCTCTTCCTCCTGCTCTAGCCATGTAGGATGTGCCAGCTTCTTCTTCACCTTCTGCCGTGACTATAAGTTTCCTGGGGGATCATTAGCCATGCTTCCTCTACAACCTGCAGAACCATGAGCCAATTAAATCTCTTTCCTATATATAAACTACCTTCTTTCAGGTAGTTGTTTATAGCAATTTGAGAACAGACCAATACAGCCTGTTTGTACAGATTCTTTTTGATCTCTGGGTATAGAGCAGTATACCTCTGGAGTGAGGGTCTAACAAACTACGTTCAGGTGACATTAGTGAGAAAATTCTTTTATGGCCTTCTTCAGGGAAGAAATGCAGAAGAAGGTCAAAGAGTAACCTTCCTGCTTCTGTTGTTTTCTCAGCTTCCTTCAGCTTACAATGCTCAGTAGACCAAGGTGCCATATTTTGAAGTATCATGTTCTGAGCCCTGACACTGCATTTGCTTTATATGAATTACCTTATCTAGCCCTCACTCTAACCCCAGAGAGTAGAATATGACTTTTCCCACTTTACAGACTAGAATATTGAGGCAGTCTATAAACAGAGAGACTAAGTAATTTGCTTAAAGTCACGAAGCTGATAGCAGGGAGCTGAAGGTAAGCAGAGCCCATACTCTTAACCATTATTCCATTCTTCCAGACATCCTTGAGGGAAATATCTATATCTATTTATTACCTATTAAATTAAAAATTAACTATTTTCAGGAGGCAGCATGTCTGGCACATAGTTAATGCTCAACAAATACCTACTTTTCTGAGTTCCCTTTGTCTATTTTTCCATCATTCCAAACTTCTTTATGATCAGCCTTTAGAACACCATGTTTCTCATAGAATATTTTGCTTTAGAGCTGGAAGAAGCCTCTGGAGAGTGCACATCCAGCCACTTTCTTCGGTAAATCCAGTGAAGAGATTAGAGCCAGGCATGGTTGTGCACACCTATAGTCCAAGCTCTTTGGGAAACCAAGGTGAGAGGATTGCTGGAGCCCAGGAGTTTCAGGCTGCAATGAGCTATGATCACACCACTGCACTCCAACCTAGGTAACAGAGCAAGACCCCATCTTTTAGAGAAAGAGAGTGAGAGGGAGAGAATGAGAGAAGAGAGAAAGATGAAAGAACTTGTGGATTTTTTTTTTTTGGAAGCAGCCTCATTTCTACTGAAGAGGCACTAATCCCTATGGCAGCTCTATGATGTATGTATGTATGTATGTGTGTTTACATTATACCCTATGCCCTATGATGTATGCATGTATATGTGTTTACATCACACTCTATGATGTATGTATGTTGACATCACACCCTGTGATGTATGTGTGTTTACATCACATCAAATTCTGTGATGTAAACATCAGTGTCCTCTCCCAGCATCTGAAAATCTCATTCTGGTCTTTTGTTTCCTCCAAGATGTAGTCTCCATCCCAGGATAAAAAACTGTTATACTTTGCTTGTTTCTATTTCCATGGTGTCCCCTGGGAAGAGAATGAATTCACAATGTGTATTAGTCAGCAAGGGAAATATCCATCCTCCTGATCCAATTACCTCCTACCAGGTCTTCCTCCAACATTGGGGATTACAATGTGACATAATATTTGGGCAGGGACACAAATCCAAACCATATTATTCTGCCCCTGCCTCTCCCAAATCTCATGTCCTTCTGACACTTCAAAACACAATCATGTCTTCCTAACACTCCCCTGTATTAGTCCATTCTCGCACTGCTATAAATAACCAATTAAGACTGGGTAGTTTATAAAGAAAAGAGGTTTAATTGGCTCACAGTTCCACAGGCTGTGCAGGAGGCATAACTGTGGAGGACTCAGGAAACTTATAGTCGTGGTGGAAGGCAAAGGGGAAGCAAGCATGTCTTCACATGGCTGGCGGGAGAGAGAGAGAGAGAGAGAAGGGTGAAGTGCTATACATTTTCAAACAACCAAATCTCGTGAGAACTCACTCACTCTCACAAGAACAGCAAGGGGGAAATCCACCCCTGTGATCCAATCACCTTCTACCAGGTCCTTTCCCCAACATTGGGGATTACCATTCAACATGAAATATGAGTGGGGACACAGAACAAAACCATATCATTCTGCCCCCAGCCCCTCGCAAATCTCATGGCTTTCTCACATTTCAAAAGACAATCATGCCTTCCCAACAGTCTTCCAAAATCTTAACTCATTCCAGCATTAACTCAAAAGTCCACAGTCCAAAGTCTCATCTGAGATAAAGCAAGTCCCTTCTGCCTATGAGCCTGTAAAATCAAAACCAGTTAGTTATTTCCAAGAGACAATGGGGTACAGGCATTGGCTAAATGTTCCCATTCCAAAAGGGAGAAATCATCCAAAACAAAAGGGCTACAGGCCCCATGCAAGTCTGAAACCCAGCAGGGTAGTAATTAAATCTTAAAGCTCTAAAATAATCTTCTTTGACTCCATATCTCACTTCCAAGCAACACTGATGCAAGGGCTGGGCTCCCAAGGCCTTGGGCATCTCTGCTCCTGTGGCTCTGCAGGATACAGAGTCATCGGCTGCTTTCACAGGCTGCCATTGAGGGCCTGTGGCTTCTCCAGGCACACAGTGCAAGCTGTTGGTGGATCTACCATTCTGGGGTCTGGAGGGCTGTGGCCCTCTTCTCATAGCTCCACGAGGCAGTGCCCCAGTGTGGACTCTGTGTGGGGGCTCCAACCCCACATTTCCTGTCTGTACTGCCCTTGCCGAGGTTCTTCATGAGGGCTGCGCCCCTGCAGCAGACTTCTGCCTGGACATACAGGCATTTCCATACATCCTCTGAAATCTAGGCAGAGGCTCCCTGCCTCAACTCTTGCCCTCTGTGCACCAGCAGGCTTAACATCATGTGAAAGCTGCCAAGACTTATGGGTCATGCCCTCTGGAGCAGCGGCCTGACACATGTGGGGCCCTTTTAGCTGCAACTGGAGCTTATGTGGCTGGGACATACGGAGCAGTGTCCTGAGGTTGGGCAGAGCAGCAGGGCCCTGGGCCAAGCCCATGAAACCATTCTTCCCTCCTAGGCCTCTGGGCCTGTGATGGGAGGGGCTGCCACAAAGGTCTCTGAAATGCCTTGGAGGCATTTGCTCCATTGTCTTGGCTGCTAACATTCAGCTCCTCTTTACTTGTGTGAATTTCTGCAGCCAACTTGAATTCCTCCTCAGAAAATGGATTTTTCCTTTCTACCACATGGCCTGGCTGCAAATTTTCCAAACTTTTATGCTCTGCTTCCTTTTTAAATACAAGTTTCAGTTTCAGAATACCTCTTTCCTCACAAATATAAGCATATGCTGTTAGAAGTAGACAGGCCACCTCTTGAATGCTTTGCTGCTTAGAAATTTTTTCTGCCAGATACCCTAAATCATCTCTCTTAAGTTCAAAGTTTCACATATCCCTAGAGCAGGATATGCTGCCTGTCTCTTTGCTAAAGTATAGCAAGAGTGACCTTTGCTCCTGTTCCTGATAAGTTCCTCATCTCAATCTGAGACCTCCTCAGCTTGAACTTCATTGTCCATATCACTACCAGCATTTGGGTCACAACAATTTAACAAGTCTCTAGGAAGTTCCAAACTTTTGTCTTCTTTTGAGGCCTCCAAACTGTTCCAACCTCTGTCCATTACCCAGTTCCAAAGTCGTTTCCAAATTTTCAGGTATCTGCCAATTTTCTGTATTGCTATAAAGAACTACCTGAGACTGGGTAATTTATAAAGAAAATAGTTTTAATTGGCTCAAAGTTCCTCAGGCTGTACAGGAAGCATGGCTGGAGAGGCCTCTGGAAACTTACAATTATGGTAGAAGGGGAAGGGGAATCTGGGAAGTCCTATATGGCTGGAGCAGGAGGAAGAGAGTGAAGCGGGAGGTGCTACACACTTTTAAACAATCAGATCTTGTGAGAAGTCTATCATGGGACAGCACTAGGAGGATGGTCCTAAACCATTAGAAACCACCGTCATGATCCAATCACCTCCCTCCCATAAGGCCCCACCTCCAACACTCGGGATTACAATTCAACATTAGCCAGGGACACATATCCCTGGCTACCATATCCCTGGCCAAACCATATCACAGGCCTAGAGTTCCTCTCAGTTTGTTACCATTAGATCATACCTTTTTGTACTCCAATCATACTTCTGCACAACTGTCCATAAGGATACACAGTTTTTCCTGAGTCTCTGGGTTTTTATTTCTGAAGGCTCCTGTGGTACATAAAGCTTATATAAAATAAATTTGTTATGCTTTTATCTTGCTAATTTGTATTTTTTCCTAAGGATATATAAACCAAAAAGTATCTGAGACAGGTCTCAATTTAGAAGTTTATTTTGCCAAGGTTATAGATGATGATCCATGACACAGTCTCAGGAGAGCCTGAGAACATGTGCCCAAGGTGGTTGGGTTACAGCTTGGTTTTATATATTTTAGGGAGAGATAAGACATCAATCAGTACAGGTGAAGCATACATTGGTGTTGTCTGGAAAGGCAGGACAATTGGAAGGTAGGTAGGGCCTTACCGGTAATGGGTGGTTTCAAAGATTTTCTGATTGGCAATTGGTTGAAACAGTTAAGTTATTATCTAAAGACCTGGGATCAATAGAAAGAAGTGTCTGGGTTAGGGTCAGGGGTGTGGAGACCAAAGTTCTTATTATGCAGATGACCATCTTACAGGTGGCTCCCCCGAGAGGCAATAGATGGCAAATGTTTCCTATTCATACCCTTAAAAGGTGCTAGACTCTCAGCTCTTGATTGGCTGAAAAAGGATCAGAAAAAGATATGCAAAGAAAAGGGAATTCTCTATAGAATGGAAATTTCCCCCACAAGAGATGGCATTGTACAGCCTTTTCAAATGATATCAGATAAATATATTTTGGGGTAAAATACTTTGGTTTCTTTTATGGCACTGCTATCTGTCATGTGATGGTACACTAGAGTCAGGTTGGAATTTAATATCTTACTGCCACAAACAGCATGTTCTATCAGTCTTAGGATGTCTATTTTAATGTTAATGCTGGTCAGTTGTGTGCCTGCACTCCAAAGGAAAGAGAGTATGAGGCATGTCTGTCTCTCACTTTTCCGGCGTGGTCTGAACTAGTTTTTCAGGTTTAGTTGGGTCCTCTGGGCTGAGAGGGGGTCCAGTCAGTAAGTTGAGGGACTTCAAATTTTATTTTTGGTTTACAGGGTCTCAGCCACGAACCTAGCAATGGGGAAGAAGAAGATACTACTTTTTCTCCCTTACAGTGGGTTGACTAGGTACTTGGTGCATAACAAGTCCTTTGTAACAATGGGCTACTGTGATTACTAAGAGTTAGATGTCAAAAACTTCAGTGGAGAAGTGTCCAATAAAGAGGGCTAAGACAGGAGGAGAAGGTAACCTAAAAGATAGTCTAGAGCTGTGTTTTCAAACTGTTGGTCACGACCAGTTAGTGGTCAAGGAACCTGTGTAGTGGCTTGTGTCCAGATTATTATTATTATCTTTATTGGAATGAAATAGAGTAGAATTAAAAAACACCAGAATGCTTTATACAAAGTAAGGTCGATTTTCTCTTTAACTTTTGTTCCAGTTATAAATATAAATTTATTTGCATTTGAATGTACTGGGTCACATAAAAATATTTTTACTTGGGTCTTTGACAAAAAATCTTGAGCTACATGGGTTGGGGTGGAGGTGGGGTGGAATGGGGTGCACAGCACAGCAGGTGTGAGTTGAAGAAGGCAGAGCCAGCTCAGGTGTACCTACCAATAATGAAGCAGACGAAAGTAATTATCCTCACTCTTGGCTGAACACTGTAATCACCTGGGGAGCTATAAAAATAGACTGGTGTCTGGGTCCCACCACTAGAGATTCTGATTAATTGGATTGTGGTATAGCCTCAGAATCAGGATTTTTCTAAACTCCCCAGGTGATTCTAATGTGTAGCCAAAGTTGTGAGCACTGGATTAAAGTAAGGGGGCCCTTATACTCTAAAATCCTCCCTATGTCAAGGCTCTAAAGTCTCGTGAACAACCTCCTGCCTGACTCAGCAGTAGTACGAACATCATCCTGAACTTCTAGGTCTTATAGACTTCTTATAGGCCAATATTATCATATCCATCACTTAGTCCATTTAATTCACCGGCTAGGTGGGTTGATCTTAACCCCCAAGTGTTTTCAGGAGGCATATTTTTGCTAAAATATTCTTTACTATCCTAAGGCAGAGTTTGCAGGCAGTGGCTAATTTGTACTGTTAAAGTTGGTAGCTAGTTAGACATGAGCAGGACAGGAGAGGGCTCCACCCCCACCCCACCAGGAATGCCATCAGTGATGGTCAGGCGGTTGTTACACTGCTTCTCTAAAATAATAATTGGTTGCAGCCAGCACCAGGGAAAGGCAATCTACCAATAGATAGAAAAAACCTGAAACTGGTGATCAGTGGCTTTCTGATAAAATCTCAGGAGTTGGGCAAGTGGGCTTGAGTATGCACACTAGAGGCAAAATGGCGGAGTTTAACAGGTATATGACCTTCTTCTAGAAACACTTGACTGGTAAGGGAAGAAGGCCTCAAGTGAGCATGCATACAACTCCACTAAACACACAGTGAATGTGGCCCCTCTCAAGTGCTAGCAGGCCACTGCACATGTGGACAGCCCACCCCAAGGACAGAATCAGGGGAGAAGTAATGCAAGACCCGGGAATCATGCCAACATGTAAAACCTCAAGTGAAATGTCAGACCGCACACTTGAATCTCAAGTCACCCCCTTGGTCCTCTTCCAAGTGTACTTTACTTCCTTTCATTCCTGCTCTAAAGCTTTTTAATAAACTTTCACTCCTGCTCTAAAACTTGCCTCAGTTTCTCACTCTGCCTTATGCCCTTTTGGTTGAATTTGTTCTTCTGAGGAGGCAAAAATTGTTGCTGCAGACCTGTATGGATTTGCCACTGCTAACAATACTAATGAAATAAGAATCTGGACTAGATTGGGCCATGGGGATAAAATAGAGAATAGTCACTGCAGAGAAAGAATTGGCAAATTTGGTGGAGGCCTGCTTCTGCCATACCTAATCCAGTATTAACAAGAAAAATTTACTTTAAAAATAAAGTGAAATGAATACTTTGGAAAATAGAAAAGTGGTTGAGAAGTAATAAATTTTTGAGCTCATTTTAATTTTTTTTAAAAAAGATGACCCTCTAGCTATTCAAATAACTATGAGAACAAAACACAAATACACAAAATCAGAGTGTTGAGGAAATAGACAAATACCCAGAGGAAATTTATTATTTCTCTCTTCTCTGTGAAAAATGAATTGAAACCCTGTATGAAAGGGACAATTTCTGGGCAAATATGAATGACCAATAATGACCCTAAAAGAGATAGCAAAATTTCAACAGATCAACTACAGATACAAATTGAAAAAAATTATTAAATAATTCATTCTAAAAAAACCACCAGACCAGAAATTTTCAGTTTAAGTCAACAAAGTTTTCAAAATCTTCATTCTGTTTAAAGCATCCAGAAGTGTAGAGGAAAGAAGCAAAACCTCCAAATTATTTTGCACATACGGAATAGCATTGATGACAAAACCTGTCAGAAATATCACAAAAGGGAACTACAAACCATGTATCAATACAAGCTTTGTGATAAAATGTTTTTTATCTTATTCACTACCATGAGAACAGTATATGGGAAACGCCCCCATGATTCAGTTGTTTCCCACTGGGTCCCTCCCACAACATGTGGGAAGTATGGGAGCTACAATTCAAGACAAGATTTGGGTGGGGACACAGCCAAACCATACCACTGTCTCTACAAATAAAAGTAATAAAAAAATTAGCTGGATGTGGTGGGACATTCCTGCGGACCCAGCTACTCTGAAGCCTGAGGTAGGAGAATTGCTTGAGTCCAGGAGGTCAAGGCTGTGTTGAGCCACGATGGCACCACCGCACTCCAGCCTGGGTGATAGAGCAAGACCCCACTCAAAAAAAAAAAAAAAAAAAAAAAAGAATAATTTCACATATGATGAAGGAAGTGGAGAAAGCACTGGGATAATTGGTAAGCCAACTAGAAGAAAGGCTTTTGGATTCCTGTATCTCTTACCTTACACCAGAGTAAATTCTACGTGGGCCAAAAATTTGGATATAATAAATAGAACTATAAATTTAATTGAAGAAAACATAAGAGAAATACCTTAATGATTTCATTACAGGGAAAATGACTCTAAGCTTGGCTGTGAAAGCAAAAACCTAACAAAGCCCCCAAACATTAACGTGTTGCATACAAAATTTTTTTTCTGTATAGCAAAGATGTCATATACAAAAGTACCAACAACAGCCTTCTCCAAAGCATTTGCTACTGTAATTGCCACCGTTGCTTGAGCTGGCCTAGTCTCTTAGTGCTTTGGAGCTCTATGACTGCCTATTCATTAGTGTGGCCCAGATCCTGAGGAATCAGTCACAAGGGTCTTCTAATTACCTTAATACCTTAATTACTTACTTCCTTCACATGTAAAGGTGTGAGTCTTAATAAGTAGCATCATAACCTTAAAGGTCTTCAATGCAGAAAGCTGCGTATAGACTTTGAGGTGCATTAAAATAATAATTTATTATGTCCTCTTCCTGTATCTGGGAACCCCCAAGTGGCTATCAAGAAGTTAATTTTCCATTGGCCCTCTCCTATCTTCTCACAGGAAACCAGCAGGAGCTCAAAGAGAGTTACACACAGTCCACTCTAAGCCTTTATTCTAATGGCTAGCCTGGCCCTCAGGTTTGTTCTTTCCAACCCAAGGAAATGAAATGTTAAAAAAACAAAAAGCAAACAAACAAAAAAAACACTTGACAAAGAATATGTACAGAATTTCCCACGGTGGGAGGATTGGTTGAGGCCAGGAGTTCGAGACTAGCCTGGGCAACAAAGCAAGACCCCATCTCCTACATTTTTTTCTTAATTAGCTGGATGTCATAGCACATGCCTGTAGTCCTAACTATTTGGAAGGCTGAGTTAGGAAGATCACTTGAGCCCAGGAGTTCAAGGCTGCAGTAAGAACTATGATTGTGTCACTGCACTCCAGCATGGGTAACAGAGCAAGACTGTCTCTAAAAAAAAATTTTAAAAAGGAATTTCTAGGCTCCATGCAGTGGCTTATGCCAGCAATCCCAGCACTTTGGAAGGCTGAGGTGAGCAAATTACTTGAGCCCAGGAGCTTGAGACCAGCCTGAGCAACATGGCAAAACTCTGTCTCTACAAAAAAACCCAAAAAACAAAACAAAAAACAAACAAACAAACAAGAAATTAGCTGGGTGTAGTGGTACCTGCTTGTAGTTCCAGCTACCTGGGAGGCTGAAGTGGGAGTATCACCTGAGCCTGCAAGGTTGAGGGTACAGTAAGCCGTGATTGTGCCACCACACTCCAGCCTCAGCGACAGTGTGAGACCCTGTCTCAAAAAAAAAAAAAAAAATTCCTACAAACCCTATTAGAAAAATTGACAACAAAAAATATAAGCAGACAATGCACATAAAAGGAAATATAGAATAAATGACTTTTAAACATATGAAACTCAATTTTGTCATTGTAAGTGAAATGTAAAGTAAGAATATAAGCATCAGTTTTCACCTATCAGATTATCAAAGATCAAAGATTTTGAAATTATTTGGTGTTGGCAAAGTTGGAGAGAAATGAGTATTCATGTAGAGTTGATGGGACTATGAATTGGTATAATCTCAGTGGAGAGCATTTTGAGATTATTTTTCAAAATTAAAAATGCCCAAATCCTTTGATCTAGTAATCCTACTTTTAGAAACTTATCAGTAGATATATTTTACCTGCACATAGAATTTATTTCATTATCAAAATTGCAAGAGATTAGAAACATATTTGTCTATCAATATGGGACTGTTCATATAAATTACTATTATCCATACAATGGAATAACAGCATGTTTTATGTTTAAAAAAAAAGACAGAGCTGCATGTAATAATATGGCACTATCTTCAAGGTGTAGTAAGTGAAAAAGTAAGGTTTGGAACAGCATATAGCATATTGCAATTTGTGGTGAAAACAACAAAAGCAATGATATGAAAATATGTGTTGAATATCTCTAGAAGGACATAACAAGAAACTGATTGCTATGTATGTCTGGGAGGAAGGAAACGGGAGTGTGGGAGGTCAGGAGTAGAAGAGTAGAAGGGGAGTTGGCTTTTTTTATCTACCACATGCCCTTTAAAATTGTGTGGATTTTTTTTTCTGTGTTTTTCCCTATTAAAAGTAAAACCATTTAAATTAATTTGGTGATTTAAAAAAGAAAAATAAATGTTGACAGCGAACAAGGTAGCGTACTGTGCTTCTTGTTACCTTGCTCTGGTTCCTGTGAACCTGGGAGAACGTTGCAGGACTGCAGGAAAGAAAGGCCATTTCAGCAGAGGAGCATGCTGGATCCAGATGTGGCTTCACAAAAAAAGAGCAAGAATGGAAATATAGACTCTTCCAACCATTTGGAAGAGGCACTGATGCATCCGTTTGCATGGTCTAGCCCTTGAGTCATCTAATATGTGAATGAGGCACACTCAGGTTCCAGAGCTTTTGTGGTCTTGGGGTCATGGTAGGGCAGGGGACTTCAGGAGAAAACACTGGCAGCTGTTCATAGCATTATGGCCCACACCAACCCTCCTGATGGCTACTTGACTTCTGTGAGTATTTAGTTCTTTTCCATCTACAATGTTTAGAACCCCTTTCTCTGGCCCACAGAGGGCTGATGCCAGCCCACCATCCTGTCTTGCAAAATCAATGCCACTGGGCATAAGGGACTGGCAGTGGAAACCAGGTGAAGCTCTGCCAGCAGCCTCCTGCCATGATGGCCAGGTGGCACAGAGTGCCTGTCCTCATGCAGGGCAGTTACTGTTGTCTACAGAAGACAGCACAATGTACTACTCAGGTCTGCACGGGTACCACCCTCCTTCCTTTGCAGATGAGGAGAATGTGAAGCTGAGATCTCACCGAGAGACCAGGCTGAGTCCAGCCACAGTGCTGGCTCTGGCACTATTGAGCTCTTGGTGCTGACCCCACACAGCTCACTTCTTTGTATGATCTCTAATGAAATAAACACATCTCTTTCCTCTTTATGGTTTCTAAATTTTTAGCCCATAGGAAAGCCTAATTATCTAATGGAGTTTAGGTCCCAATTAAAGTGGAAATGAGGCCCTTGGAGCTAAGGTGGAGTGTCACCATCACATTCTAGGAGGGAAGGAGCACAGCACTGGGAGTCCAGAACCCAGAGGCCTGACTTGCTCATGAATTGACTGTGTGACACGCATCACAACTTTTCTGGACCTCAGTATCAAAGTTTAAAAAAAAAAGAATGGGCATGTGTATTTAATCAAATGTTGTAAATTGGGAGTTCACAGATGTGTTTTAGTTAACATGCTTTAAATTAGCTTTAATTAGTAGTCAAAATTGAGATACTTCCTATAAAAAATCTGCATTCTCAGCTCTCTTTGAGAAGGCACACGATCTGACATCAGAGGGCCAGCCTCTCCTGTGGCTCCAATCAGCTGCAGCTGCAGATGCTGCTGCCCTGTCTTTCAGAGCCCGGCCCCACTTCCACACCCACCCCTGCACCCATTCCCTCCACCACCACAGTGGTGTCTCTGGCCTGAATATTTACCCGATCTGCTGACCTTGCAGGCATTTAATTGCGGCCCTTAGTCATTCTGTAAGATTCCTTTCACTTTTAGGACGTAATGATTCTAAAATTTCGTCCAGCTGCCAGTCTAGAAAATATATTTCTTTTCCATATTACTTTAAATCGGGAGCATTTTGAGCTTATGTGGTTGTAGCAAGCCCTGACCCAATGCTTTTCTTTCTTTTTCCATTTGCTCATAGCAGATTATCCTTGGTTACCATGGTGATTACTATCCCTTAATGATACGCTGCTACCGCACGGGGAATATAATTTTCTTTGGTGCAGTGGAGGCAGTGGGGGAACAGTAGTAGGTATAAAAGCTTTCTCTCCTGCTCTATGCCTCAGGTGCTTCTCAGTCGCCACAAAGGACAAGTCAGGCTGCCGATCAGTCTCTCTAGACAAGCCAACATGAGAGCTGCTGCCAGGATTTAAATATCTTCCCTGGGTCTTGGTGCACATGTGGGAACCCAGATACAGGCTATTTTCAACCTCTGCAAAGCATTCTGCATCAAGTCTCATGGGACTTAATTAAAATAATCAGTTTGCACAGTCAAAGCTTTCGTCTCTAACTTTTCACACAAAATGAGCATCCCTTGTGCAAAGAGGCCTGCTCACACATACTCAGAGTGAGTGACACCTCTAAATGCATGCTTTTCCTCCTGGTCGAGATCCCACGGTTTGCATCTGGCCCTTTCTGACTAAACTGTGGTCAGTGGAAGGCAATCCATAACCCATAGCACTGCCCAGATCTTGTAGGCCTCACTTCTCTCACTTCTCTCACTTCATCTCCATGTCCAGGGAGATGGGAGAAGATGTGTTCTCCCTAATTCACAAAACCCTCCAGCATCAAGGGGCTTAGCCCTGGAATCTCACTTTGTGAGGCAGATTGGATCTGCTCAAGGCACCCAGCTGAAAAGGGCTTTGAAGTCCCTCATTTTGGGGGTCCAGTTTTACATCAAGGCCAAATAGAAAACCAGGTGAATGGATGCAATTGAACTTTCAGAGATGAGTTGATACGAGAGTCACCTCTACAGGACTTTCCCCTCTCCTTCCTTCTTTCCTGCCCCTTCAAATTCCCATACAGTTAAAATAAATAAATGAAAAGATAGGTGAGAAAGCAAGTGGAATCTAGGTGATAGGCATCTAGAGCTGTGCACTGTAGTTATTTCACCTTCTCTATACACTTGAAATTTTCATAAATGTTAGAAAATTGACTAAAGCAGAGTTCATACATGAGAGACCCACAGACCATGTCAAGCCCACAGACACAATTTACTTGGCAGCTCAGCGATATTTTTTATTAAATCATTTGCAAACATTTAAAGAGGAGATCGCACAAAAAAATCTGGATTTCCAGTTTCTGTAGACAAATCAGGAGATCTTACAGCATTGGCCCCACATTCCTGCATGGAAACAGTTGACTGGAGCTGGGTGGCAGCTGTTCCCTTTCGATGGGGCACATCCTCTCCTCTTGGATGCAGACCCTGCAACATATACATTCTTCACTTATGTTACTTGTATGGGCCAGTTTCTCAGGTAATGACATTCATCCAGAACAACCTCAAAAAGGGGAAAAAGTCATAGAAAAGCAGCTTATCGGTCTGTGAGCACTTGCGTGCCCACATGCAGTTATGTGGGAAAATGCAGTCCTACACCTTTGTTTTGTGTAGTCAGGTGGCAAGGCCTCCTCTTCCCTTCTACTCCAGCCTGCTGAGATGCCAGTCAGTGCCCCACCACAAAGCTAAGTAAGCAGAGCGGCTCATAAACAACTCTGGGTATGACTGCGTGGACAGGAAAGTCTTGCTTCAGGCTAACTGAGCCAGCCTTCATTTACTACAGAATGTTTGCCCTCTGACTAAAATGCCTTAGTTAGTGCAAGAGATAGACCAAGTCTCCTGTCAAATTGTCACCATCATTGTTTATCATAAAGCTTCATTGTTTGGTGCCAGGCAAAAAAGAGAGCCACACAGAACTCAGGTGTCCTAGAGCCTAAATTTGATCTGTGCATATCACAGTGGGAAATTCTACCTCTTTTGTTTTTCCTTTCTGGCCTAAAGGAGGTTTGTGGATTGAAATATTTTCTCAGAGGAAAATGGGTACTGGCCACAGGGTTCAGTGTTTCCAAAATGTTGCCTCTGCCTCTGCCTCTGCCTTTTCCTTGCACGGATCCACACTCTAAAGGATGCCTTCGTTGGGGTGTGCTGGGCTTCTGAGCTCTGTTCTGGGCTGAGAGGTCCTAGGTTGGAGCAATGTGAGTGTTGTCAGGAGCAGAATACATCCTCGGCGATAACAGCGAAGGTGAACTCGAGTCCCTTCGCCCTTTGGACTCTTCCTCCACTGCTTTCTATCGAACTTAGAATACAATTCATCTCCTTCCTTGGCCAACCAGTCCTTATGTGGTCTGAACCCGGATGGTCTTCCAGCCTCATTTTATCCCACCTTTCCCTCCCCTCTCCATGCTCTGGCTACACTGGCTTCTTTCTATTCTGAAACACCCAAAGCTTGTCCTTACCCAGGGCTGCTGCACTTGCTCTTCGCTCTGCCTGGACCACTCTTCCCCCAGCCCTTGGTCTGGCTGGCTCCTTCTCATCTGGGCTTCAGGTCACATGCCAGCTTCTCTAAGGCCTTTCCTGGCACTGTTCTCTTCCCCTCATGCCCTATTTCTATTCCATTACGGTGTTATTTTTCATTGAAATTATTACCTAAAATTATTTTCGTTTACTTGGTTAGTATCTGTCTCCTCTACTTCAGTGCAAGCTCCACAAAAGCAAGGACCTTGTCTCTTGTTCACCAGAGAATCCCCGCTGCCTGAAATAAACGTTTAATCAATGAATGTCCACACCCAGAGCGGGAGGGAATTCTAACAGTTGTGAGGCTGCTGATGTTCCTTCCAGTGAATGCTATGAAAAACTCAAGTCTATATACATTTAATCCTCCCCTAATTTGGATCTGCTTTTAAGAATGGCCTTTGGCCGTTTGTAACATCTGGATGCCAATATTAAAATAAAACTGGTGAAGAAGAAGGCTGAGATTTGATGGTTCCATGTATTTCCTTAAATATTATGGTTCTGTAAAATGGCTTTGATTGGTGACACAAAAGGCAAGGTTGCCCCCTAGTGTTTAGATGTGTAGATCTGTGTCACCAGCAATACCTTTTAAAAAACTGTGTGTATAGAAAGCCACACTTCCACAGCCTGCTGTAATATAGACCAGAATTTACCAAGGAAGCACAATTTCCCACAAAGTATCTCCTAAGAGACTCCAAATGGATACTTTCCATTCTCATGGGCTTCTGCCAAAAGTTGAGCTACTGTCTTTGTTAGCTACTAAAGAAATCTGAAACAACCAAGAGAGCTGTCTAGCTGAGTTTCACCAGATAGCACATTCTCCAGACTGTTTTCTTAAATGTCACCTTCCTTTCCCAGGCAAAGTAGGCTGATTATAAAGTAAGTAAAATCAATGTTAAAGAAAATAGCAACCCACCATCTCAACTGTTTTCCCCTTGGCCACAGAGGAATTTATCCTTAAAGTTCAGGAAGACATAAACCATTCAGAATCTTAAGTGGATGCAACCAAGCACAAGATTTCCCTGCACTGAAAAATCTTGGTAGTTTTAGGTGAGTATTTTTCATTCCTGAGCCATGCTGAAGACTGGTGAGACAAAGGAAAGCTGTAAAAAGTGGCTGGATGAGGGTGGCACCAGGGGAAACCATTTAATAAAGAGCCTGGGTTATTGGCTCCTACAGTATCACTCTGGGAAACTAGGTTATTAGAAATGATGGAAAATGGGTGGTGAGGTGAGCTGGTGGCTGGGAATAACCATGGCAACCAAACTATCCATTTTCTTATTTCGCTTTCCTTGAGACTAGAAATAGATCAAGTGTAGGTCACTGCAAACAAGTCCAGTGATGGTTTACATCTCCTGCAACAGCTTTTGCTGGCCTTTTTTGTGAGCATGTGAAGAAATGCTACCCTACTTTTGAAAAAATGTCATATATCTCTTGTCCCGACCACCTAGTTTGTGTTCTGTATATTGTGTGAATATGGTGTTCTATTTTTACTTTAAAATATGTTTTTTAAGAGTAAATAAGAAATAGTTGTGGAATTACAAAGCCAGAAGTAGAATGCTTTTTGGAGACCACCTACTCAATGCAGGAATTTTTTTTTGTCATGCTGAGAGATGGGCTCTATTTTAATCTCTTCAGTGACAAGGAACTCACTACTTCATGATATAACAATTGCATTGTTAAATTGTTGGAAATTCTTTATTATTTTTATTTATTCACACAGCTGATATTTATTTAGCACCTACTCTATGCCAGGTACTGTGCTGGGCACTTTGGATCTAGTGGTTAACAATATGAACTCTGAACATGAAGTCCCTGAACATAAAGAAGTTATAGTCTTCTCCTTGTAACTTTCAGGTGAATATGTGCAATTGAAACTAATGAACAGTATTTTCATGGTACTGCTACTGTTTCAGCAACAATAGTTTTAGTCTTTTGTTTCTCTGATCAAGAATCACATTTTAAGGAGAGAGTATCCGATTGGCTTGAGTCCCATGCCCAGCCCTTGGCTGGAGGTGGCAGCAGCACTTCTTGATGTCCCTCCAGAATGTATCCCATGTGTCCAACCAGAGAACAGGCAGTTTTTGTTAAAAGTACACACAGGGTCATCCTAGGTTTTTCCTGGGGTTTAATGTCAAGACTAAATATCTCTATATCTATTTTCTAAAGGCAAAAATATTTAACTATCTCAGTGTTCCAGAAGCTCCTCATGTTTTCTTGGAGATTACTACAGTATCTCCAATCATGTCTGCAGGCTACTTGAGTGTTTTGGAAGATAATTCACTTGGACCCTGTGTCATATATTCTCTTAAAGCTGCAGGTGCACTCGCTCTTGCATTTACATGACCTACCTTGTTTCCACCCAGTCTAATTTGAATACCAGTATCATTGCTAGAAGAGGTCAGAGAACAATGTAAAAGATCTGCCTTCATCTTGCAGAACTGTGCAGTGTTTAAAAGAACAAGGGCTTTGGAATGAGAAATACCCGGGTTTAAGTCCTATTCCTGTGTTGTACTGGTTGTGTGGCCTTGGTCCAGTTACTCATCTGTTCTATGTGTCTGTTTTCTCATCTGAAAAATGGATATAATCTCATAGGGTTTATGGAAGATCAACTGTACAGTCAAGAGACAGAAATCACACTGATTATTTGAACAGGGAGATTTCATGTAAAGATTTTTTAATCAAGTACTCAAGAAATGAAAAGGCAGAAAGGAAACACTGAGAAGGCAGAAATCGTAGAAGCAGTTACTGCTCTAGAACTGGGTGAATACATGAAAGAGTTTGGAGTTGTTAAAGTTTAGAAGCTTGAAGGAGGTGGTGCCCCGCAGAGCTGAAACTGAAACCTCTGAGACCGGGTTGAGGGTCATTGCATTGTACTATTGCCTCAGGATTTTGAAGGTGGCCCCTGGTAGGGAATAGGTAGGACCGTGACCTTCAAGGAGAGGTGCTAACTGGTTGGTGCTGGGGTCTCTAGGGGGTATGATGATGCTGGTTCTAAGGGGAGTGATGATGCTAGTTTATCATGCCCCAGTATTTAGGGGTAATGCAAATATCAATTCCTGAATAAATGTTGGAATGAATTCCTAAGTGTCTGAGACCTCAGTGGTTGTCTCTTGTTTTAATTGCTGGAATTTTCCATTAACTTTATTACTCATGGAAGTACTAAGATACATCCCAGAAAATCCCCAGCATCTGAGACATGGTCCTCCCTACTTTCATTTTGCAGTAGCAACTGTTAACTTAAAAATCACAAGATGTATAAATTTAGAACGGGAGAAGAGACTATTTCATCTAAAGTGTTACAGCCTATAAGATGGCCATCCTTCAGACTGGGAAGTACAGCCTCTGGCTGGAGCCCAGAAACAGGCACTTGGAAGGAGGAGGGGTTGGGGTATAAGTTTTATACTGAACAGGTTGACTAAACATACATATTCAACAGGTTACAGGAGGAGCTGTGAATATTCATGAAGGTGGCCCTGATGCATACGTCTTGAACAAACATGCAAGTAATATAAAACCCATGTTCACTTTGGGGTGGAGATGCAACATTTAAGTGTATTATAATGAGGCCCTGTACTTCAAAAGATCTTTTCAAGACATGAAGGGATGCAAGTGCATAATCTTTGTAAACTGGCCAGAACCAGTCCAGGGTTGGTGGTTTTCTTATCTGGGGAAAGTTATTGAAGTCAGTCTCTTGTCCAGTGAAAACTGTAGTTATGGCTGGTGGAACAGTCCAGTGAGTCAGCGTCTGTGAGCTGGATGAGTTGTGACTGTTTTAATCGTGCTTATCTTGAGGCCAGTGCTTGTTTAGTTGCTGGAGAAAAAGAAAAATTTTGTGGCAGTTAGAACATAGATTATTCTTCAAGTGTAGGGATGCGTGACTTAACTCTTGCCTGACATGGCCTTAGGTCCTTTTTATATGTTGGTATCTTATTGTCACCAAGAGTCTGTTGTGTTAAACTTATGATCTTTATTTTAACATTTAGGCTGGTCACTTGTTCTGTCTAAGCCATAAAAGGAGGTCTAATGAGGTAGTCTGACCTGCTGTCCCATGATGGTCAGGAACTCAGTTTTAAGCTTTTTCTGGGGTCCCCTCAGCTACAAGAGAGTCTGTTCTCAGTAGAGAGGCCAGGGTTGGCGGGGGCAGGGTAGGATTTTATTTTTAGTTTACACAACACAATTTGTTCTTGGTATTCAGGATCAATCATCCCAGCCAGGAGAGTAATCCTCCTCTTTGCCTGTGGGTTCAGGAGCATGAGTACCCCCAAATGACCACTTGACAGCCTACTTTTCCAATTCAATGGAATCATTGCTGTGTTCCTGAAAGGAAGCATTCTTTCCTTTAGAATAAGTGCTTCAAACCAGTGCAGATTGCCATTGCAGGAATGGGGTGCATAAATTCTGTAAGAAGCTTATCAAGTGTATTAGTGGGAGGAACCACTCTGCCATCCATCCTTGATTCCTGGACCCATGTATTCTGGCTGTGGATGAGACAGCACCAAATACTGGTCATTAATTCTAACATATACTGTGTCCTATAAGACAGAACACGGTCCTTTGAGGATATTGTCTTTTAACCGGCACTGTAACCTACTTTTCAATGAATCAGTCCACCATTCTTTCAGGCCAGCTGCTTCTGGGTGACGGAAACATGGTCAGACAGACAGGCATCTGGCATATAGTGCCTTCCATACAACCTGGTCCAAAGTGTATCAGTGCCAGTGACAGACCAGGCATTCCTCCAAATCAGGGGCATGCACTATCTCCTCAGGCAACTGAAGGAGACCAGCTCAGCCAGACATCCAGCAGGTACTCTCAATCTCCAGCCCCATCTGGGTGTTCTTTGTGCTTCTTGCTTTTTTTTTTTTTTTTCTGGAAATGGTCCTCTCATGGATACTCTCCTCCTGGGCATGTCATTGCTGGTGTCAAAGGCTTTTCAGCCCAGAAAGCTCCTCTGCTGGAACCTGGGAGACTTCCAAGCCACAGAGAGACTTCTTCCTGCTAAACAGCATGGGCAATGGCTTTCTAGACCCATCCAGACTTCATGACAGCTGCATCATAATTGGCATAATTCTCCATGGTCACTCAGCCACAGCAGGAATTGTGGGCCTGGAAAACGAGTCACTTCTTTCTCTTGGGCACAGCGACTATATCAGGGCAAGGCTAGTCTAGTATGCCTGGACCCCAGGCCATGTTTCAGGTCAGCTATGCCCAGCTCTACCACCATTGCCTACACCCTTCTTTAACACTTAATGCAATATCGTTGACATGAATTAAATCAAACCTTATTTTGGTTATTTCCACTAAGGCCATACTTGGTGAAAGTAATTCCAGTATATGATTATTACTGGAACACCAGTAAAAATTATGAACCCTGTAACACTAAGGTTTCATTGTCCTTGAACTGTCATTAAATGGGTTCTTGGAAGAAAATAAACAAGCAAGTTTCTGGATAAGCTCAAATTCTAGGGATTATTGACTTGTAAGTCTGTATGTGTGCAAGTACACAAATATTTTTAAATTTAATAAGAACAATAATGTTTGTATGTTGCAAATTTTGAATAAGTTTTCCCGATGCGTTTTAGGTCTTTGAATTATTATATAAAGGAGTTTTGAATCTGAAGCTAATTTATTTGGCATTTAATCAGAAAAAAACTTCACAAATACTAAGATAACATTTCTTTTCTTTGATTCTTTGTGCTGTAAAATTGGGGCAGGGCTGACAGGGAGCCAGAAGCCAGTTCCATCTGTGCTCCTAACACTACCTAATATGTGGTGTGTGACCCTGAGCTTTGCTCCTCTGGGTCTCAGTTTCCTCATCTGTAAAATGAAGTGAGTAAACGAGATGATTTCCAGGTTGTTTTTACTTTAAGAGAATGATATGAAATGATACCTATCTTATGATTTTGTATAATGTGACCAATAAAAGGATGAGGTAGGGACTGAATTAGCTGAAGATGACCATAACTTTCACATGTAAATTCAAACTCTTCTCAGCCTAAATTCTCAAGGTAAAGCAATTATCAATTCCTACAAAATAAATATGGAATATCTGATCTTAGTATATCTTGTTTTTATTTCTCTAGAGAATTGGCAAAAGATTTCTCCCATATTTATTGGTAGCAGAGAAATTCAAGCTAGGTGCTCGCAGCCAGAAGCTTGTGGCTGGTCACTATGAAATCCGCACAGCTTACTCAGATTACTTTGAAGGGTTTTACAATGGGTTTTATTTTATTCTCTACCTTGTCATGGCCAGATCAGAACGCCTCTTTGAATACTAAATGGTGACTTCCTGCTCTCAACACTGTCTAACTTAAAACACAAATAAGAAGATGCAGCTAGAGACAGGTGAAGAAGGAAAAGAAAAAAAAAGCTGTTGGATGAAGGGTATCCTTTTAGTTTTATGCGTGTGTTGGGATCTGGCCCAACACTAGTCTTAGGAGTTCAGACACTTGGAAATGCTTCCACATCGGGAAGCGGAGATGAGAATGAGAAAAGTAAAGCTCATCCA
The DNA here is from genome assembly GCF_000001405.40 of Homo sapiens. Taxonomy (NCBI): domain Eukaryota; kingdom Metazoa; phylum Chordata; class Mammalia; order Primates; family Hominidae; genus Homo; species Homo sapiens. The sequence continues at coordinate 112,545,654 of NC_000005.10, read as the reverse complement.
TTTCATGTCTTGAGCTACTTGCTCATGTACAGTGCATGGTTCCAGGGAAAGCAGACACACAGGCACAAGAAGTAACCTGACTAAATTGTGCTTATGAGTTTACATTGGTAGTGAGGACAGTGTCTGAGAGACTGCTCTCTGGAGGACCAGAGGCTGGCCAAGAGGCTTGAGAGGGGAATGGATTTTGAGCCCCTGCGCATGAATGAAGAATTCAAAGGTGGTTGTCAAGCCAGTGCAAGAGGATCGCTTGAGACCAGGAGTTCAAGACCAGCCTGGGCAACATAGCAAGACCTTGTCTTTCCAAATAAAAAATAATTAGCTGTACATGGCAGCATGCACCCGTAGTCCCAGCCACTTGGGAGGCTGAGGACAGAGGAATGCTTGAGCCCAAGATGTTAAGCCTGTAGTGAGCTGTGATTGCATCACTGCACCAAGGAAAATGGTGCTAAACCATTCACACAAAGTCTATCCATATGATCCAGTCATCTCCCACTAGGCTCTACCTCCAACACTGGAGATTATATTTCTTTCTTTTTTGTTTGTGAGTTTGATTTTTTTTTATTATACTTTAAGTTCTGGGATACATGTGCAGAATGTGCAGGTTTGTTACATAGGTATACATGTGCCATGGTGGTTTGCTGCACCCCTCAACCTGTCATCTACATTAGGTATTTCTCCTAATGCTACTCCTCCCCTTACCCCCTACCCCCCAGCAGGCCCCGTTTTGTGATGTTCCCCTCCCTGTGTCCATGTGTTCTCATTGTTCAACTCCCACTTATGAGTGAGAACATGCAGTGTTTAGTTTTCTGTTCCTGTGTTAGTTTGCTGGGAAGGATGGTTTCTAGCTTCATCCATGTCCCTGCAAAGGGTATGAACTCATTCTTTTTTATGGCTGCATAGTATTCCATGGCGTATATGTGCCACATTTTCTTTATCCAGTCTATCATTGGTGGGCATTTGGGTAGATTCCAACTCTTCGCTATTGTAAATAATGCTACAATAAATATATGTGTGCATGTGTCTTTAGGGTAGAATGACTTAGAATCCTTTGGGTATATAACCAATAATGGGATTGCTGGCTCAAATAGTATTTCTGGTTCTAGATCCTTGAGGAATCACCACACTGTCTTCCACAATGGTTGAATTAATTTACACTCCAACAGCAATGTAAAAGCTGTTTCTCCACATCTTCTCTAGCATCTATTGTTTCCTGACTTTTTAATGATCACCATTCTAACTGGTGTGAGATGGTATCTCATTGTGGTTTTGATTTTCCAGTGTCATCCACCAGTAATGATGAGCTTTTTTTCATATGTCTGTGGCCGCATAAATGCCTTATTTTGAGAAGTGTCTGTTCATATCCTTTGCCCACTTTTTGATGGGGTTGTTTTCTTCTCAAAAATTTGTTTAAGTTCCTTGTAGATTCTGGATATTAGCCCTTTGTGAGATGGATAGATTGCCAAGATTTTATCCCATTTTGTAGGTTGCCTGTCCACCCTGATGATACTTTCTTTTGCTGTGCAGAAGCTCTTTACTTTAATTAAATCCCATTTGTCAATTTTGGCTTTTGCTGCCATTGCTTTTGATGTTTTATTCATGAAGTCTTTGCCCATGCCTATGTCCTGAATGGTATTGCCTAGGTTTTCTTCTAGGATTTTTATGGTTTTAGGTCTTATGTTTAAGTCTTTAATCTATCTTGAGTTAATTTTTATATATGGTTTAAGGAAGGGGTCCACATTCAGTTTTCTGCATATGGCTAGCCAGTTTTCCCAATACCGTTTATTAAATAGGGAATCCTTTCCCCATTGCTTGTTTGTGTCAGGTTTGTCAAAGATCAGATGGTTGTAGAGGTGCAATGTTATTTCTGAGGCCTCTGATCTGTTCCATTGGTCTATATATCTGTTTTGGTACCAGTATCATGTTGTTTTGGTTACTGTAGCCTTGTAGTATAGTTTGAAGTCTGGTACTGCGATGCCTTTAGCTTTGGTCTTTTTGCTTAGGATTGTCATGCTATACTGGCTTTTTTTTGGTTCCACATGAAATTTAAAGCAGTTTTTTCTAATTCTGTGAAGAAAGTCAATGGTAGCTTGATGGAAATAGCACTGAATCTATAAATTACTTTGGGCAGTATGGCCATTTACACGATATTGATTCTTCCTATCCATGACCATGGAATGTTTTTCCATTTGTTTGTGTCCTCTCTTATTTCCTTGAACAGGGGTTTGTAGTTTAAGAAGTCCTTTACATCCCTTGTAAGTTGTATTCCTAGGTGTTTTATTCTCTTTGTAGCAATTGTGAATGGGAGTTCACTCATGATTTGGCTTTCTGTTTGTCTGTTATTGGTGTATAAGAATGCTTGTGATTTTTGCACATTGATTGTATATCCTGAGACTTTGCTGAAGTTGCTTATCAGCTTAAGGAGATTTTGGGCTGAGACGATGGGGTTTTCTAAATATACAATCATGCCATCTGCAAACAGAGACAATTTGACTTCCTCTCTTCCTATTGAATACGCTTTATTTCTTTCTCTTGCCTGATTGCCCTGGCCAGAACTTCCAATACTATGTTGAACAGGAGTGGTGAGAGAGGGCATCCTTTTCTTATTCCAGTTTTCAAATGGAATGTTTCCAGCTTTTTCCCATTCAGTATGATATTGGCTATGGGTTTCTCATAAATAGCTCTTATTATTTGAGATATGTTCCATCAATACCTAGTTAATTGAGTGTTTTTAGCACGAAGAGGTATTGAATTTTGTTGAAGGACTTTTCTGCATCTATTGAGATAATCATGTGGTTTTTGTCATTGATTCCGTTTATGTAATGGATTACATTTATTGATTTGCATATGTTGAACCAGCCTTGCATCCCAGGGATGAAGCCAACTTGGTCACGGTGGATAAGCTTTTTGATGTGCTGCTGGATTTGGTTTGCCAGTATTTTATTGAGTTTTTTCACATCAGTGTTCATCAGGGATATTGGCCTGAAATTTTCTTTTTGTGTTGTGTCTCTGCCAGGTTTTGTTATCAGGATGAAGTGGGCCTTATAAAACGAGTTAGGGAGGAGTCCCTGTTTTTCTATTGTTTGGAATAGTTTCAGAAGGAATGGTACCAGTTCCTCTTTGTACCTCTGGTAGAATTTGGCTGTGAATCCATCTGGTCCTGGTCTTTTTCTGGTTGGTAGGTTATTAATTACTGCCTCAATTTCGTAACTTGTTATTGGTCTATGCAGGGATTTGACTTCTTCCTGCTTTAGTGTCAGGAGGGTGTATTTGTCCAGGAATTTATTCATTTCTTCTAGATTTTCTAGTTTATTTGCATAGAAGTGTTTATAGAATTCTCTGATGGTAGTTTTTATTTCTGTGGGATCAGTGGTGATATACCCTTTATCATTTTTTTGTTGTATCTATTTGACTCTTCTCTCTTTTCTTCTTTATTAGTCTGGCCAGTGGTCTAGCTATTTTGTTAATCTTTTCAAAAAACCAGCTCCTGGATTCATTGATTTTTTTTGAAGGGGTTTTTGTGTCTCTATCTCCTTGAGTTCTGCTCTGATCTTAGTTATTTCTTGTCTTCTGTTACCTTTTGAATTTGTTTGCTCTGCTTTCTAGTTCCTTTAATTGTGATGTTAGGGTGTCAATTTTAGACCTTTCCTGCTTTCTCTTGTGGGCATTTAGTTCTATAAATTTCCCTCTAAACACTGCTTTAGCTGTGTCCCAGAGATTCTGGTATGATGTGTCTTTGTTCTCATTGGTTTCAAAGAACTTAATTATTTCTGCCTTAATTTCGTTATTTACCCAGTAGTCATTCAGGAGCACGTTGTTGTTCAGGTTCCATGAGGTTGTGCAGTTTTGAGTGAGTTTCTTAATCGTGAGTTTTAATTTGATTCCACTGTGGTCTGAGAGACTGTTTCTTATGATTTCTGTTGTTTTGCATTTGCTGAGGAGTGTTTTACTTCCAATTATGTGGTCCATTTTAGAATAAGTGCTATGTGGTGGTGAGAAGAATGTATATTCTGTTGATTTGTGATGGAGAGTTCTGTAGATGTCTATTAAGCCCACTTCGTCCAGAGCTGAGTTCAAGTCCTGAATATCCTTGTTAATTTTCTGTCTCATTGATCTGTCTAATATTGACAGTGGGGTATTAAAGTCTTCCACTATTATTGTGTGGGAGTCTCTAAGTCTCTTTGTAGGTCTCTAAGGACTTGCTTTATGAATCTGGGTTCTTCTATATTGGGTGCATATATATTTAGAATATTTAGCTCTTCTCGTTGAATTGATCCCTTTACCATTATGTAATGGCCTTCTTTGTCTCTTTTGATCATTGTTGCTTTAAAGTTTGTTTTATCAGAGACTAGGATTGAAACCCCTGCTTATTTTTGCTTTCCATTTGCTTTGTAAATATTCCTCCATCCCTTTATGTTGAACCTATGTGTGTTTTTGCACATGAGATGGGTCTCCTGAATACAGCGCACCAATGGGTCTTGACTCTTTATCCAATTTGCCAGTCTGTGTTTTTTAATTAGGGCATTTGGACATTTACATTTAAAATTAATATTGTTATGTGTGAATTTGATCCTGTCATTATGATGCTAGCTGGTTATTTTGTACATTAGTTGATGCAGTTTCCTCATAGTGTCGATGGTCTTTACATTTTGCTATGTTTTTGCAGTGACTGGTACTGGTTTTTCCTTTCCATATTTAGTGCTTCCTTCAGGAGCTCTTATAAGGCAGGCCTGGTGATGACAAAATCCCTCAGCATTTGTTTGTCCCTAAAGGATTTTATTTCTCCTTCACTTTTGAAGCTTAGTTTGGCTGTATATGAAATTCTGGGTTGAAAATTCTTTTCCTTAAGAATGTTGAATATTGGCCCTCACTCTCTTCTGGCTTACAGGGTTTCTGCAGAGAGATCTGCTGTTTGTCTGATACACTTCCCTTTGTAGGTAACCTGACTTTTCTCTCTGGCAGCCCTTAACATTTTTTCCTTTATTTCAACCTTGGTGAATCTGACAATTATGTGTCTTGGGCTTGCTCTTCTCGAGGAGTATCTTAGTGATATTCTCTGTATTTCCTGAATTTGAATGTTGGCCTGTCTTGATAGGTTGGGGAAGTTCTCCTGGATAATATCCTGAAGTGTGTTTTCCAACTTGATTCCATTCTCCCCATCACTTTCAGGTACACCAATCAAACATAGATTTGGTCTTTTCACATCATCCCATATTTCTTGGAGGCTTTGTTCATTCATTTTCATTCTTTTTCTCTAATCTTGTCTTCACACTTTATTTCATTAAGTTGATCTTCAATCTCTGATACCCTTTCTTCGCCTTGATCAATTCGGCTATTGATACTTATGTATGCTTCATGAAGTTCTTTTGCTGTGTTTCTCAGCTCCATCAGGTTATTTATGTTCTTCTCATACCGGGTTACTGTGGTTAGCAGTTCCTGTGACATTTTATGAATGTTCTTAGCTTCCTTGCACTGGGTTAGAACGTGCTTCTTTAGCTCAGAGGAATTTGTTATCACCTACTTTCTGAAGGCTCCTTCTGTCAGTTCGTCAAACTCATTCTCCATCCATTTTGTTCCCTTGCTGGTGAGGGGTTGTGATCCTTTGTAGGAGAAGAGGCATTCTGGTTTTTGGAATTTTCAGCATTTTTGCACTTGTTTTTCCCCATCTTCATGGATTTATCTACCTTTGATCTTTGATGATGATGACCTTTGCGTAGGGTATTTATGTGGATGTCCTTTCTGTTGATGTTGATGTTATTTTTTTCTGTTTGTTAGGTTTCCTTCTAACAGTCAGGCCCCCTCTTCTGCAGGTCTGCTGGAGTTTGCTGGAGGTCTACTTCAGATTCTATGTCCCTGGGTATCACCAGTGAAGGCTGCAGAACAGCAAAGATTGCTGCCTTCTCCTTCCTCTGGAAGCTTTGTCCCAGAAGGGCACCTGCCAGATGCCAGCCAGAGCTCTCCTGTATGAGGTGTCTGTCGACCCCTGTAGAGAAATGTCTCAGTCAGGCGGCACGGGGAGTCAGGGAACCCCTTGAGGAGGAAGGCTGTCCCTTAGCAGAGCTTGAGCACTGTGCTGGGAGATCTGCTGCTCTCTTCAGAGCCAGCAGGCAAGAACGTTTAAGTCTGCCGAAGCTGCGCCCACAGCCCCCTTTCCCCCAGGTGCTCTGTCCCAGGGAGATGAGAGTTTTATCTGTAATCCCCTGACTGGGGTTGCTGCCTTTGTTTCAGAGATGTGCTGCCCAGAGAGAAGGAATCTAGAGAGGCAGTCTGGCTACAGCAGCTTTGCTGTGCTTCAGTGGGCTCTGCCCAGTTTGAACTTCCCAGTGGCTTTGTTTACACTGTGAGGGGAAAACTGCTACTCAAGCCTCAGTAATGGTGGATGCCCCTCCCCCCACCAAGCTTGAGCATCCCAGGTCGACTTCAGACTGCTATGCTGGCAGCGAGAATTTCAAGCCAGTGATGGTAGCCTGCTGGGCTTCATGGGGGTGGGATCCACTGAGCTAGACCACTTGGCTCCCTGGCTTCAGCCCCCTTTCCAGAGGAGTGAACAGTTTTGCCTTGCTGGCATTCCAGGCACCACTGGGGTATGAAAAAGAAAAAACTCCTGCTGATAGCACAGTGTCTGCCCAAACGGCCACCCAGTTTTGTACTTGAAACCCAGTGTCCTGGTGGTGTAGGCACCCGAGGGAATCTCCTGGCCTGCAGGTTGTGAAAACCATGGGAAAAGCCTAGTGTCTGGGCCAGACAGCGCTGTCCCTCATGGCACAGTCCCTCAAAGCTTCCCTTGGCTAGGGGAGGCAGTTCCCCAACCCCTTGCACTTTCTGGGTGAGGCAATGCCCCACCCTGCTTCTGTTCACCCTCTGTGGGCTGCACCCACTGTCTAACCAGTCCCAGTGAGATGAGCTTGGTACCTCAGTTGGAATTGCAGAAATCACTCACCTTCTATGTTGGTCTCACTGGGAGCTGCAGACCGGAGCTGCTCCTATTCAGCCATCTTTGAGATTACATTTCAACATCAGATTTTGGGGAGACAATCAAACCATATCACCAGCCTAGATTATATTTGTCTTTACAGCAGTTCAGTCAGTGGTACAAACAACTTTTAATATTATTTTAGGGAGGAAGCAACTCATAAAGGCAAATGTACCCAGGGCCCATGGAAGTCATAATATAGTTCTGATAACAACTTTTCTATGATCTTAATTTTATGGATGAGAAAACTGAAGCATGCTTAAGTGTCTTGCCCAGTGCTACACAGCTGGCAACTGGCAGAGCTGAAACTCGTGTCTAGGCACTCTAATTCCAGTGTTTCACAGAACACTGTCCTCAGCTCTGCAGATTTGCTTTTCAATGGAGTATTTCACATGAATTTTCCAGATAATTAAAAACAGCTCTCTACAAAACCAAAACATTTTGTTTTAATAATTTTGGATGAAGATCTTCCATACCTTTGTTATTTACTTTCCTGCCTTATTAATTAGATCATCCTGAACATAAGGTCGTCTTTTTCATGATGATGGTATTTTTGTCCATAGCTAGTCTTTATTGAATGTTTTTTATGTACCTGCACTATTCTATGATTTTTGCATGTATTAACTAATTGAATTCTCACAACCCTATGAGGCAGAGTTTACAGATGAGGAAACCAATGTTAAGTGAGATTAAGGTACTTAACCAAGTTCACCCAGCTGTAAGGTAGCAATTGGATCCTGGCTACAAAGCTGAGCCTCTTAACCAGGGTGTAAGAGGAGCTTTGTGTTGTGCAGTGCAGAGTGCTGCTCTCAGGAGCTTTATTTGTACCCCTAATAGCTTCAGAATAATAGATTACTTTAGGCCTGTGTCCACTTTTCAGGACATGTCCTCTCTCCCTGTCAGGTAGTTGGCTGATAATTCTAGCTGTTTTGTTTCTAATTTGTTTCTCAATAAATTTGTGGAGTGCCTACTATGTGCCAGGTATTGTCCTTACTTGCCGCTTCCAAATTACTTTAATGGAAGAACCAGAGAGCCCATTATTTTAGCTTTGTGTGTTAAGTATTGTTAATATGTGCTGTATGAAAAGGTGCCCCATTCATCAGCCTTGTGATCCTTATTGCCTGGCCTTGTGAGATTGGTTTTAGATGCCTTGAGGGCTTTTGTGTGTTAATGTTTATTTCTTGGCTTTCAGCTAAATTTTCAGTAGTGAGCACTGGTAAGTGGCATGGTAGATATTATTATATGTAAGGAGAAAGTACTTGGCATGATACTGTAATTCAGCAAGTGGCTTGACAGAATTCATTCACCTGCTTCTGTGCAGTGTCTTCATGGTCTTTACTGAATAGTGTTACAGATGATTTAAATGGAACATAAGACTCCATTGGGCTGTTCTGGATTATTCTTTCCTTAAGGCTCAATGTTCATTATGAAGCCTGAATTTGGGATGGACTTTATCTCCTTACATATATATCTGCCATCTCAATGTTTTTAATGTGAGAAGAAATGCTTTTTATTTGTCTTGACATCTGTTTCTACTGAAATGTCACATTACTGACCTTGTGGCCTTCATGGCTCCTTTAGAGTTTCATACTCCAATTGGCCATAGCTCTAGGATTTGAAGGCCACTCCCTGCCATTATTGTGATTATTTTCTATAAACCTAATTTCAGTTATTGGCCCTCGAAGCCCTCAGGAAGCATGCTACTACTCCCTACACCTTATTCTTTATGACCACCCCAGAATGCTGTGCCAACTGGGAATCAGTTTATAAACCTACAGAGGATTGATGGTTTCTGGGCCCTGCTGCTCAGTCATCATGGAAATCCCTGCAGCCCTTTGTAGACTCTGGAATATTAACTGACAATCTGCATAAGAGAAAAATAGCCAAAGGATGAGAAAATTTCATGAAACCTCTACATCTGTTTAAAAACAAACAAACGAACAATCTACCCTAGGCTATTACCTAAGTCAGAGTGTGCAAACAGGTTGAATTTAGGCCACAGACATTTTGTTTTGCCTGCATCTTAAACCTCAAACCTTTTCAATCAATTGCTTTCATTTAAAAATCAGGAAACTTCTCTAAAAATATTCTAGATTTTGAACTTCTTTTGAAAACTGGGTGATCTGACAACATTGGTCCCATGTTTCTGTGTAACAGTAATTGGCTGGACTTGGCAGCACCTGGCCACTGTGCACAGGGCTTGCCTTGCCCCCACTTGCTGCAGTCCATATTGCAGTCCACTTTGCTTATGTATTTTACTTGCCTGTTCCCTGGAGGCATTTGCTACCCCATGGGCATTGTATCCCGTAATACGAACCCATGAAGCTAAAAGCTCAAAAGTTCAGGTCCGCAATATCTCTGCTTAGTTTTCTGCTTAGTTAATACAATTTTAAGAAATTAATATTGAAAATACGTGCTCACAAAAATTAAAACACTGTATAAATATAGAAGTGTATACAGTAAAAACTACAAGACCAGTGACCTTGTTGATCCAACAATTCCCTTTCCTCTTTTCCCAGAAATAATACTGTTAACAGTATCTTTTCCATTCTATTTCTGCAAATATAATTCTTTATCCAACAACTGTTACCTATTTTTTGTCAGGCCATACGTGTATACAAATATTGGGTCCCACACATGTATAAAGAGTGATGTGGTATATTAAAGTAATTATCTGTGTAGTTAACAAAAAATCCTCTTGTTGAAATGTCTGAATAGTAGAGGAAAAATACTTTTTAATTATCTGGCTAATTGCCTCCATTAATCATCCTTTCATGTTCTTTCTTCATGGAATGAATTCATCCATTCAGTAGATATTTACTGAGTTCTGATTATGTTCAAAGCACTGTGCTAGACAAAGTGGGAATTACAGAGATAAACTAAAAACAAGATCAACAACATTACCGTAGGAAAGAGGTGATCAATTTTTGCCTCCCTCAAAAGAGATGAAGGTGTTGGATTTGGAATTAAACTTACTCTATTTTCAGTGGACCACGTCTAAAATGTGAGAGATTACAAAAGTCCCAGGAATGATCCAAACCTAATAGCTCAAAAGAAGTTTCAGCAGAGTGGAGGACCTGGGTGGTGCATAGATGGCAGGAGATAGACCCACCCAGCAGTGAGGCTGAGGTGAGTACAAGGGAGAGCTCAGTGATAAAGGAAGACCTCTGAGGATACTGGCCCCAAGATGTTTGGCTTGTGTTCAGGCAGATAAAAACCACCATGGGCACGGACTGTGAGTCTTCTTCTCTCCCAAGAAGATTTTGATGACAATTTTACTAAGATGAAGTTAAGATGAGACAGCAACAAAGGCAGAAATAAAATTAGAGATGTGCTTGCGAGAGATTTAAAGAGAAAGCAGAATTTTGCCCTTGAGGTCTTCTTAGTTATACCTCAGTTACCTAGAAATAATATATTTTTGTTGTTGGAACACTCTCCCTAATTACAGAATGATAAACAAAACAAAACAAAACAAAAAACAAAACAAACAAAACCCTGTCAATCTTTAAAGAAATGAACAACCAAAAAAGGGTTACCATAAGGACTTTTGTTTCCTCTGTAGATTTTCAGACAGTTGGGGCCTCTTGGAAATTATAGAAAACCCCTGTTTGTTCTAGATTGGCAGCCACTGCAAATGTATGTAATGAAGGCACGGAGCAAGCAGGCCTCATGGAGCGGAATGATAAGGTGGTATAATTTGTCCCTCACTTTCCTTTTATATTTATTCAATGGGGAAAGTTTTCCCTTGGCTCTTGGATAAAAAACATCAGCAGTCCTATGGCTTTCCTTAACACACTTAACTAATAAAACGATTGCCACTCTTAGTCACCAAGCACAGTCTCAATTCGGAAGTCAAAATTTCTCATCCCATATAAGGCAAAACTCTGAACCTGATTCAAATATAAATCTTCCCTCCCCTACCAGGAAGCCTTCAACTGGAGGAGGGGTGTAGTTGGTTCCTTTTCCCTTCCTATGCCCTTCCTCCCCCAGCCTGATAATTGTGCTTTCTTAACCTTCCAGATCTGAAAGCAAAGAAAGAGAAGAATTAAAATAACCATGAGAGGTTTTACTTGACTGCTGCTACTACAAGGTGGCTTTGCAGCTCTTTTCCCAAGTTCTTGTCTTTTCCCATTCTGAACAATTCGGTCCTGAGCTGATTAGCTGATGCCCACCCAGATTGAGGGTGGGTCTGCCTCTCCCAGTCCACTGACTCAAATGTTAATCTCCTTTGGCAGCACCCTCACAGACACACCCAGAAACAACACTTTGCCTCCTTCAGTCCATTCAATATTAACTATTACAGTTGGCTATGGTGCCCAGAATGGGGTGTCAGAGCCCAAGTTGGGTGAGGAGGGCCTTGCCTCAGAGGGGTGCATTGGTGTGGCATGTCAGACCCCAAGCAGGCTGAGGAGGGCATCTGCACCAAGAAGGCTGTCCAGGGCCAGACACTGGAGTCAAATGAGTTGAGGTGGGTATTTGCATGGGAGTATGGGCTGCCTAAGGAAGCCAGAGCCTGTGCAAGGTGAAGAAAGTTCATGCCTTGTCACACATGGGGTGGCAGCCTGGTGCAGAGTTGGAACCCAAGGAGGAGGGTGGTCTTGTGGAGGGTATCAGAGCATGGACAGGGTGAGGAAG